>NC_000006.12:40666060-40969090 GCF_000001405.40 Homo sapiens
CATATGGCTTCCAGGGTGGGGGATGTTTTTAATTTATCTCTGGAAAGCATTTAGAGTCCAGCTCTGCCAACCCTAGCCTTGAGTAAATGGTGACCATGAAGGCCCTCAGAGTGGCAAGCCCCTCAATCTGTGGTTTTCAAACATAAGCACCACCAGAGGAGCTTGTTATAATAATAGACATCAAGGCTTTTGTCTTGAGATCTCCAAGAGTGAGGTCCAGGATTCTGCATTTCGACAAGCAGTTCAGGGAGATTTAATGCCCCACTGCCGACTGGCACTTGAGAAAAAGCCTGGGTCCTCCACAGGCTTGTTCCCTTAGCAGGGTGACCAGCTAGAGAAGCTGGGCCCTAAAACAGGTTCTGAGACTGCCTAGCTGCACCATACTCTGGTCACCCCTTATGTCTTCCCAGGAGAGAGAGACCCCTCTGGGGTAACATTAACCATTCCTGATACACCAGAGGTAACGCCTTCCTACACCTCTGTCAATGCCTTACATCCAAAGCCCCCCAGGAACCTACAGTTAGATAAGTTGGGTGTATTACTTGATGCATTCAGAACATGAAAAATGGGGACTCATGAGACATCTCAGTAAGAGGCTAGAGCTAGGAAGAAGCTATTATAGGATCTGGCTTTGGTTAGCTGACTTGGGGAGAGTCCAAGAAAGCAGACGTCTGCCCTGGATTGAGTGCTGTCAGAAAGCAGGGCCAAGTCTGTGATTGGGTATCTCAATAAGTTTGATCTGTGGGGAGGACAGACTAGAGTGAGGCTAACACTGCAATCGGTAGAGAGGCGGCAGTCACTCACATTAGCTGGAGGAGGGGCCGGTTGGTATTTTAAGGTTTAGACAATGTTCATGTTTTGCCTGTGTTCAGACATGATTATGGAATAGATTTGTTTCCGCCTTGATCCATTCTTGTCACAGGTGGCTTTGTCTGATGTTGATGTTTTGCTATGAAATTGTTTATGTTCAACAGGAGAATGCCATGGCCAGCTCGTGGATGTCAGGGGCTGCTTTTCTCTTCCTCACCACCCTATTGTTTCCCTGCCCAGGGAAATTGGGCTGTTAGTGCACTGTTCAAAGGAGGGACAACAGCCAATAAAACTTACCTTTTATCTCCTGCCTCCCAGCCACTCTGATTCCCTGTGTAGCTCCAAGTGTTCCTCCACCAATACCAAGCATGAGGTCTGCTCCCTTCTCAGTGATGTATTCCCCACCCACCTCTGTATTCACTGCTCTTCCCACTCAAAGACATGTCCTAGGGCCAGGCAGGTGGCTCATACCTGTAATCCCAACACTTTGGGAGGCCGAAGCGGATGGATCATCAGAGGTCAGGAGTTCGAGAGCAGCCTGGCCAACATGGCAAAACCCCATCTCTATTAAAAATACAAAAATTAGCCAGGAGTGGTGGCGGGCGCCTGTAATACCAGCTACTCAGGAGTCTGAGGCAGGAGAATCACTTGAACCTGGGAGGTGGAGGTTGCAGTGAGCCAAGATAGTGCCATTGCACTCCAGCCTGGGCAACAAGAGTGAAACTCCATCACAGAAAAAAAAAGACATGTCCTGTGCAAAGGAGAGAGCCCCTGTCTGTTCCTTTCAGTCCTGATTTCACGTTGCTTCTCTGCTGCTGTACTCCCTATGTCAGTATGACTGCCTCCAGTGACAGCCCCTATGTTGCTCTCATCCTGTAGTCCTTGGCCCAGTCAGAGCCTTCCAGAAGGGTAAGGGGGGCATTAGATGATGAGTAAGATGTTGAGGTTGATGGTATTTTTAGCGTTGATTTCAGTGACAGTGGCCATAGCGGTAGTGATCACTTTAATAGTGGCAGTGATAGTGATGGGGGGGGGTGCGTTAAGGATGATGGTAACAATGGTGATGGTGATGCCACTGCTGGTGGTTGTGGTGGCAGTGGGAGTGATGGTGGGGATGGTGGTAATAGAATTTGTGGCTATCACAGTGATGGGGATGACAATAGTGGCGATTATCAAAAATTTCATTTATAGATTGAAATTCTTAAGATCCTTTCACAGTGTTCATGGAATAATCTCAGAGTTTATTAGGTTATTCTACTTCTTTCTTCAGGCAAGGAAATTCTAAATCAACTTTCTCACGTTGCTCACAGGCAGACAGTAATGCAAAATTAAGCTGGTATGACAGATCTCCTGTGGAGCCTACTTCCACATCTGCAGCTCCACACTTGCCCCATTTCCAGGCCCATGAAAGGAGATGCAGGTGGCCACTGAATTTCTGGCAGTGCCTTCAGGCACTCACTGATGGGTGCTGATAACTGTGAGGCACCTGGGGAGACTCAAGAGGCCTGTCTCTGACAAGGCCTGTCATATGCAGCTATGGACAAGGATGGACACAAGATAAAGGACCTGGAGCCCCGCGGCTGAAGCTGACTCATTGGGTAGGGGCACACTGTGCTGATAGGCTAGACCAGAGAACTCAGAAGCCAAGATGCAAGAAGTTTTGAGGAGCTGAATGCAAATAAGCAGCCAGGAGTGAAGGTAGGGCTGACAACCTGGGATGCACAAGACTGAGGCTTCCAGGGAAGTCTGTCATTAACACAACGCCTGAGGAAAAGGACCCTGAAACCAGGTCAAAGCTGCCCCTGCCAATGGACTGTTGATACTTGCCCTACTATAGGAGCACCCTGTGACTGGCTTCTTGGGGCAGGAAAAGCCTGGGCCTGAAGCAAAGGCTGTTACCCCCCGCCCTGGGAAGACTGAATCATACCCCCCACTGTCTCCATGACTTTGTCCCTCCTTGAGACACTCAGGACTCAGAGCCACAGAGTTCAGGAGCTTGAGGTTTGCAGAGATCCCCAGGGAACTCTTGAATTCTATGGTGCCTTTTGAGATATTTACCATCCAGGAAATCAGTCACATAAATTCCCCAAATTGAGACTGTGTTCTGACCCAGTCATGAAAACATAAACCACTCTAGATATTTCCAACAGTAATAATTTAATATAGGAAATTGGTTACCCAAGTGGTGGAAGAGCTGAGAAGCCAAAAAAGGGACAGCAAAGCAACCAGCTGTTAGCAAGAACAGAAAGTCAATGTGACCCTTAGGGCTGGCTGGAGGGACAATAGGAGGTACTGTTTCCAGAAGCCAGATGCCAAGTCTGTTTGGCA
This sequence comes from Homo sapiens, assembly GCF_000001405.40. Classification (NCBI taxonomy): domain Eukaryota; kingdom Metazoa; phylum Chordata; class Mammalia; order Primates; family Hominidae; genus Homo; species Homo sapiens. Next base: position 40,669,199 of record NC_000006.12, read on the forward strand.
GAAGCTGGAACTGTGTTGGGTACTCAGCCACCTTGAAAACACTCATTAAAGCAGGAAGACAATGGGAGAAATACTCTAGCTTCTCACCTTTTCTTCCCTGCAATCTCCCATTATTTCTCTCATTATCTGACCCTGGCAAGAAGTCAGTTGGCAAGGAAGGCTGGGAAATGTAGTGTGCAGAAGGGCAGGTACTATGGTTTGAATGTTTTTGTTCTCTACAAAATTCCAGTTGAAACTTAATCTCCAGTGCAACATTATTGGGAGGTGTGGCCTTTGGGAGGGGTTGAGTCAGGAGGGCTTCACCCTTGTGAATGGCATTAGGTGCCCTTATAAAAGGACTTGACAAAGGGAGTTTATCTCTCTTGCCCTTCCACCTTCTGCCACGTGAGGATAGTGTTCCTCCTCTCTGGAGGATACGGTGTTAAAGGAGCCATCTTGGAAACAGAAACCAAACTCTTACTAGACAATCAACCTACCGGTTCTTTGATCTTGGACTTCCCAACCTCCAGAACTGTGAGAAATAAATTTCTATTGGTCATAAATTACCCACTCTGTGGTATTCTGTTAGAGCAACACTCAGGGACTAAGACAGCAGGGAATAGATTCTTAAAGCAAAGAGGCATTGACTACCATGTGTTCCAGCCTTGGGAAGTTGAACTATGTTGGGATCTCAGAGGGTCAGTGACTAACACTCCTTTTTCCACACCTAGTTCAGGTCTTTCTAAGAAATGGATTGAGCAGTCAGGCAGACAGAGACCAAAATATTACCTTTAGCCTATTGAAACAGTGGAGAATCTGGCATTAGGGTCTCTCAGCCAGGTGGGCTTGCTAACACCTTATTCCTGAATTTGACAGGTTCATTAAGTCTCAGGCAGGGCTAGAAGTCAGCAGTCCCAGCCCTGTGGTGGAGAGGAGCAGAAAATACGTGCCTTCTGTCAGCAGAGAGATCTCCAGAGTGGAGTACACTCAGATCCTCTCCCAAATTTCCACTCAGACAAGTCACCTTCTCCCTAGGATGGCCATGAGGGAAGCAATGAAGAAGGAGAAGATTGTTGCTCTGATGGAGGCCCCTCCACTTCGATCCAGTGACAGGGTAATATGAAACCCTAGAGTCTCTTGCTGGGAGTGCAAAATCACCTCTACAGCATCTCTGCCAACTGGCTCCTCAACCTCACTTGAAAATCGTCAGTGATGGAGACTCAGCACCATCCAAAGTAGCCCTTTCTATCTTCACACAGTTCTGTTGGTTAAAATGTTCCTTATGTTAATCTAAATTGTTCCTACAATTTCTACTTCTCCATCTGGGGCTTCACGTAATACATCTGATCCTTCTTCAAGGAGGTTACTTAAAGAAAGCAAGTATATCATACTGAGATTTAACTTCTCCAAGTTAAATACTTCCAGTCCCTTTTATTTGATCCTATATGTCCAAGGTTTTCCAACTGTTCAGCACCTACTCACCTCTTTCTGGGCAAACTAAATTGGCTGAGTCAATTTCAAGGCATGGCACCCAACCAGCCACACTGAGAAATCACCTCTGTCATCACTACCATACAAGTGACTATTGTGGACGTTCCCTTGAATGGGGATTTTATATTTACTATTGATAATATTACTCAGTGGCATAGGCACAATTGTTCCCCATTTGGAATTGGGGAAACTGAGGTTCGGAGAAGTTGTGACCTGCCCAGGACCACAGAATTAGCCGATAACTCACGACTGTCTCAGGCCATGTTTGTTCTGCTATGACCCACTATTTTGAACACTAAGAGGTAAAGCAATGAGCAGCTGTCACGTTCACAACGACACCAAATGTCCTGCTTGTGGTCAGGTTCCAGCCCATGCTGAGGTTCAATGGGAGTGGGTGGTCCGGCAGATAGCTGAAAGAACACTCCGCGGGCTGTAAGCACATGAAATGTAGTTTTATCCAGCAGCTCTCTCATCAGCAGCTTATGCGCACTAGCTCTCTCACACTGTCCGCCTTGTCTCAACTGTGCGCCTCCTCTCAGCAGCCGGCTCTGCGGCTCCTGCTGCTCCCACACCTTCAGCTGCACTCCCTGGCTTGCAAGGCCAGCTCTGTCAGGGTCTGCAGCTTAACTCTTTCTATCTGGGCACAGGCCAGTTCCTGGCTCCCCCCTGCCCCGCCTTCAAGGCAACAGGCTCTCCCTTACAGGGGTTAGTAGTGTTATTCTCTCTGGGCACGCACATGAGCCGTGCCATGCCATGCCCTACAGTGCCGAACTGAGCCTCTTGCACAGCGTCAGCAGGGCAGTTACACCTTCTACAGACAATAATGGCACAGAGCCAAGGGATGGCCTTGCCACGTTATGGCAACATGGCTGTGATAACAAGTGGAGTTCCACACCTGTGCTCTAAACTTGCTGAGTCACTCTGGATGTTTACCTTGGCCTATCCTTGACCAAAGCACAGCCATGTTCCTTACAGCAACCCACTTACAGACAGTGAAGTTGATGAAGCCTGGTGGAGAAGTGAGATCCTGTGGCTCTCCATCCACAGGGCTTCAGAGGAAGACAAGGGCAGGGGAGCCAGAGGGATCCTGAGCCCAAGGGCCCTTCTCCACCTAGATGTAGGCACTGTGCCTTTTCGGCCCCGCAGTGACCCTGCCTTCTTGACTGGGGGAAATGGCTCAGATCCAGGACACCTGGCCCAGCATCTTCCTCCCCAAACAAACCCAGAGGAGGGAGGCACACAGAGCAGCAGCATCTCCTGGCTTCTCACCAACCGGAAACCCTGAAACACACAGCCACAGTTTTATCATGTTTATTTTAATATGTTTTAGGCAAATAGCTTCAATAGAAATGCTCATCTCTGAGTGCAGCTGAATAAAGCCCTCAGCTTTTCTCAATGTTTGAGACAGAAAGGAAATCATGTGTTAATAATTCATCAGAGGTCTTTGTGTGTGTCTGTGTGTGTGTGTCTCTGTGTGTCTAAGGCTACTGAGAACAAGTCTCATATTTCTCATTTATAGGTCTCTGATATCATCCGACAGAAATCCGTTCTTAAGTGAAATATTGATAGGTTTATTCTGCCATCTTAAGCATGCCTCCTAAATTGTTGTAATTAAGGCTAGCAAAGAGGGGTGGCAGCAGAGAGGGCAGAGCAGGGATGCTGACACTAGACCTGAGAACGCATACACACACACACAAATCACACACGCTCACACAAACTGGCTGGAGAGTAACAGTCAGCTGCCCTGAACAGAGCTGATGGCTGAACTCCCGAAGAAGAGTCACAAAAAGGCAGCTTAGACTCCTGCTCCCAGATTGAAACCCCTTCCCCATCCAAATCCACTTTGGATCTAAACCTTCTCATCCAACCCGTTATAGTAGTCTCATGTTAATTTCAGTGGCCACAATCTGTCACTTGTGGACCAGCACTTCAGAAGACTCTGAGAACCGGGTCTTTAAGACAAGGAGATGCCCAAGGGGAAAAAACTACAGTCCCTGCCCCAGGAAGGCCACCCCAGGTGGTCTGCCCATGAGCCCTGCAGACTTGGGGGTGAGAGTGTTGGTGACTGGTTGGAGTGAGTCTTGGAGGGCAGTAAGGGACGGGAGACAAGAGACTGGAGAATGAAGCCTCAAGTAGATGTGGGCAGGCCAGGAAAGACAGGAATTAGTAACACAGGAACACACAGCAGGGTGTAAAAGAGATTCCTGTTTTCAAACTCTAGTTTACTGCTCCACAGCTCAGAGGGAAGAAAGGGCCCGAGAGCGTGTATGAGTATTCTAGGGGGCTTGGCTACGCTTGTTTGGAGCCTGAAGAGTTGTTTCTTTCATGTTCCTCTTCTATCTCCTTCTGACTACGTGTTCCTCCTTCTCTCCCTCTTCCTTCCTTTCTCCTTCTCTCCATCCCTTTCTCCCCCCGCCTTCTTCTTCTTCCCATCATCCTACCTTCTTTCTCTGTTTATTATTTCTTTCCCAGGAAGAATCAGAAGCAACTGGTAAACATTTATCAGAGAGGCTTTAATTAAAACATGAAACACTCAGCTGCAGCCCAAGCTCCTTTCCAGCACTCTGTCCTCTCAGCAGTTAATTATTTAAGGTAAAGTAATGCGGGTCCTGTTCTGTATATGAGATACCATACTAATGGAAGGTAATCCTGCTATAGCACTGGCTCAGGGGAAAGCTCAGTGGGCTGTCCTCTGGAGGACTCATCTGATACACCTGCTCAGGTATCCCTTTCCTTCTAAGTCCCTAAGTGGAAGCAAGATGCCAGAGCACCCTTCTCCTAAAGACCCTTTCTCCCTACCTGAGAACTCTCCTTCTTAATTAGGAAATGCAAGAACTATAGAAGGAGTGGAGATAATGGGATCAAAGTGTGGTGATGGGGAAAGTATTCTTTTTAGATGACAGTGGCAAAAAGTGGGGAGAAATGGAACCTGCTTGTGGCGTGAAAATGGGGGCAGAATGTTATTATTGGTAAAATGTTTTCAACAGCCAACACAACAGGACACACGCCAGAAGGGGAGGCTGTTGTTTTTCAGATTAGGGGGTTGGAATGAGAAATCAGGTCAAGGTAGTAAAAGAAATCAGACTTGGAGTAGAGTCTCTAGAGGAGCTGTGAGTCCTGATCATATGCATTCATTCATTCATTCATCCATTTATTTACTCATTCATCAACTGTTTGTTATACATGAGCAACGTGCCAAGCACTGTGTAAGGCACTGGGGCCAACGCTGGAAATGAACAGTCCCTGGCCTAAAGGAACAACCCAAGACCATAGCACCTGCATACAGCCTTGGTCTCTAGTCTATCTCCCTGAGACAGACACATGTCCTCAGCATTGCTAGGGTGCAAAGGTCATCAGAGAATGACAGTTGTGGGAGGCATAGGGGTGGACAGGACAAGATGGTTCCTTAGAACCATTCATCCTAAGACAGAGAGGTGCGCAGATCGCAGCGTGTCAGACCTAGAAGGCCTTCAAAACCACTGGGTTAGTCCAAATGTCTTAGAAGACTGAACTCAGAGAGAGGTTGACACAAAGCCACACAGCTGGCCTATGACCTAACCGAGATCAATCAGGACAAGCCCTACAGACAAGAATTAAGGGGCAACATCACACAGAAGATATTGTCCGCAATAATATACTTCTCAGATGCCCAGGAAGACCAGGTTCACATATGTGCCCAGCACCTGGCAGGATGCCAGGCACATAGCAGGTGCTCACTCAGAGCTTACAGGGCATAAGGAGAGTGTCTGAGCCAGGCCACCTCCCTGGCCAACCTAGCTACGTGCTTGGAGGCAGACCTGGAACCAGAAACTGTGGCATAGAGAGCATACAGACGTTAAAGGAAAATGCACGTACCTAGTCCTCAATCCTCTGCCGGCGCGTGTGTGTGTGTGTGTGTGTGTGTGTGTGTGTGTGAGAAAGAGACAGAGAGATCTTTGAAAAATATGACTACATTTTTGGGGGAGTGGGGTGGGAAAGATTGACCTCACTTATGGTGCAGAGCACATGGAAGCGTGGGAGAGGGAGAACTCAACAGATTTGGATCCAATTCTCATTTCAAACTCTTAGTTGCTGTGCAATCTTGTGCAAGTTACTAAACATTTTGAGCCTTGTTTGCCTCATTTGTAAAATGGGCATAATAAACCCTATTATCTCCAGAAGGCATGAGGATTAGGGTGTGTGAAGAGCTGTGGGTATGGTGCTGACCCACACAAGGAGACTGATAAAAGGTATCATGGCAGTTATCACCTTGGGCTGTTAGGAAAAGAGCCAAGCATCTTCTGAATAGGCACCACTCAAGTTGGAACAGGTGACCCAGGAGTTTCACAGACAGTGGGCAGACTCTCTGCATTTTTCTTTTGTTTCTTTTTTTTCTACCGGATAATTCACAAATGCAATCATTTGCTTGAGGATAACTGGGAATGAACTCACATTTCCCAGCATGAGGCATAAAAAGTGAAAAATGTAAGAGGAAAAGAAACATCATGCCCTTCAGTTTCCAATTTGCACAGCACATTCGCACCTATATCATCTCTATACTCCAGCTTTCTAGCCTCCATCTCCCAAAGAGCCAAGAAGGCATGGTGCAGGGTCTGTGGATCCCCAAAAGGATATGTTGTCTTTCTGTTCATTTTTCTGAAGACAGTCTGTAGCTTTCCTAAAGACTCTTCATCCTCAGGGAATCCTCAGCCCAAGCAAAGAAGACACAGCCCTGCATCAGGGGGCCCTAGCCTGAGGGGAAAACACAGCCCTGCCCTCAGAGAGCCCCATTCTGAGGCCAAGCAACGTGAGCCCACTGAGCCATGGGCACTGGAGAGAGATATGACAAAGGCAGGGTCCAAGTGGAGGACTCAGGGCCAGGCCTGCACCCCCACCCCCGCCCGCGACCCCCTCTGCAGCCCTCCAAACTTGAAGGCTTGTGCTAAATTCAGGCAGCACGCAGTTGCAGACCCTCAGCAAGCAATTAGTATTCTAAACATGAAATTAATTTGTCCTACAAATATGAGAACCTAGTAATTTGTTTCACTTTTATTTTATTGTCAGATAGGATTCATTTTCTACATGATTTTATGGTTGGATAGGATTCATTAGAAATTTTTCTCCAACTACTTCTCTTTAAAAAAAAAAAAATCCCTTTTCTGTGCAGCCAGTGGCTGAGCTAGCCTTAGCTTTTCCTTTTAATACTCCAAATAAGTGCCCATTTCCACGCAAAGTCCCTTGCTATAGCCCCGGGTTGTGCACCTCAGTTTCACTTTAATTTCCAACTCTGAAAAGCCGGCTACCGAAATGAAGATAAATCTTTCTGGAAGCTCCTGCAATGGGACCTTTGATAATGGAGCGGTCAGGACAGTTAATGGCTCTGATGCTTCTCTGTGTTATTTACTGACAGCATGATCCTCACTCAATAACAACTATCATTTATTTAGCACCCACCTGGGCCAGGTGCTGGGCTGGGTCACTTAAATTCATTACCCGCTCTCCCTTCAACCTCTGCCTGTGCCCTCCTTACCATCAGATCACTGCAAACAGACCCCCTAAGGGTATGCTCAGCCCTCTCTGAATAGAACCCAAAAATGCCAACCCTAGCCTATCTTCCAAAGCTGCTTCAGCTTTGACCATGGTCTCTGCTTTGTCTGGTGTCCTATTCACTGACCTCAGCTGTACTCTCAGAACTAGGCCCCTGCATATCTCTTCTTTTATTATATAAGCAGGCACTTGGGCTTGATCTCCCTCATCAGACTAGATAATGAGGCTGTACATCCTCCATCAGATCAGCACAGGCTAGCTCTCCCCTCTCAGACTGGGTGGGGTGAGACTAGACTCTCCCTGAGGCCAGGGAGTGTCTCCCCGCTCAGACAAGGGTCGTACTACCAAGACTGGCAGGGTCAGAGTCTCAGGGTCACTCCCTCCCACACAGGGCAGTTCACCTTGTCACAGTTTCTCACTGCATGACTTCTCTTTTTATAGCACAGACCCCAACCGTAATTAATCATCTGCATAATTGTCTATTTAGCATCTATCTTCCCCTCTGGGCTATAAGGTTTGGGCAGACACGGACAAGACTGGCCTGCTCACTGCCATATCTCAGCACCTGTCACACTCTCTGGCACAAAGGGGTCCCCAGTAACTGTCTGCTAAATGGACAAATGAAAGAATGAAGTGCTCCAGACACACACACTGTCATAGAGGACCCAGGACTCAGAACTCACATGTCTGTCAGGGCTAGATAAATTTCCTAAAGAATGCTGAATTATCTCATAGGGTTCTCCCAACAGCTCTGTAAGATGGGCATTCAAAGGCAAGGCAGCGGAAGGGTAAGAAGCAAGACCACCTGGATCTGGAGCTCACTTTTGCTCCTCGCCAGCTTGTGATCTTGGGGAAGTTTTTAAATTTCTCTGTACCTTGATTGCTCCATCTGTACAAATGGGAATAATAATAGATTTGCCTTAATTTCATGGGCCAGACCCACTTCAGCCTCAGGGTCTTTGCATTCTTTAGGACAGGGAGCCAGGGCAATCAAGTTATGACCATGATGTGTTATAAACACACCTTGCCACCAGTCACTTCCACCTTGGACAACACCTAGACAGTGGGTGTTTCTACCTGATCCAGGGTTAAAGAATAAGGGACTAGCTTAGTCTATGTCCTTTGAGAAACAGATGCCAAGAATATAAGAGAGAATAACATAGACCTGGATTGCATAATACATGTAAAGCACTCAGAACAGTGCTTAGCACAGAGTAGGCATTCAATTAGTGTTAGCTACTATCACTACCATTATTAGCATCACCTTTGTACAGATGTGGAAACTAAGGCTTCAAGAGGCTAATTAACTTGTCCAAGGTTCCAGGGCTAATCAATGGGCAAGCAGGGCTATGAATTCTGAGTTTGGACTCCTGGTCTGGAACTCTAATGGCCATTATACTTCCTTCTCTTCTAGGATAGAGCAGTTGGGCAATGCTCATTAAGAAGCATCGGAAGGGGTCTTAGGAGGAAACAAGCCACTTCTGGTGTTACAGCCTTGGAGAAATTAACCAACAAGGGCTAAATCCTGCTTCTGATGGGCAAGAAGGAGGAGCAATAAGAAGAAAACCATGAAAAGGCTGAGTCCTGGCCTCCAGGAAAGACTACTGTGCTTTAGGCTGAGAATGATGTCCCAGGATTGCCACAAGACCCTACAGGATCTGGCCCCTTCAAATCTCTGAACTCAGCTACTATGACTCTTTGCCTTAATTCCATGGGTCAGACCCACTCCAGCCTCAGGGTCTTTGCATTCTTTAGGACAGGGACCTGGCAATCAAGTTATGATCATCATGAGTTATAAACACACGTTTGCTGCCAGTCACCTCCATCTTGGACAATGCCTAGACAGTGAGCATCTCTGCCTGATCCAGGGGTTGGAGAATAAGGGACAGGATTAGTCTATGTCCCCCCGAGAAATATATGCCAGGAATACAAGACAGAAGATATGCCTGTGAGTAAAAATAGGGAAAAGGCTGGAAGACGCTGGGAGAACTGTCAAATTACAGTGCTGGTCTGACTCCTGTAGAGGAGAGTGGGAAGGAAGGAAGATTGAGTGAAAAAAATCTTAGTCTCAATGCAGTTTGAAGAAAGTTAGACTAGTGGGGTAAGGCCAGTGTGAGTTGTCGGGGGAGAGAGTTAAACCAAAGCCAAAGTCTCCCCTTCCCCATCTGGCAGGAATGGGTCTGCCTTAAGTTTCTAGCCATTGTCCCATTCAGTCAGTGGCTGGAAGCAGCCGGGGAGAAGCATGGCCTTAGCTCCAACATGGCAGTGGGTTCAGAGCTCAGCAGCTGGGGCTGTCAGGCAGTTATGCTCCCTGCAGAAGATCTGGGAGGTGCAATTTCATAACTGCCACAAGCCAGACCCCTGCCTCTGAGAAGCCCATCTCAGAAGTTTTGTCAACCAACACACTCCCTACCTCCAGTGCCCTGTAAAGTGAGGTGGCCTGAGACTCCCTCCCTGAGGCACCACCAGGCATCAATGCTAGAGATAGGATGAACACACTGGGCCATCTGTTTCTGGCCACAGGTCAGCCTCCAAGGGCCTCACTAGAAAAACTCAGTGTCACCCCAGGGGATGGCTGGGGCTTCTGCCTCCAGAGAGGATGGTCCCTAGGCCTGGGTTCTGTTTTCAAGTTTCCTTTAGGAGACCTTTCTGTCAGGTTTTCTGTGGCACAGGCCCAATCAGTTTACCACGATGGGAAAATATCAGGGTCCGGGTGCTGAGAACTCAGCAGGCCTCAGCATCAGTCAGCTCCTGCTGCGACCGGCCTATCCTGTCTCCACAGGGAGGTTTCAGTGCCTCCTCACTGGTCACTGTAAGGCTTAAACGGGAGAAGGCAGCTGAAAATAACCAGCTAAGAGCCGGCCTCCTGCAAGGGGGCCTCCCTTCCTGCTTCTCTCACATCTCTGATCTTATGCTCTCTGGCAGACATGCTGCCTCTGATGCCAACGCAATTTGCTGGTTACATAACATGCGTCTTCACTGGTGGCAAGTCTTACTCACTGGAGAGGTTCCAAATTAATAATCTATTATTCATGCCATCCACAGTCTTTCTCCACAGACAACCTCAAAAGGAAAGAAAAGCTATATGCAAAGAAAAAGAGAGGGGAAGGCCATCCTTGGAACCAAGCAGGGCCTGAGAGCTAATATCTTCTGAAGGCATAGAGACCAGGACAGATGCTCGGCAGGGGCCACTGACCTGACAGAGCCCTTCAAGTGTCTCGGAGGAGTTTCTGTTCTTTGTTTTTTTGAGACCCAAGGTCATCAGCAGAAGAATCAGGGAGGGAAGCAGCTCCTGGAGCCTGAAGAGCTCCTGGGGGATCTCAGAACCAGGCTAGGTCGATTAAGCCTCCCTGACCTGTGACATCACTACAGCTCCCACATGAAGACCCCTTCCTAGATACTGAGGTGGGGCTGGTGGACAAGAAATATAAATAGGGAGGAGACAGACCCACAGACTCCCACAGTCTCCCAGTCTACCTGATTTCTACCACAGTCTGTGGGACTGTCTCCTCCCTGTTTATATTTCTTGTCCACCAGCTCCAATCTATGGAGCCCCAGTCCAAGGGGAGACACACTCCCATCCTCAGAGAGCCCCAGTTTGAGGGGAGATGCAACCCCGTCCTCAGGGAGCCCCAGCCTGAGGGGAGGCACAGCCCCATCCTAAGGAAGCCCCAGTCTGAGGGAATGAAAAAACCTTTGCAAAATTATAACTGAGGAAATTATGACAGTGAAAGAAATCACGCCTAACTGACTCCATCTTGCTTCTAGCCTTTAAGCTGCCCTTGTTCATCCCTGGGCGTAGGCTGAACTAACTTTGGGAAGGAGTTTAGTTCATGGTTTGACTCTGAAACAAAATTGAAAACAGCCCTTTCCAGAAAAGACCCCCTTCTTGCCTGGGGACCACTTTTGCAGAACTAACAAATTAGCTACAAGATTAGAAATTATAATTTAGGGGTCCTTCAGCCTCTGGCTCCAAGAGTCTGAACCTCCCCAAATTGCTCCTGGGGATAACACTGCTATTGTAAAACCTAAGATCAGTGCTTGAGATACTTTACAGACCCCGCACTCAATGAATCAGTTGACAACCAGTTCTGCCATCCCACCCAGGAACAGAAGACAGCAATAAAACTTCATTTCAACCCCTTATGATTCTATCTCTAACCTGACCAATCAGCACTCCCCGCCTTCCAAGCCCCTACCCACCAAATTATCTTTAAAGACTCTGATCCCTGAATGCTAGGGGAGACTTATTTGAGTAATAATATAATTCTGGCCTGCCGCACAGCCGGCTCTGAGTGAATTACTCTTTTTCCATTGCAATTCCCTTGTCTTGATAAATTGGTTCTGTCTGGGCAAGGTGAACCCCTTGGGCAGCTATAGGGAGACGCAACCCTGTCCTCAGGGAGCCCCAGTCTGAGGGAGACACAGCCCCGTCTTCAGGGGTCCTCAGTCTGAGGGAGATGCAGCTCTGTCCTCAGGGAGCCCCAGTCTGAGGGAAGACACAGCCCCATCCTCAGGGGGCCCCAGTCTGAGGGGAGACACAGCCTTTTCCTCAGGGAGCCCCAGTCTGAGGGGACACACAGTCCCAAACTCAGGGATCCCCAGCCTGTTAAGAGATAAAACTCCTTCCCTCAGGAGGCTCCTATTCTAAAGAAAGAAACACAGAACCTATTCCCCTAGACTCTGAAGACACATTTTTCTGTGTGCAACAGGGAAAAGATTTCTATTAATCTTATATTAGACTTTTATAAATCTTAGATTATATTTCTATCTAACCTTAGCTAGAAGAGAAGGGTGAAAAGCTGGAAAAGACATCTAGAATACTCCTTCTAAAGTTTCAGGGAAAATCTTAAGGACTCATTTGTAAGTATTACACTTTCACATAGTGGAAAATGATGGAAAATGATGCTATAGTTTTCAGCTGAACGTGGCAAATGGAACACATTCATTTTTTAGCTCTGATCTCTCTCAAAAGTCTAAAATGTGAGTAAAGGAAGACATAAACAAAACAGAGATAATTATTAACTCTATGGAATTAAAAATAGTCCAAAAAAGAAAATGTTATCATCTATGGCTCTTTTCTAAACAGTATTTATGTAATCATAAATGCTAAAGTGAACATTAAATACTAACTTTTTTAATCACAAAAATTGTGATAAAGCCATATTGGGAGACTCTTGGGAAGCACACTTATGTTGTCAGAGGCATGATAGGAGGACTGATATAAGAATGCTAAAAGCTCAAATGCCATGGTAGGCAATCATCAGATAAAGTCTGAAAGTAAAAAATCAAGAAAGTGCCAATAACATGGAAATGAATACCAGGGGAAGGAGCTAAGAGTGGAAGGGTTGCTCCTGAGGAGGAGAATTCTGGACGGGAAGGTTGCAGCTGGGCACTGGCCTTTTACATTCGAAATCTATTTGACTTAAATATATATAAAACTGTGATTAAAATTAAAATGAATGTGTTCGTTCATGAAAGGAAGACGCTGTCAAGTCTTTGCTACCTGGAGGACAATAGGTGCCATGTTGTTAACCAATCAGTGGATAATATATCAAAGCAGCGTCAGAGGAGGGAGACCAGCTGGGTGCTCTTGCCACAGTCCTAGTGAGAGGTAATGAGAATCTCACAGCTGGTCCTGCCCAACCATGACAGAGCAGCATCCAGAGAAGCTGACTCCAGCCTAGAAACAGGAACCACAGACATTCTCAAAGTGAAAAATCCACTGGGTCAAGTATGACCTCCTGACAATCTAGGCTTTCAATATAATCAAGAAGCAAATTGCTTTTCTTTTGTTCTGCCTTTTACAGTTTATAAAGCCCTTTCACATACATCATGTGAAATGTCAGCTTTGGGCCCTGTCTTAGTCCTTTCGTGCTGCTATAACAAAATACCTAAGATTGGATAGTTCGTTTATAAACAAGAGAAGTTTATTGCTCACAGATCTAGAGGCCAGGTAGTCCAAGATCAAAGTGTGAGCAGATTCAGTGTCTGGTGAGGGCTGGCTCTCCGCTCCACAGACGGCATCTTCTACCTGTCCTCACATGGTTGGAAGGGGTAAACAAGCTCCCTCAGGCCTTTTTTTATGAGGGCACTCACCCCATTCATGAGGGCAGAGCCCTTCTGATCTAATCATCCCCTAAAGAAACCCCTCTTAATACTATGACACTGGGGATTAGATTTCAATATATGAATTTGGGAGGGACACATTCAGACCATTGCAGGCCCTATCAATCCTACAATATTCTCCTTTTTCAGCCTTAAAAATAGGGCTTAGAAAATAAACCAGTTAAAGGGTAAAAATAGGTATGTCTATGGCTCTTAAACCTGGTGACATTTTGGGATCACCTAAACAGCTTAAAAAATATTCATGCCTGAACCCTACACAACTGAATTTGACTTTTTGTGGTGGTTTGAAGTCCCTTCAGATGATTCTTGTGTCCCACATGAGGCTGCCTCTGCTACTCCTTAGCTAATCCAACCTCATGTCCCAATACTCAACACACATTTTTCCACAGACATCAGGGAAGGCTAGGTAATCTGCAAGAACAAGAACCACCAAGATTTCAGTGTCTTAAAGACAAAGATTGATTCATCACTCACCCAAAGTCCACTGTGGGTTCAACAACTTTCCAGGGCAGCTATTCTCCACATGATGGCTCAATGTCCTTGATCCTTCCTCTCAGCCCACACTTCCATGGTGGTCATGGCTGCAGAAAAAAGCACTGAAGAAATTGCACTGCCAATCAAATGCTTCAGCCTGTAGGTGACACACATCACTTCCAATTGGAACCTGTTGGCCACATGTACTCATATCACCCCACATGATAGCAAGTGTGGGAGTGGGGGAAGTACTTCTCTCAAGTGCCCCAAAATAGAGAAAAGCTGGGTATAGATAAACACTAGTAACATCTACGAACCTCTTTATGCCACCTGTGCTATGCTTGCTGCTCCCTACATGGCAATCCCCTGTCCTCTCCATTCTCCCCATTGTCACTGCTCTTTAATGCCTGGCTGAAACCTCAGCCCCTCCTTGAAGTATTCAACCAAATCTTTCTGCACTGATCCCCTCGACCTGCCATTAACAGTTCTCATTATCTGTGGGGTACATTTTGGCACTTGTAGTTCATTAAGCATTTTCAGTCTTTACATTTCTTCTATTGATAATAATTTAATCTCATGGATTTGGGGCAAAGTAGCAAGAGGTACTGTTTTTCTTACCAAAAGAGACGAATGTATCAGAAAGGTGGGAGGGATGGGCACCTAGGGAGTGAGCTCTGTGACTTCTGAGCATTTGCGTATCGCCAAAATGGAGAGCCAGAGGAGGTGCAAGTAAGTGGACCTGGGAACTTTGAAGAGGTTGTTTTCAAACGTTCGTTATCCTGAGAAGCTTAGGCTAAAAAATTGTACACCAGTAAAGAGAATTGGGCATTTCCACAGAAGAATGATGACCTCTAACGTTTAAGTCTTTAATCCATCTTGAATTAATTTTTGTATATACGCCAAGGAATACTGTGCAGCCATAAAAAATGATGAGTTCATGTCCTTTGTAGGGACATGGATGAAATTGGAAATCATTATTCTCAGTAAACTATCGCAAGGACAAAAAACCAAACACCAATGTTCTCACTCATAGGTGGGAATTGAACAATGAGAACACATGGACACAGGAAGGGGAACATCACACTCTGGGGACTGTTGTGGGGTGGGGGAAGGGGGGAGGGATAGCATTAGGAGATATACCTAATGCTAAATGACAAGTTAATGGGTGCAGCACACCAGCATGGCACATGTATACATATGTAACTAACCTGAACATTGTGCACATATACCCTAAAACTTAAAGTATAATAATAATAAAATAAAAAGAAAAAAATAAAATAAAAAGAAGAAGGATGACCTTAGAACTACTAATTATCTTAATGAAGGAATAAGAAATATTTCAAAAAGCCACAGGTTGCATGGAAAGCCCATCACTTAGCCCAGAACTTAAAAATACATGCACAAAAGTTGGGAGGTGAAGGACATTACTTCCCCTGAGCTCCCACTGCACCCTGAACAGATGGGGTCCCTGCAGTTTCCACAGGCTTTTGTACCTTTCTGCTGACATTGCCACTTATTTATTTTTATTTAACAGACATATAATATTTACTATGTAGCAGGCACTATTACATGTTCTTTATAAACATTAACTCATTTAATCTCATTACAACCATATGTAGGTTATAGTCCTCCTTATTCCCTTTACATATGAGAAAACCAAGTTTAAGTATATTGCACAAGATTACTGCTAGCAAAAGGCAGAACCACTAACCCCTTCAAAACAGGTGTATATATTTATATGCCCAGAAACTAACAACAGTAAGCACATAGGAAACATTTAAGTGCCTTTTAAATAAATGAATGTGGTCTTGTTTCCCTCTGAAGCCAGACTACCTGGGTTCAAGTCCTTCTACCACTTGCTAACTGTTTGAACCTGGGCAGGTTATTCGCCTCTCTGCACCTCTGTCTTCTCACCTGTATTACAGGGGATAATAAGAGGCCTCATAGGGTTGTTGTGAGAATTAAGAAAATTAAAAATATATATAGTACATCTAAAAGTTTAGCACCATCCTGGAACAGAGGAAACACTCAGGAAAATGTTAGTTATTATCATTTCACATGCTATATCTTAGCTCATCAAACTACAAACTCCTGTAAATCCATAGGGGGATCATACCTGAAACTAGAATGTGGTAGGCATCCTAAATATTATCCTAAAATTTGGATATTGCTATTACTGCTACATAACAAAATTCAGCAACTTAAAACAACACACATTTATTTTCCTACAGTTGTTGTAGGTCAGGAATGCAAGCCCAGCTTAACCTGGTCTTCTGCTCATGGTCTCTCACAGTATGTAATCAAGATGTTAGCCAGGGCTGTGGTCTCATCTGAAGGCTCAATTGAGAAAGGACCTGATTCCAAGTTCACTCTGTGGTTATTGGCAGGATTCTGTTTTTTCATGGCTGTTGGACTGAGGGCCTCAGCTCCTTGCTGCCCATTGTCTGGTGGTGGCCCTCAGCTTCTTCCCTCATGGGCCCTAATAGCTCACTTCATCATAGCAAGTTCATAAAGACCCAGGAAGAGTGAGAGAATGCAAACAAGAAGAAAGTCATAATTATTTTGTAACCAAATCATGGAATTAACACCCCATCACTTTTGTCATATTCTATTAGTTAGAAGCAAGCCATTCTCTAGGTTCTTCTCACCCTTAAGGGAGGGGTTTACACAAGGGCATGGATACCAGGAGGTGAAATTAGAGGCCTATGTCAGAAGCTGCTGACCACAGGGCTCAAACATCCAAGAGGCAGCTCTGCTTTAGATGAAAGTGGGCAAGGTGGAGACGCTGATGTTTGGGGTTCTGATTCTACTTCTGCCTCTAGGGTATGTCTTTTCAAACCCTCCTGGGGCCTTGGTTTCCACTCCTGTAAAATGAGCAGCCTAGACTGGGAGATGCCTCTGGTGCCTTTTATCCAGCACACTAGAGTTCTAGGTTTAAAAAAAAAATTACCAGATCTTAATTCAATTAAGGTCGTGAAGTTAGATTTCTCTACATTCTTGGAAAGCTGCCAGGTACACAATTATCTGAGTCCCTTCTTGATGGAGGTGAAAGGTGAATCTCTGCCTTCCTCTCTGCTAGCCATGCTGCCCCACCATACCAGCACTGGTGGAAGGAAGGAAGTAGGGCAGGCAGAGTCCTCGGGAAAGGGAAAGTCCCAGGTGTTTCCATTTACCTTCCTCCTACCTCCTTGCCCTGAATTGCTCTGGAGGCTATTTGATGCAGGCTGGCGTCAAAACCTCGGTGAGATGAAAGGCCCTTTCGAGGTGCATAATTCAGAGCAGCAAGTCCTGCACAGAGCATGTGATTAGAATAAATGTGTGTCCCTGAGGCTGAACACGGCTCTGCAGCATGGCAAGCTCCTGCACACTCCCCTTGTAATTCTTCTTATCTCCTGTCCCACCACTCATTTCCTTCCCTCTGACGGCTCAGCAGCAGCCCACCCAGTGAGACCTCCTTTCAAATAGCACCCTCTGTTCCTTACAGAAAGAGTACAGGAAGCCAGAAAAACATGACGGGAGATTAGAAGTTTGGAGAGCCTAGTGTGGGTCCAGCCTGTGACCCTAATCTGTGCCATGGCCCTAAGTGAGTCCCTTCCCCTCTTGAGCCTCAGTTTCTTCATTCATTTAGTAAAGAATTTGGATTAGATGACTCTCAATATCTCATCCAGCTCTTAAATCCTGTGATTCTTACATTTCCCTAAACACTGAGCAGGGAAATTGGGGGTCACTAGATGAGTTATGATATGTTTGACCATGAGTAACTGCTATGGTTGAAATGATGGTGTTCACTCCAAAATTTATGTTAGAACTTTATCCCCAGTGCAACAGTATTAAGAGGTGTGGCCTTTAGGAGATGATCGGATCACAAGGGCTCTACCCTTATGAATGGGATTAGGTATATTTATACAAGAGCTTGATGGAGGGAGTTCATCCATTTCCACCCTTTCAGTCCCTTCTGCCATGTGAAGACCAGTGTCCTTCCCCTCCAGAGGATATAGCAAAAAAAGTGCCATCTTGGAAACAGAGAGCAGTCCTCACCAGACACCCACACCTGCCAGTGCCTTGATCTTGGACTTCCCACAGAATTCCTCCAGAATTCTGAGAAAATAAATGTCTGTTCTTTATGAATTACTGAGCCTCAGTGTATTTTGTTATATCTGCAAAAATGAACTAAGACAGTAATAGAATCCTGAATAAAAGGTGACTTCTGCACATTTATCCCACTTAATAAACAATACAGAGATAGGAAGTTGTAATTTTGAGGTAATGGTTCAGCATTGTTACTTTTCCATTGTCCTTTGCTGCCAACCACTGTGAGAGCCACCTCTCTCAGTATCAGATCCTCGCACCATGGGGCAAACACAGGAGGCAGAGTGGTGGGCTCTCTTTGATGATGCTCCTTAACAGGGAGGAAAGCTTTTCCCAAACACTCTCATGTTCTATTATGGGTGGGATTTTGTCCCCCAAAAGGAAATGTGGAAGTGCCTCACAATGTGATGTTATTTGGAAATAGGATCATTCATCACAGATATAATGAGGAGTTAAGAGGAAGCCATACTGGTGTAGGGTGGGTCCCTAATCCAATATGACTGGTGTCCTTATAAGAAGAAGAGAGAGACACAGAGAGGAGATGGCCATGTGAAGACAGAGAAACACAGGGAGAACACCACATGACAAAGAGGCAGAGGCTGGAGTTCTGCAGCAGCAAGCCAAGAACTGCCAAGGATTGCCAGAGACACCAGAAGCTAAGAGAAAGAGATAGGACAGATTCTCCCTTAAAGCCTCCAAGAAAGAATGGCCTCACGGACACCGTTTTTACACTTCTAGCCTCTATACCTGAGAGAATACATTTCTGTTGTTTTAAGTCACCCAGGTTGTGCTACTTTGTTATGGCAGCCCTAGAAAACTAATACATACCCCTCCTGCTAAAACTGAGTTACATGTCCACAACTATCGGTAAATCACCCATTGGTAAAAAAGAGAGTGGTATTGCCATGGTCAATCATGGCTCATCTTGTGAGGCTGAGCTCATTGCTTCCAGGACAAAACCAGGTTCTACAGACTACAAAAAAATTAGGGAGTGACTATCAGGTTGCTGAGTCTAATATACACATTTGAAAAGTGAAAAAGAAATAGGCTCAGAGAAGAGAAGCATCCTGCTTTAGCTTCTCCCCGTCTGTGATGCAGTGCCTCTTCACTGCATGTGTGCAGTTGTTCCATGTGTGGACTCTTGCCCACTCTTAGTCTATGCTATGTGATTCTGGCTTGCACAGATTAGAGTAAATTGCTAAACAATGATTGATGAGAGACAAAGTAAGAAAAGGGCATTTTCCAAAACTTTCAGCATCCCAGCTCACACAGAAGATTAAAAGTAGAGCTCCTGGGTCTGGGTATGACTCAGTCTGGATGAAAAATGGGACTGGGAAGAAACAGCCTGAATACTGCTTCCTTAGAGGCCAGGGGTCACAGCAAAGGCTGAGGTTGGACAGGGGGTTAAAATGGGAAGGGACAGAAGAACATGACACCTGAGGAAGAAAGCATGCTGGCCTAGCCTACAGAAGGCATGCTCTTGGAGTACTGAGCTGATGTGGAAGGCTTCCTCAAAGAGACTCTGTAGATAAACACAGGCATGTCTAGGAAAAAAAAAAAACCACAGATATATTGCTGCCAAGAATGTCTCACGAGCACCTAACACTCGGATCGACACGTATGTCCTCCAAATGCTCTTCACTGTGTGCTTTCTGTCTTATCAAAAAGTGTTTGCATTGGCTCAATTGTCCAAGCCACAGTCATGGGAGTCATCCCTCCTCCCTCCCCCGCCCCCTCCTTAACCAATCACTCACCAGCTCTCCCTCCTAAATACTCCCCAAACGCATGCACCTCTCCCAGTCTCTCTACCTCCATCATCCTCGCTTGTGGAGATTACTGCAGTAGTCTCCTTACTCATCTGTTGCCTTTAATGTCCCTTCCTCCCTTGCCCATATCTATCCCTACAGCTGCAATGGTCTTCCTGAAACCCAGATCTGATCACCTCACTGCTTAATGACAGTCAGTGGCTCCCCATGGCTTTTGCATTAATGTCCAATCTTCCTGACTTGCTTTCAAGGACCCTCATGACATTCCTCCTACTTCCCTCCAAGCCTTCTCTCTCACCTCATTTCCCCTGGACCCCAGCCTTAATTCTTCATGCTTCATAAAATAACTCTTCCAACTTCCTGCAGCAAACATGCTCTCTTAAGCACCAGCGCCCATCTCCCCACCATTCCCATCCAGCCTCCATCCCCCGGGCCCAAGTCTAGATTGAGCCTCTTGTCCCTCAGATTCATTTTGCACTCTCCCTGGTCCGCTCTGTGCTGTGGGGGGTGGGGAGGGCCTGGCTGACCCCTATAGGTGGCAATTCCCAGCCTCCTCTGTCACAGGGCTCCTGGCTGGGTTCAGCCGGTGGCAGGCACTGGCAGACAAGAGGCAGCGGTAGGAGAAAAGGAAAAGAAAGGATATTTCTTTCCTCTTTCTCTGCCTCAGGGGATATCAGCAGCAGTGTCTCATCCAGGCTCCCACTGGACACAACCACTGTGGCTCTACTTTCCACTAGGGGACTCTATGATCTCGTTACACTGCTTCCTATCCTTGTGGCTCTAGCTGAGATACAGTAACTGCTTCCTGGAGTTGTTAATTTCTAAGACAACCGGCCCCCTCCATCACCTGTGAGCCAATTTCCAGCATTAAGTCACTTCAGTTATAAATACACTATGTGATTTTTGTTTTCCTGGTTTTTCCTAACTGGCATGGGCCTTCTCTATCATCAGCTCCCTGTCCTTCCCCTAAGGCATCCCTATTCATCCTGAATTGTAAGGGCTGGTTTGCTTGTGTCTACTCCCTTCTGATCTGAGTGTTCCATGAGGGCAAAGGCTGTGTCTGCTGGCTTACCATGGAACCCCATCGTACTCCTAAACTACCTGGACACAGTAAGTATCCAACGAACACTTGAATGAGTGAGTGAGTAACAGAATGAATGAATAAACTTTGTAGCTAAGTCTCTTGCCTATTCTTCCAGCCGCCCAAATCTACTTTGATTTTCTCAGTCTTTTAAACCTCCCTTCCCCAAGAAAATAACCTTCGCTCTTTTATCCTTACCCTGTAGATTCCCCCTTTCCATTACTTTATTAAGTACAAGTAATACGGGGTAAACCATCCAAAGGTCTCTGCCCACACAGGCTTCCAACTTCCATGGCATATCTCCTGGGTAGGGGCCTCAGCCAGGGCTGCTGACCAGAAGAGAAAGAGAGTTACAAGGCACAAGGATCTACACAAAGCTGCCTGACAGAATTCTAGCTGGGGCTTTGGCTGTGGTTCCCACATGGAGCTTCCTCCTGGCATCATGTGGTGTGAATCTGGAGACAGCTTCATGAGAAGTAAGGCCTTTGCACCATTTCCCCTTCCCAGTGTTCTGAGCCCCTAGTTGCTTCCCTGCAACCCAGCTTTGCTGGAGTGAGGTGAGAATGAGAAGAAAAGAAGACACTTGGCTTTGTTCCCAAGTATGGGCTGGGTGGAAGGGTTATGTCTAGTTTGGCAGCCTAGCATGGGAGGGTGCCCGGTGGAGGGTGGGAAGCATAGGCAATGAACCAGGACAACTGCTGTGGTCTGAGTCGCTATTTTCCCTCTCTCCTTCCTAAGCCCACACATCACATTTCAATCATCTCAGAGGATCTGTGCAGCAGCAGGAGATGGGCTGCAGGGATGCAGAGCATCCAGCCACGGCCTCCCCGGTGCCATAAGCTGATTAGAAATAAACATGGGGGCAATACACAGCAGTGGCTTTCTCACCTTATGCAGCAGAATCTGTTTCTAGGTCCAGGCTAAAAGCCAGCAGGCAAGAGAGAAGGGCACTGAGACACTTAGGCAAAGGCTGAGGGGCCGGGCACCTTGGGGCATTTTGTCATCCCTCTGTCTCCAAGAAAAACTTCAAAGATTCCAGTGTGGCCACTCTTTTGACTCCATTTGGATAATGAGACACCCTAAACAGTAAAGTGCAGGTCATCACATATCTCAATAAAATAAGAGGATTAAATGGAAAAGGAATCTGGATTGGTGCAAGGGTTGGAAGAAACCTCTCCCCTGTGCCAGCCAGAAATCTGTCTTGGAGTTCCGGATCTTTACACGATATGATGAGGAAAGGCTAGGACAGAGGGAGCTCTCAACCGTGTGGGTTGGGGATGGGTGGGATGAGGGGAACACAAGGTCAGTGCTGCTGGGGATATAATAACAACCAACACTTACCGTTACTGAGAAGTCCTAGGCACCAGGCCCTAAGCTAGGCACTTTTATTCATTATGACGTTAAATCCTTATAATAAGCCTCTGAAGTAGCTACTATTGTCCTCGTATTACAAAAGAGGGGAACCAAGGCTCAGAGAGACTTGGTAGGCTCACACGGCTAGGTGTGAGTTGCCCAGTCAGACCTGGAAACCAAGCTTCCAAAACCCATCACTCTTGAAGTGACATCTATGCCCTGTCCCCCAGTGCAGAGCCATCACCACGGTGCTGCTCCCGGGTGAGGCTAGGGCCACAGCTCACCAATGGCAGGCGGAGGGGTGGCTCTAAAGTGGATAACGTTGGGTGGGGGGACCCCATGGCTCTGGTTCCATCTGCCTAGAGGCCTTTGCTTAAGGCAGCTGGAAGCCCAATCATCTCACCTCATGCTTCTAACACGTTTCTGGTTATTAACAGGGACAGCGGTCCAGTTTCCCCTCTGTCCCTGAAGTTTCACAGTGTCTAAATGCCTGCACACAGCCACTGCCTTAGCTCAAACCCTGGCCATCTTTCATGTGGCCCCTCTGAGCAGCCTCCTGCCCCATAATTCTTCCCAAGGCAAAGCTCATCATGTCACCTCTCTTAAACTCTTTCAGGACCACTTTTTCCTGGGGAGTAAAGTTCAGATTGCTTAATTTGACTTTCCCAAGCTGGCCCCAACCTGCCTCCCAGGGTCCTGTCTCTCCCACATTCTCTGCACTCCAGAGACCTCAGAGGCCTGGCTGTTATACTGGGTGTGCCTTGCATTGCCATACTTCCTCGCCTATGCTGTTGCTCCAGCTTTCCTTCTCCTGATTATTCCCCTTGGCAAAATGTCACCTTTCCTGCCCAATTCAAATGTCATATGCCTTATGAAGCTTCTCCTCTGTGGCAACTCCTCCCCTGAAGACTCCTTCTGAGTTTGTGATGAAGATGAGGATAATGATAAAAGTAGTAAGAGCTAACACTGAGGAATGCTCACTCTGTGCCAGGCACTTTTCAAGTATTACCTTGTTTAATTCTCATAACAACCCGAGGAGATGAGTGCCATCATTATCTTCATTTCATAGATAGAAAATGGAGGCCCAGAGAGGTTAAGTGACTTGCCCATAGTCATGCAGCTCATAAATGGAGAGGAACAAGGATTCAACCACAGCCATGCAGTTCCAGAGCCTGTGCCCTTAAGCAATCCCCAAGGCTCCTCCACACAAAGAACACCCATGGGGTGCAGATCCAAAGGTTCCTTTACAGAAGCATTGCTCACCTTATTTGAGAGGCCATGAGTCCCCTGTCTCCCCTGATCATCTGTGAGCTCCTTGAGGGCGAGGTCTGTCTTAGGAATCTGTCTTTTGTCTAGCACAACACCAAGGACAACAATGAGCAAGGCCTTTGCAGGAGAGAACAAATGAATGACATGTAATGATAATTATTTGAAGCATCATTCTGAGTCATCACAGGAGAGTGATAAATGCCCCAAAATGATGACCCATTGGTGAGATGAGGCACTTCTGTGCTGTCTCCCAGGCAGAAATGTGGGAAAAGAGTCCAGGAAACATGTCCTCTATGAAGGGCCGTTACTGAGACTCTGTGCACACAGGGAGAGGGAGGTCATGTGTCCTTTCACTGTCCTTTGGGCCAATGGTTTAGGGCAGAGGCAGGGCACACCTTTTCATTTTTCCTAAGTACCCAAGTCTCAGGTAATTCCTCATGGACTATACTGTTTATGGGCTCACCAAGTCCCATGAGACACGACCAGCCATCTGCCCCTTCTCTCACCCACACGCTTCACTGCAGAGATGGAGGCAGAGTTGGGATTTACACAAATCACAGGGAGAAGGTGATGGGTGACAGTGCCATTAGCCACTGAGATTCAGCTTGCCCCACCCTGAGCCTGAAATCCACACACCCACGAGACCTCCTATAGAGTCCCCATCTCAGTTCAGTTCACCACCCATCTGGCTATCCAAATGAGGAACCTCCTGCTCTCTAACACCACCCCCCTCCCTCTCGCCCCCACACACAGCCAGTCCCCTGGTCCTGTCACTCCATTTCCCAAATATTGCTGAACCCATCCCTCTTCTTCACTGCCATGATCCCAGCTCAAATCTCACCACTTCTGGTCTAGAACTGGAAAGCCCCTTCCTTCTACGTATTATTTAGCTCCCAGGGAGCGCATTATAATTTATAAATGGGATCATACCACTTCCTGTTTAAAAACTTCCAGTGGATGCCATATGTCACTGTCCTTTGGCCCAATGGTTTAGGGCAGGGGCAGGGCCTGCTGGGCCCTCTCCCATGTCTCTATCACATTTTTATATTAAAAAGTGAAAAAAGAATCGAACCAAAGGACAGTCCTTTAAATTAAATATGTTTACCTTTACAACAACCATGCATGTAACCTCTTCCCACCTCTCTCACTACCTTCCACCAGCCCTGCAACAGCACGCCATGCTGTTGTCAGGCCTGGGGCCTTTGCCAGGCTTTCTGCCCAAAGTACCTCCCATCTCCACCCTCACCCTTCCTCACCTGGCAGGCTCCCCTCCCTGTAGAAGACATGGATCAGCTCCTCCAGGAAGCCTTCCACAAGCCACTCTCTCTACAAATTCCCCCTACCCTGAAATCTGGCAACCTGCCCCAACATACTCCCATATAAAAATTGCTCATGAGACTCAGCACATTTCACTGAAATCATTTCATTGCACATGTTTCCCCACTGAGCTGGTTCAGGGCAGAAACCCCCTCTTATTAATGTTCCCATGTCCCAACCCTAGTACAGCACCTGGAATGGGACCTAATGGGGGCTCAGTGGATGTGTCTTGAATTGAAATGAAGTCATCTTTGAACCATCCATCTGTAAATAGTCTAATCCCTGAGCTTACTCAGCGGGCTGTCATGAGACGAGAGAGATACTGCTTGTGAAGTGCTTAGCATGAGCTCAATGGATGTTCACTATTAACATAATCATTATTACTATAATCCAGTATCCTCCAGGCTGGGCATTAGGAGACACAGATTCTAGTCCCAGTTCTGATGTTAACTATCAGGGTGACCTTGGGCAAGTCAATTATCTTTTCCAAATTCGTCCTCAATAAATTTTATTTTCCTTCCTTGCTTCACCTCCAGTATTGAACAATTCTCTATATAATCTCTACTTCTCCCTTACTTCAGCATAGACAATTCAGAATTTGCAGATAGCTCACAGTATATCTGCACTTATGAATATTGCATTTATGAATATCCCAACACATAAGCAATCATGTTGAGACCCACCACATGGGGCAACCTCTTCCCTCTCCTTCCCTGCTGGGCCCTCTCCCATGTCTCTATCACATTTTTATATTAAAAAGTAAAAAAATCGAACCAAAGGACAGTCCTTTAAATTAAATATGTTTACCTTTACAACAAACAAGTTACATTTTTCTTATTTTCTCATTTCCTTGTGGACTGGTAAAGCTTCATTGTGAATGAATAACCACCAGCCTGGATCAATACTTGGAAACAAAGCACTGTGGTGCCCACTATGGGATCTCCACAGGAAGCAGAAGCACTTCTCAGTTACCAAATCCCACTGGCCCACCCAGCCTCAGCCCCACCCTTAATCGTGGGGAAATAGCAACTTCCATCAGGAGAGAGGGGGCAGGATCTTATCAAAAACAGCACTGCAACCAGGCCCAGTGGCTCATGCCTTTAATCCCAGCACTTTGGGGGGCAAAGCAGGAGGATCACTTGAGCCTAGGAGTTCAAGACCAGCCTGGGCAACATAGTGACCCCGTCTTTACAAAAGAAAAATTTTTTTTAATTAGCTGGACATGGTGGCATGGACCTGTAGTCCCAGCTACTTGGGAGGCTGAAGTGGGAGGATCACTTGAGCCCAGGAAGTCGAAGCTGCAGTGAGCTATGATCACATCACTGTACTTCAGCCTGGGTGACAGAGCAAGACCCAGTCTCAGAAACAAAAAACAAACAAAAAAAACACACCATTGCAATTGCAGGTTGCAGGTCTGTATCAGAGCAACCTGCCCTTTCTGAAAATCTCTAAACTGTGTCAATCTATAAAAAAGAAAACCACTGTTTCTGTAACTCCAATTATACTATTACTCCCTTCCCTTCTGAAGGGATCCCCCTCACAAAAGCTACTTTAAGATTTGAAGCCATTTCCTTCCAACAGGAGCAGGAAGAAGGTAAGGAACTACATTACCCAGAAACCCTGTGGCAGAACCTGGGCTGTCCCATGGCTTTCATTCCTACCGGCAGTAGCCTGAGCTGCTGAGTAGGCAGAGAGAATCTCCTCTGAGCTCTAAAGACCAATCAGAGCATGAAACTGAGGGTGATGTTCCCATCTGTCTCACCAAGAAACTCGGGGTGGGTGTGAGGAAGGTAAGACAAAAGTGTTGAATTTTTCTAAGGCCATTTTAGAAAAGAAGACTTGAGCAAAAAAACAGTCTGCTGGTAACTAGTCCCTTAACCATAGCCTGGTGGAAGCAGTGCAGAGCCCAGACTAACACAGCCACCTCTTCCACCCACAGAGGGTACTGTTTGTCTTATTTCTTTATCCCTAAGGCTGACAGAAAAACAATCTCTGTGATCAGAGAACCCTTGATCTGATGGGGGAGATGCAGCCCTTCTCCTCAGAGAACTCCCCATCTGACAGAATTATAACCCCTGACTTTCAAGAGCCTCCCGTCTAATGGGGGTGACAGAGCTCCTGCTCCCAAGGAGCTTCCATTCTGATGGGAGAGGCGGAGGTCCCATCTTCAAAGAGCACCCAACTGATGGGGGAGCTTAGAGTTCAGTTCTCTGCCAAAGTGTCCTCTGCAGCCAGCTGGAGCCGGCTGTGCAGCTGTGAGGGACACAGGTGACTTGGCACTTGTCCTTGTATTCGCCCTACTGAGCCTGAGGCTAGGCTGGCTCTGGAGATGAATGGGCAGTCCACACACCAGGAAGAAGAGCTTTGAGGATGCAGACAGACCCAAATGTAGCAGAACTTTGCAGCCTGAGCAGGTGGCCCGCCAAGGGTGAGCTTCTCTGGAACTCTTATTGGCCAGAAACCTTTATTCTTAGCCCTCTTTCCACCCCCAGAATGCTGTTCTCCATTTTCTTTCCTCTTTCAGAAACTGGCCCAGCATGCCCTGTTCAGGCGACTGTCAGGGGTTACTGTCCCACATCTGCCTGTCGCGTTCTGCATAAGGCTGCATAGGGCTGCCACAGACACATACATTTCCTCTTTTGGCATCCTTTCCTCTCTCAGGGATTTGTTGGGTCCTTTAATTCTTTCAGAAGTCCCTGCACTCCTCAAAAGTTGGGCCTGAGTCTCTGCCTTTCAGATTATTTTGTTCCTATCTGACCAGGGGCTCCCTAAATGCGGGATCTTTGGGGTCTCCACAAGGGTGGAGCTGTCACCTCCAGAGGATTTGAAATTAGAAAACCTGTAATTTGAACCCCATCCCTGCCACCCAACAGCTGTGTTACTTTAGCTAAGACACTTCACTTCTCTGAGCCAGTTTCCTTGAAAATGGGGAAAATAACATTCTTCCCCAACTCAAATGGTAGCAAAGTTGTTTAACTGATTAAGAGCTCTGCAAACATTAATTACCTTTAAGGTGGGGCACAACCAACACCAGGGAACCTCATTTCTAACGTATAAAAAAAAATAAAAGTGAGACTTCTCAGTTGACCATCAGGATGGGGTTTCTGGAAGCCCTTCCTTCTCAACTTCCCCCACCTCCTATCCTCCTAAAGACCTCACAGTATCCAACATGCATAGTTATAAAGTTAGAACATCACTCAACAGCAAAGCCCAGTTCTGAAGCTCATATCATTAGGAATGCATTCAACTGCAATTAGCAGGAAACCCAATCAGATAATTTAAATTAAAAGATGGTTATTGTTCTTTGGTAACAAGTAATCTGGAGGTAGGTGTTGTTGGTATTGATTTATCACTCAGTGATGCCAGAGACCTCGGCCTTTCCTACCATTCCATTCCACCACCCTCCAAAAGCTGGCTTTCTTCCTTGTGCTTGGAGTATCATGGTCACAAGATGGTTTCTGTAGCTCCAGGTATCACATCACTTTCAAGGAAGGAAGGAAGAGGTCAGGGGAAGGACAGGACCATCTGGTTGTCAGGGCAAATGCTGTAGAGGCCATGACCTCTACAGCAGATAGGCCTCATCTTTCTAGGAGTGTCAAATGGGACTGCAGAAATGTGTTGTGCCTAGCCTTTTGGACAAGCAGCCTCACCTTCCTGCAACTTGCTGCTCACTCGGTTCCGGTTTCCAAACGATCACCTGTGCAGATATGTGCTCATCAAGTGTAGAATCTTTATCCCTCACCAGACGGAGAGGGTGTAGGGAAGGTGGAAGGACCCCATTCCCAAAGCATCCTCCACCTCCTGGTGGCATTCAAGCTTCTTTCAAACACACTGGAGGTGGAATCTCTGGGAACAGAACTATGCCCATCAGAGGTTGCCAGCTTAGTTACTATAATGACTGTTTACCTCGCCTTCCTGTCACTGTTCTTCTCTACAGCAATATGACTAGAAGCATATGCTGTGCTAGGCAGAGATTATTAGAGATGCGAGACCATAAAAAGGCCCCCTCTGTGCCAACTGTCTCTTCTACAGAGGTTCTAGTGCACACATTTGAAAATGGCCGCACTAGGTTCTTAATATTTCACCTCCATTTTCTGCCTTCAATAGCAAGAACAGGAGGTGATTGGTGGTGAGATGAGCATCATGCTAGGAGTCCAGTCCTGGTCCTATGGCTGACCTCATTGTTTGGCCTTGGGCGAGTCACTTACTCTCTCAGGCTCCGCTTCTATAAAGTGGAAATGATAATCATATGCACCCTGGAGAATTACATGCTTTAAAAAGATCTCACTGGCTGCTGTGTAAGCAACAGACTCGAAAGGCAAGATTTGCCACGGCGTGGATATAGATTGTGAGAAAAAGATAATTAAGATTATGCCAACATTTTTCCCTAAATATCTGGGTGAATAGAAATGTATTTCCTCACTATGATATACTCTCTGCAGGAGGAAAGAAAGGGGCAGAGAACTACTCATAAACCACGGTGCCAGGGTCCGGGAGCAGGTGGGGCATGTGACATTATTGGTCTCCAGTAGCACAGTAAGAACCACCGCCACACCTCACATCCCCGAGACGGCCCTTATGTTCTGGCGAACCAAAGGCTGAAGGCCCCTGAATGTAAAAGCTGGGAGGGCCACCTTCCTCATTATCACCTGGGATGCTTGACAAAGATGGAGTACCCAAGCCCATCCGTACACCTTCTGAATTAGAACATCACCCAAGCCCATCTGTACACCTTCTGAATTAGAACATCAGTGTCTGGGGGCTAGAAAGCTACCTGTAACAAGTTCTCTGGATGAATTTTGTGTCTCCAAAGTCGATGTTCCCTGGCTCTAGCCTTCAATTTGCAGATAAAGAAACAGCTCTTAACCTCCAGGCCAGGTCTCTTCCATTGTATCAAGCTTCTAGGGTCCTCAGTGGCTCAGCTGACATCACCCTTCACCATGGCCTCCCCAGCTCTCTATCTCTTCTCGCAAATAGGTTATCAGTCACAAAGGGGCCCAGAGAGGATGTGTGGTCCTCCACCCCCACTGCTGGGAGATGTCCTCACAGGTGGTCAGTGTGTCACTCCCGGGGGTACAGGATGAAGACAGCTGGACTGATGGGAGAGCCTGTGGCTGGATGGCTCTGAGGCAGTGTTCAGCCAGGCATAGAAATGCAGTAGCAGATATGAGATTGGGGTCCCCACACTCCTGACACTGCCTCTGCCAGGTAAGTTACTGAGACTGGAAGAAAATGTTGCTGCCGGTTCCCCCCATAAAGCTACCCCATGGCAACTCAACATTAACCCAAATGGAGAAAGGCTGAGACCAGGCTCTGATGAAGCCATCTCACTGATTAAAGACTCAGTTTTGTGGCAAAACCACCAGCAGCTACCCCCCTGAATCCCAGCACTGGGGATGAATTGGCAACTTTCTCATAAGGCCTTAAGCCAAACATGGCAGCCAGTAGCGGGCAGCACATGGCAATTCCAGCAGCATTATGCTTGACTGACTCTCCCTTCCTAAAGCCCCAGTCTCCAAAGAACATTGATGACAGAGAGTGCTAGCAGAGGCCCTGCAGTCAGATGATTTAGCAAACCCACCTATTTTGTTGATGTCTAGGAATTATAGTGAGAAAAATCAGCCAGAGTTATACCTGGCCCCTTGGATTTTCATTAAACCCTATGAGTTTCATTATACTGACAGGCAAAACTTTCATTCTCTGCCTCTGAAATGTGGCCATCCAGTTACCCACCTGTCCTCCCCTATAAAGGCCCAGGTAAAGGAGGCCTCTGCAGCAATGGGAGGACTTTGTATCACTACCTAGCTCCAGGAGAGCTCTTGCACTAGAAGGTGTGGGTGTCACATTCCACCTGGGAAGGGATGAGTCCCCAACAGCCAGGAAGTTCCCTGTCTTTAATCACACTAAGGTTTCATGCACACTTTCAGGTGGTTGCCCTTATGCACACACACAACTGAACACAGACTCAGATTAACACATACATACGCATTCCAAACAGGAGCTCATATAAATAAATACAAGAAACACATGAAATGAAAGTAGCCATCATCATAAGTGCTTACAATATGTTAGGCAACATATGAAAGGCAAGGTAAGTGTTAACTTCCTTTAACTCTCACGAGAACCCTTTAAGATAGGTGCCATTGTTATTGTTATCTCCATTTCACAGATGAGGAAGCCCATTAGGGGGTTCCAACTGTAAATAGTAAAGCCCAGATTCTAGTGTGTCTCTGCGACCTGTACTCTCAACCTTCCAGGTTCCCACTAGGACACATGCCATTCCCTGCACATGTCCCACATGTATGGTGCTCCCACACCCAACTCTTCATCGCCACGCACATGCATACCTGACTAAATGCACTGTGTTCTTTGGGGACATGTGCCAATCAGCAGCGTTCAGTGTTTCTCTGACCCTCCCTGGAAGGGAATGGCAGTGCCTTTCCAATGCTGTTTTAAGGCTCATTTGTTCCCCTCCAGTCCTTAGACCTCGAGAAATTGCCCATTTGTCTTATTCAAATGCAGGCAAATTGCTGAGATGGCATAAGTCCTTGTTGAAGCTTCTTGGTGATAGGCAGATCAGGAACAGAAGCATGAACTTTAAATCATCTTATCTAAGTCCACAACATTTAATAAACCTGTGGTCAGGAGCTTTTTTACTTGCTGCTGCCCATTAAAGAAAAGGGCAGTTTTACAGCTAAGCCCTAATATGCTGGCTCATAAAGAAATCACTCCTTGTTCTGACTTATCAGCCTCCATTATCACTGCCTTAAGCAGAAACACACTGTTATGTTCTGCTGCTCACACCATTAGCTCAACGTGCACTAAAAATACCAAAAGCACCAAGGGACTTCCAGTCTCTAGCAAGTTCCTGGGGTGCAAAGTCCCTCCAGATAGGGTGAGAACCACATGGGAAGAAGTGGGCACCGTGTGGGCAAGGGCAACTGCCTGGACATGCCAAGCGCTTCTCTGGAGGGTAGACATTAGCTGCCTCACCTCCAGGCTACAGAGAGGACTCCTGGGCTCAAGCCTGGGCAGGTGCAAGGAGCAGGGCTATTATTCACCCCTCTGGGGCTGAACATGGCTTCATGAGTATTAGGAGCATAAACTTGGGTTTGAAATCTGATTCAGAATATGCTGACTGTGGCCTTAGACAAGTCAAATTTCTAGGCGTCAGTGTCCCAATCTGTGAAATGTGGAAGATAAAAAATAGCACCTGTTTTGAGTTATTGAACGAATTAAATAAAAAATGAGTTTACTCTTAGGGTTTTTGTTCTAGAAAACATTTCAGTGACATGAGTTGGTGCATGACCATCAGCTCCCTCCTTTCTTGCTTCAGCCACCAGGAAGTCACCTGTTCTAGAGTCTGTATCTATAAGATGCATCCTGGATCCCTGAGTCATTAGTTGGAAGAGGACTTCTCTGGAGAGCCAATAGACCAAGAACAGACTTTAAATGAACCAAAAAGAAACATTTATGTATTAAGCTACTGAAATTTCAGAGTTCATTACTGCAACCTAGCTTAGCTTAACTTGACTAATATACCATGTGTTCCAGACAACACTATTACTAGTTGGAATAGGGTTATCCAACCCATACTGGACTATGGTGGAGTGAAGAATAAACTATTATAGTGTTAAGTCACTGAGATTTTAAGCTTTAGTATCTTATTGTATCAGAGCCTCCTAACTTATTAATAAATCAACTGGAAATGATGCACCTTATAACTGAGGATCCCTTACAAATAAGAAAATTGAATAGTGAAAGATAAAAACAGACACAAATATTATCAGTAAGTTTCTGTGTGAGTGCAAGTAACAGCAAGTCAAACTAACAGTGACTAAAACCATGAGGACACTTATAGTTTACTTCACAAGAAGTCAGAGTTAGGCAGTTCAACTATTAGGTCAGCAGGTCCATGATGTTATCAAAGACCCAGACTCTCCTTCCTTCCTCTATGAGTCCTCAGCTTCCTGGTTTTCATCCTTATTGTCTTATGATCAAATGATGCTTCCACAGCTCTAACTATCATATCCTTACATAACCACTTTTTTATCAGGAAGGGAGGCAGGAAAAAAGAGCGTTTCTCCTTGAGTGGTTCTGTCTTACCAGAGAAGAAAGCCTTTCTTAGACATCCCCAGGGAACTTCCCCTTAGACATCTTACTGGCCACAACTGATTCGTAAACAAAAGAAAGCCGAAAGAGATTTACCATGTCATTGGGATCATTACCAAATGAGAAAATCAGGATTCTCTTAGCAAGAAATGAAGGTAACAGCCATTAGATGGGGCAGATTATCAATAGTGTCTGCCCCATATATAAATTTGTCTCATTGCCTAACACCATGGTATTAAAAAAGGAAAAAAAGTGGTAAGATAATGGTTAGAATACCATTGTCTCCCTCTGGCAAATCCATATTCTTCCTTTTCTTCGAGTCCCTTTTTTCCAGTTAACTGAGGCTTAGAGAGAAGGACTTGTCCAAGGTCTCCCTCCTGCTGATTGTTAACAGAGCTCAATCTTCAAGCCAGATCCCTTCGCTCTTGGACCAAGGTTGGGTCCATGCTAATACTTCTCACTGTGAGTTTCAGAGAACATTTTTCACGATGTGCTCTGTAAATCAAAAAGGGTTGAGCAATCAAGTAACTTTTTAAAAATGCTACCTACTTGATGTCTGTCTTGGTGATTCATTATGCCCACTAGTATATTAAAATCTCTGAGAAGTCCTGCAGCAAAGGACACATCTTATAACATTCAACCTTGTAGTTCCCAAAATGTATTTGAGCATGGAATTGTCACTTCCCAGCACCTGTTAACATCTCATGGGACTAGTGTTTTGGAGAACACCCTTTGGAAATGCTGTCCTAAATAAGGCAGCTTCCAGCCACCCCACCCCATAGCGCAACCACTGTGCTGAGCAAATCCATCTGTGGAGACAGGGGTAATTAGTTCAGCATATGCTGCTGTGCTTCTACTGCATTATGGTTCACGTTCCACTCAGGTGGTGGATTTTTTCCCTAGTTAATGAAGAGGTTTATTTTTGTGTGTTCATTTAGGGATTGTAATCACTTTCAAGAAAGAACAAGAGCGCATCACTGGAAAGAATGAGTGTAGCGTTGGGAGGTTATGGAGAAATCCACTTAGATGTATCTCTGGCCCAGAGAATGCTGGCAATGGCAGTCTGCAGAGCTTTACCATGCCCATCGAGCACACAGCACCTCTGCAGACATCATCCCATCACTCTAAAAGCATTTGGGCAGGGCCTTGACTACCTCATTCCATGTGGCCAAGATTCTCCCAAACACTGCCTATACAACCTTGGAAGATTCCCTTCTCTTGGGTCTAAGTTTCCTTGTCATCTATTGATAAGGACATTGATATACTTTGGATATTTGTCCCCTCCAAATTTCTGTTGAAATGTGATCCCTAATGTTAAGAGGTGGGGCTTAGTGGGAGGCGTTTTAGTCATGGGGACAGATTCTTCATGAATGACTTGATGCCCTCCCCACAGTAATGAGTGAGTTCTACTAGTTCATGGGAGAGCTGGCTATTTAAAAGAGCCTGGCACCTCCACCCCTCTCTCTTGCTCCATCTCTTGTGATGTGACACGCTGGCTCCCCTTCTCCTTCCATTATGATTGGAAGCTCCCTGAAACCCACACCAGAAGGAGATGCCAGTGCCATGCTTCTTGTACAGCCTGCAGAACTATGAGCCAAATAAATCTCTTTTTCTTTACAAATTATCCAATCTCAAGTATTCCTTTATAGCAGTGCAAAATCGACTGATATAGGCACTGAGATTTGGAATGCTTAAAGGTCCTGGGCTCGGGATCTAGGTCTTGGATCATGGACTTCTTTCCCTCCCACAAGGCTGCCTCCTCAGGAGGAGTAGGAGGCATGAAGCGCCTGATATTCCATGATCACTTAGATTTTATTTTTTTAACAGACAGGGTCTCGTTCTGTCACCCATACTATAATGAATTGGCACAATTATAGCTCACTGCAGTCTTGAATTCTTGGGTTCAAGCAATCCTCACACCTCAGCCTCCCTAGTAGCTAGGACTACAGGCATGTACCACCATGCCTGGCTAATTTTTTAATTTTTTTGTAGAGACAAAATCTCACTATGTTGCCCAGGCTGATCTCAAACTCCTGGCCTCAAGCAATTCTCCTGCCTCAGCCTCTCAAAGTGCTAGGATTATAGGTGTGAGCCACTGCACTTGGCCAAGATTTTTAAATCTTTTGTTGAAGTAATCACACCGAGAAGCGCACACATCAGAAGCATTCATCTCAGTGAAAGTTTACAAACTGAACACATCAGAGTAACTAGCACTTCTTAAGATAAGAACATACCTTACCAGCACCTTAGAAGCCCCCTCGGCCGGGCGCAGTGGCTCATGCCTGTAATCCCAGCACTTTGTGAGGCCAAGGTGGGCAGATCACAGGGTCAGATTGAGATCATCCTGGCCAACATGGTGAAACCCCATCTCTACTAAAAATACAAAAATTAGATGGTTGTGGTGGCGCGTGCCTGTAATCCCAGCTACTTGTCAGGAGAACCGCTTGAACCCGGGAGGCAGAGGTTGCAGTGAGCCAAGATCGCACCACTGCACTCCAGCCTGGTGATAGATCGAGACTTCGTCTAAAAAAAAAAAAAAGCCCCCTTGTGCTGCCTTCCAGTTACTACGCTCCCGGGGGAGCCACCATCTGCCGTCTAATGCCACAGATTCGTTTTGTCTGTTACTGAACTTTATATAAATGGAATCAAACAATGTATACATATTCTTCATGCCTGGCTTCTTTTGCTCGAGTGTGTTTATGTGATTCTTTCATGTTGTTGAGTGTAATTGCAGGTCATTAATTCTCACTGCTGTGTAGTATTCTTTTGTGTGAATATGCCACTTTTGATTTTTCTATTCTACTCTTGACAGACACGTTTATTCAGGTAGTTTCCAGTTTGGTGCTATTAAATATAGCGCTTCTATGAATATTCTAGCACCTGTCTTTCAGAGAATCATGCGGACACACTTCTATTGGTGTATTACATCTAGGAGTAGAAATATTGGACCATAGGATATACTTTGGTAATATTTCCAAACTGTTGTCCAAAGTGGCTTTATCCATGTGTTATCACAGCGGCTGTATAGAAGAGTTCAGTTGTTCCACATCTTCCTCAGCACCCAGTATTTTTCATCTCCTTTACTTTGGTCTTCCTGGTGAGTGTGTAGTGGCATCCCACTGTGGTTTTAACAGACATTTTCCTTTAGACTAATGATGTGAGCACCTTTTCATATGTATTGGCCATGTGGCTATTCATTTTCAAGTAATGTACAAGGCTTTTCTTCATTTTTCTCTTGAAATTGTCTTTTTCTTATTAATACACTGTAATATAAACACAGGGGCCTGGTAACCTCCTACCCACCCACCCCGATACACCACACTCTATTTGACTAACAGAAACAAGAGAGTATGAAATCAAGTCCTAGGTGAGCAAAGAATGCTCCCTAGATGTGGGGTGCTTCCAGCAGGAGCTGAAGTCAACTCCTCAGCTCCTAACATCCCTCCTCTTCTCAGGGCCAGACTGACAGATGAGACAGAGTGAGATGTCATTTTCACACAGTGAGTAACTGCTAAGTCTACACTATGTTCTGAGCACTGCTCTGGGGGTTGTCAATTCTGCAGTGGACAAGACAAGACAGACCAGTCCTTGGAAAATTCAGATGGTCAATTAAGCACAAGAATAGCACTCCATCCTTTCGCCTCTGCAGCTGGGCTGAACTTCCTCACCGAAGAGTCTCAGAGTGATGAGTGCCCTGGCTAGTAACAACAATAATAATAAGCTACTGACACTTACTGAGCACTTCCTATGTCCCAGGTGTTATGCTAAGTATTTCCATGTGTTAAGCCCATGGCTCTCAAATTCTAATGCGCATCAGCATTGTCTAGGGGGTGTATTAATCACAGACTGCTGCTGGGCCCTGCCAGTTTCTGACTCGGGGGGGCTGGGAATTTTCCTTTCTAACAGACTCCCAGATAATGCTAATGGTGCAACCATTTAAGTCACTATGTCAGAGCAACCCTATGGGGTAGGGACTATTATAATCTCCATTACCCTGTGATGCCACTGAGGCACAAACAAGCTAAGCAATATCTATGCCTCTGGCCACACTGCTAATAATCGGTGGAACTGGTATTAGAACCAAAGCAGCATGACTTCACAGAGCACAAACTTGTCTGTTAACTACACCACACTATGCCCCAAGTAGCTTGCTTTTAAAGGCTCTCATAAACAGTCCAGCTTAACTGCTGAAATAAGAGCCTCTATTCCCATTAGATAAATCTGTCCTTCTCTGAGCACTCGTGGATGAGCTATATATCTGTTCTCATCCTGCAGAGAGGTACCAACTACTGTGACAGGTGGATAAGCAGTGGAGGACAGGGACATATGTTAGGGTTTGCAGCTTAAAAATCTATATTTGAATCCCAACTCCAGGCCTTACGTACTACCTTTGAAACCTTGGAAAGTCCTTAAGGTAACTGAGCTTCATTTTCTTCATTATTGTTACAAGAAAAATATATAAAGTAATTTAAAACCCCAACTGATGATAGCTGTTTTATCCTACCAGCTGGAAGGGCATAATTCCCCTGCAGGCAAATGGCTCTTTGTTTAACAGAATCTCCTGATGTAGCACAGTGAGTATGAATGGAGAGGCCCTGAAAGCTGAGACTACATCAAGTCAGAGGCAGGAGGTTTTAGGGGAAACTGCGGGAGGGAAGCAAAGGGCAGGAACAGGAGACAAGGGCTGGGGCCAGGGATCAGGGAGAGGCAAAGAGAAGTAATTCAAAGGCACACTGGGAGGATGGGATGTTCCATGGGGGTGGTGGACAGGGAGACCAGACAGAGGCACTTAAGAAAACTGGTATTTAAAATCCAATTCTAAGTAACTTGCTTTCTGATGGTATGATATCACCACCACTTCCTCCCCCATTACCTCCAAATTCTGCTACTAGATGGTCGTGTGTTTCTGTGTTTAGCAAATAAGCGAATAAATGGGGTTAAACATAAAGACAATATGCCCACCACGAGTAATGCAAACAGACCTCCATGTGGCTGACCCACTGTGGCAGCAAGAAGGCACACAACTTAAAAAAAAAAAATAGTATTTGTGCCTCAGACTGCGGAGCCCCTGAGAGCAGGATCCAAGCCAAAGACCACTTTCTGCCCTGAACCTGAACTAGTAAGTTGGCGTGATGGAGGATGGCGATTCCTGCCTTATGAGCAGGGTGGACATTGAGCCCCAGCCCATGCCCCTGTGCTGGAAACACGGGTGTGCTGGCTGAGTAGGTAGTCATGGAGGTTTCCAATATATGTTATTCCATGGAATCCACAAAGTAGATCTGGGAAAGTTTCTCTTGACGGATGTAATCAGCTAAGAAATAAATAATCCACCTAATAAATGAAAAAAGAATAATAAAATTTAAAAAGCACCATCTGGCAACCCCTGTGAATTAATGAATTCAGGCATTGCTCATTGAGCTGCTAACATTACAAAAAGTGAAACAATCAGACTTTTGTGCCTTTTGACCTAAGAATACACCACTACCCATGAGAGAGTGAGTAGTTTTGCCAAGAGAGAATCAGGGGGAGAGAGTAAGGGAGGGAGAGAGAAAGAGAAAGAAAAACAGAAAGAAGGACGGAGGGAGGGAGAAAGAGAGAGAGAGAGAGAAAGCTGAATCTACTCAAGCCTATGGGTCCAGCTGCAGTCTACAGGAAATACAGAGGACAGATGAGCATGTTAAAGGACACCAAAGGAATGCAACAAGCAAAGACCAAAAAATGGAAAACTGTGGCACAAACATCCCAATTTCATCCATAAGTTGCAAGGGGGAAAAAATGATGGGAGGAACTATAGATTAATAAACACTTAAAGACATATCAACCACTCAAAATGTGTGGACCTTATTCAAATTCTGACTTAAACAAATAAATGATTTTAAAAAAAATGTCATGGAGGCTCTTCTTCTGCCTCAAAGTAGAACATTATCTAACCCACGTTAGATTAGGTTTAGGTCCAGGGAGCGGTAGAAAAAACTCTTCCTCAACTCTTGGGGCTGTGTTCATTCCTAGTCCTCGTGCTTGTGACAAATAAACACCTTGGTTGTAGGATTTGGCTTTTTTGTCTGATGAAGTTCTTATACACTTTCCCACCCATCCCTTCACTGGGCCTTCTCAGGCAACTGGATGGATTGAGAAAGAAAGAGTTGGGAAGGGAAAAGAATATGTCTTTAGGGAAAGAAGCCTATTTTAGGGGTGAGGAGAAAAGGATAGCTTCCTAGAATGGTGGGGCTAAACTGAAATGCCTGACACCACCCCCTGCTCCCATGTCAGCAGGGAGATGTAGAAATCATTGAGACCTAAACTGCGGCAGCCACCTTGTCAGGAGCTGAGAGAGGCGCTGATAGCCACAGGTGACCTGCAGGATGTTAGTCAGGCTAATGAAGGTATCAAGTGCTCCTTAGCACCAGAACACAATGCTCCTGGGTCAGAAGGAGAAGAATCGAAGTCATGTTGCCAGGAGAAATATTTTTTGTTCTTATGAGGCTGGACTTTGCTCTCCTGGGAGAAAACCACTAACGTTTCCTTAGTGGGGTATGTTTGTATTTTTGATAGCTAGTGAGGAAATCAGCCATAGCACTCACTGGTGGGACTAACCTGGAATCCCAGAAGAAAAAGAGGTGGAGGGGGAGGTAGCTGAATCTGCTGAAGCCTATAGACCCAGATTCTAATTTGTAGAAATACAGAAGACAGAGAAATATGTTAACGACTACCATACTATAAAGATGCAAGCAACAAAAAGCCAAGGACTGGAAAACTGCAAAGAACAGGAATTTAATTCATCGATAAGTTACAAGGGGAAAAAAAGGGTGGGAAGACATAGATTTTTTTCTTTAATTAGCCAGGCCTGGTGGCATACCCCTGTAGTCCCAGCTATGGGGGAGGCTGAGGTGGGAGGATTGCTTGTGCCCAAGAGGTCAAGGTTGTAGTGAGCCATGATCATACCACTACATTCCAGCTTGGGTAAGAGAGTGAGATCTCTATCTCTAAAAAGTAAATAAAATAAAATTAAAAAAAAAAGACTTAGAAGACATGTCACCCTCTCTCACTGAACCAGACAGCACCCTTCCTCCTCTCAACTGGCATAGCTTGAGCAGAGGAGATGTTCTGAGGACAGAGCTAAGTTAGCTAGACAGAAGGGGAGACTGAGGCTGGGGATGGGATATCCTCTTCCTTCTGGAGG
Organism: Homo sapiens; assembly: GCF_000001405.40. Classification (NCBI taxonomy): domain Eukaryota; kingdom Metazoa; phylum Chordata; class Mammalia; order Primates; family Hominidae; genus Homo; species Homo sapiens. The sequence goes on from NC_000006.12 coordinate 40,708,965, forward strand.
AAGGGATACAGCTCTCCATGGAGGAGGTGGGAAAATGACCTGGGGGCTTAAAAGAGGAGGCCACTGCAGGAGGAGGTCAGGAAACTCGAGAGAGGCCTCTGGGGAGATGTGGCAACCATGTGAAGAAACTACCTTTAAATATGTAATTTGAAAAGAGCTTCTGCCCCTTGAACAGAGAGAGCAGTTACTGAGTTGATGAATGAACAGCCTCTTTTCTCCCCACCTTCTCTGCTCTGACCCTTTAGGGAAAGACTTGTGTCAATAGGAACCTAGTCAGGTTCTGCCATCTTGGGAAGTGAGTACTAAAATATGCCACGGGCCCAAGGTCTGCACAGATCCCATTTGGGAGAAGGTGCTTAAAGATGTGGCTCCTGCCCCCACAGTGTCCTGTCTACACCTTCATAGTACTGCAGAGTGGACCTGATGAGGAACCTGGGGAGGAGGAGGACACTCCGGACAAGGACACAAACCCGTCCCCATCATGTCGCCAAGCAGAGCAGTACCAAATGGAGCATGGAGGTCCCTACGGCTGACCAAATGGGGTCACCACTGATTAATGGCAGCCCCAGAAAGACCTAGAGGAGGGAAGGCAGGAGCTGAAATACATCCCCATGCTTGAGAGCTGGGAAAACTGAAGGCCATAATCTCTCCCCTAGAGATTATTAAGAAATAGTTCTGAGTGTCTTAGTCCATTTTGTGTCATTGTAACAGAATACCACAAATTAGGTAATTTATACAGAACAGATTTATTTCTTACAGTTCTGGAGGCTGGGAAGTCCAAGGCTAAAGGACCTGTATCTGGTGAGGGCATTCTTGCTGTGTCATCCTATAGTGGAAGGTGGAAAGGCAAGAGAGCAAGAGGGGGGCAAACCCACTTTTATGATGAGCCTACTCTCATGATAATGGCATTAATCCACTCATGAGAATTGGATGGCCTGTTCACCTCTTGTTAGGCCCTGCCTCCCAACACTGTTGTATTGGGAATTAAGTTTTCAACACATGAACTTTGGAAGACACATTCAAACCATGGCACTGAATAACAGAAAATGAGAGGATGCTGATTCTCCCAGATTAAACTAGTAACATGGTGATAAACTCTCAAAGCCCCTCAATAGTGCTACAAGCATGGTCTTGCATGTAGTCTCTTGTGGAGGTACAAAGGTGCTCCTTCCCCCAGTCGGACCCAGCCTGGATCCAAGGAACCCCACTTTTACTTTCAGCTGATGCCTCTGTGCAGTTCAAAAGGCATATAACTGTATGTAGCCCTCTGGGTAAAGGTAATATGTATCTCCCATGGAGGAAGGTAGGGGTTAGAGAAAGGGCCCATGTACCTAAGGGGGTTTTGGAGCAGGGCAGAAGACTAATCCCACAGGCTCTGGCCGATGGTCCTCCCTGTGTGTCCTCTGCCTTCAGGGGCTTCCTGGTGTTCCTGTATTTCTTTTCTGAAGCTCAGTGATCTGGGATTTGTTTGAGCAGAAATGGAGACGATGAAGCCAAGCAACAGATATAGGCACGTTTACTTGGGGAGTAAAGGGAATAAACTGGTACCGGGAATCTGGCAGGCTCTGATGGGGCTTCCACTTAAAGCCTTTTATCTGGATTTCTGTCCAGCCTCTCCTGCTGCCCTTCCTACTACTCCCACTCCTCCTGGGAATCTGAGCTGTGCAAATAAACCCAACCCTGACTGGGCTGGAAGCAGGCAAGTGACAGAGAACCAGTGAAAAGGGAAAGAGGCTTCCCGTCTGTCTCCTGGGGCCCTGCGGCTGGAGAAACTGAGGGTGGGGAGATTGGATCACTTCCGCCATGAGGGCTTCAGCTGCATCCTGTTCTCACAGCCCCCTCCCTCCATCCTGCCCTCTCCAATTTATCTCTGAAGCTGTGTGCATGTCATCTCTAATGGCTAACATTTATTGAGCACCTGCTATGTGTGTTCTGGGCACCAGGCCAAATGCTTTACACACTCTAGCAGACCGGGCTCTGAGCTGCAAGCAACAGAAACCAACTCTGGCTGATTTAAACCTAAAAATAATTTACTAAAAACATCTTTGGTTGCTCATAGACTCTCTAAAGGGCCTAAATACCAGGTTTGGGGCTACACACTCAAGAATAACACCCAAAGTGATGCTGCTGCAAAAATGGTCCACATTTGAACACCACTGCTGCTGGGCTGGCCCTAGGCCTGGAGCTTGCCAGCTGGATGCTGGCCACCAAATTAGCAGCACAGCCACTGCTGTCCTGAGAACTCTTAAAATGGTTGCAGCAACCAGATATAATTCTTTAGGATCCCCTTGAGTCTTGGGCAGGTGCATCCGAATGGCAGAGCCAAGTCTTCCATAGTAGAAGGTAGGCTCTGCCACCCACTCTGGTCCCAACATAGGGAGAAATCTCCAGACACAGGGAGAGAGTGAGGTTGGCCACAAAGACAGACACCTGTCCACTTCACATGCTTGTTCTTGTTTCTCTCATTTAAATCTTGACGGTGGATATGTCATCCTCACTCATCAGAACAGGTACATGAGGGTCAGAAATATTAGCCAAGGATACACAGCTAGTCAGCAGCAGAAAGCCCAGGAGGATTGAGGGCTAACTGACTCCAGAGAGAACATCTCCTAACCCTAACTCTCTTAAGCCTCCTGTCTGCAGCACTGCCAGACAGAAAGGAGCAGTCTGCAGGAGAAAAATAAAGCAAGACAGAGAGCAAGAGACAGAACATGTTTGTGTGTCCTGTGTCTGTGAATGTGTGCATGTATGTGTGTGTGAATTGTATGTGTGTCTACATGAGTCTGTGCATGTATGGCTTCCCTGCATTCCCCTGTTTACAGTTGCAACCCATGCCCCTGAGTGAGAGTATAAGTGTATGTGAATTGTATATGTGTGTTTGCATATGTCAGTATGAGTCTGTGTGTGTAAATATTGTGTGTGTGTTTGTTGGGAGGGGGTGGGTTCAGGACCTCCCCCTGACCCTGCCCATTTAGGATATCAGGAGCTGACTATAACAGCCATGCCCTATCTACCCATTCCAGGGATAAGAGCACATCTGTACCTAAAGGGGCTCCCTAACTCCGGACTTTATGAAGTTGACCAAAAGGATCTATAAAGAGAACTGAATGCAGGGTTGGCATTCTAAATCCTTAATACCCTAGTTGCTACTGGCTCTGACCACAACCACACAGCTCCACTCCACATGCTGCTCTGATGCCCACTCTCTCATCAGCAGCCCTGACAGTGTGCAGTATGGGCTGAATATATAGAAACCACACAAACTCGGAAGGAAACATGGGGTCTTTGAAATCAGTCCCATTGGACTGTGAGTTTCATGTCTCTCTTGTTCATCCAAAGGCCCAGGGCTGCCCCATGCTGGCACGTGGCAGGTGCTCAGTTGAATGAATAAATGAGTGGGCAAGTCAGTGAATGAATGAATAGGCCTTCTCACTGACAAAGTCACAGTGCCCTGGACCAGCATCACCAGGTGGGTCACCTCCATGATCCTGGTCTGCCTTGACGCCTCTGTTTTCCAGTCCCCATACGATCCAACAGAGGCTTTGTTCATCTCTTGCTTCCTCTAGCTTTTTCCCATGTCCTGGTATTTGCTTATTCATTTGCTTAAAGCACTCTTCCAGAGTATGAAATCTGTCCCCATTAGTTTCTATAGGAAGGCTTTGATTCCCTCCAACATGTTCTGGAAATGCTAGACGAGTAGTATAGCAACTCACCACACCTCAAGGAAGATTCCCTGGATGTGCAGCCAGGGAGCAGGGACAGGAGACAGAAAGAGGCTGGATCTGTGGATAGCACAGTGCAGCTCCCCCAAAGCCTGGACTTAGGGGACTGCAAAGCCCACACAACAACAGGACTGGGACGTAACTAAGCTGCCATTTTCCTGACTGCACAGTATTTGTGCACACAGCAGTCAAGATACCTAGAAGATTAATATTATGTTTGATGCTCAGATGACCTGCTGCAGACCCAGGATCTCATCTCAAGACCTGGAGGAGAATCCAGTCTTTCAGTGAAAGAAGTTACCTGCTTATTGCATCCCATAATGAGGCAGAGTCCTTGCTCTCTGTTGCCCAGGCATCTCAACCCAGGGCTCTAGGCTTCGGTTTGTGCATCTGGCCCCCTGCACATCTGGAGTGTTGGAATTCAGAGAGTGCAGCGGCAGCTTCTGCGGGCCCTGCCTGGAGGAAGCCTCAAGAGGGAAGCACTGTTCCAGCCTCAGAGCCTGCGTGTCTGAGCTCAGTGTAGTTCGAAGCCACCAGCACATGCTGGATTCTTCTCCCCTCTGCCTGGTCCCTCTCTGGTTATTCTTTCTCTTCTCTCTGCCAGCCCAAGCCTCCTCTGGCAGGAGAGAGGGAGAACTGTGTTGCAGGCAGGGAACTGAAAGGGAGAGGATGTCCCAGAGGAGCTGACAGCTCACGACTGTTGCTCACCACAGCAGGGAAGGTTGCCTTCTCCTAGCCAGTTGTGTTTTCTCCTCTTCCAGCCCTCATGCCTGTTTGCTGGGGGGAAAAGTGTCAGTGTCAAGGCTCAGGCATGTCATCTCCCTTGCTGCCAGCAGGCCTCCCGGTTCCTACCAAAGGGCTGCTGGAGGGGAAAGGCCACCTCAGCTGAGGCGTGCCTAGGTGAGGGATCCCTATGAAAAGCCAGTGACATCCTCCTGGCCTGGCTTCAAGTCCTCAGGGAGCCACAGCACAGCTCCCTCTCCTCCCACGGATGCTGGCTTCCCCGCATTGCCCTGTTTACATTTGCAACCCATGCCCCTGAGCTCCCGGTCCTCCCAGAGGCTACAGGACTCGGCAATAAAGGTGGTGACAAAAGAAGAATTAAAGCAGGCTGAGGGGAGCCGGAGCTAGAGAAAGCGCCACTTTACCCAGGGCAGTCAGGGAAGTCTCTCTGTGGAGGTGACACTTGAGCCTGGAGACCTGCAGGAGGGAAGGGGTGAGCTGGGCGGACACCTGGGAAAGCTCACTCCACAGGGAACAGCGTGTATCACCCACGCAAGGAGGGGTCCAGCTGGTTGGAAGAGAGCAAGGAGGCTGTGTGGAGTAGCAGGGACAGGGGGGAGGCTGAGGAAATGAGACCAGAGCAGGGCTGAGCAGGTCAGTTGCAGCTTCCAAAAAAACCCTTTTAGGCATTTAAGTATCATTAAATTCTCACTCAGACACTCTGAGATAAGTATAATTATTATCCCCATTTTCCAGATGAGGAAACTGAGGAGGCGAGAGGTTACATATTTCCCACAGATCACAGAGCCAGGATTCAAGCAGTTCTTGCCTGTGGTCTGCACACCAAACTGCTTTGCTACGTCACCCGTAATAGTAACTCATCCACCTGAGAGTTGGGCAGACACGAATCCCAGTGCTGGACAGCAGCGCAGGATTTCTATGGCCCTGGCAGGTGAATTCTCCTCTGTGTGCTTCTGTCTCCTCACACGCTGCACCTCACAGGGTCATAGTGAAGGAGGAAGCAGAGATGAGCAGACATGGCTTCATATGGTCTGGGGATCATCCTTCCCTTCCCCACCCCATTTCAGGCAGATGGGGGCAGATTCCAGAAGCCAGGGGTAAGGAAGGTCAGTCTGAAATCTGAGGGGGAGTGGGCAGCTCAGCTACAGAAACCACAGGGCATGAAGGTGAGGGTTCTGGTGGAGGGCGTGTCTTCCCAGGGTGCCAAGGGGGTGGGTTCCAGAAGGCCTTAGGCCTGGTTCTTCATGGGAAAGGCTTAGCTCTGAAAGGCAGAACACCCACAGATAAGAGGAAAGAAGAGTGGGTCAAGTGAAGGATTTTCAAATGAAAGGAGACTTGAAGCAGTGGAGAGAGTGGGAGGGAGATGGGGAGTGTTAGAGACAGTGATAGCAGGTGGGTGTGCTCAGGGCCAGTGTTTGAAATAAGCAGGCGTGGCCCTTGGTTGGCTGTCCATGCCCCAGGTGCAACTACACTCACTGTTTGCAGAGCTTGGCCCTGTGTGTCATTATTTGCAGAGCTTGGAGCTGTTTGCAAAGCTTGTCATTGCCTGTGTCACCATTTGTAGACCGTGGCACTGTTTGTCATTCTGTGGAGTTTAGTTTTATTTGCAGAGCTTGGTATTATTGGGAGAGGCTAGTACTGTTTGTGTCACTGTTTGCAGTACTTGTCCCTGTGTCTGTTGGTGTTATGATGTCGACAGAGCCCATTCCTCCCTATTTCTCTGTTTGCTGAGCCTGTCAATGCTGATGTTACTGTCTCTGTGGATGTTCGGGGTCTGTCACAGTCAGAGGTATGGTCTGCAGTGCCCTTCACTTCCTGGGTCCCTGTGTGCAGAGCCTGTCATGGCTGGAGTTATGGTGTCTGTGCTGTCAGTGTCACAAATGCAGAGGCAGTCTCTCTGTGCAACTCTGTGCTGAGGCTTCTCACTGTTAGTGTCGCTGTCTGCGTCATGATTTGCAGAACCCATTGCTGCCTGTGCCTCTGTTGACAGGGTCTCTCACTGTCTATGACACAACAGTGAAACATGATATCACAGAGGAATATTCTTCACAACCATATCTGAAGCCTATCTCTGATCCCCAGCAGTCACTGCGCCCCCCACCTGGGACACATACACCACCTTGCCCCATGCTCCCATGCCCTCTGACCATTTTTGAATACTGGCCTCTGGAGTCTCGTAAGACCAAACACCCTGCCTCTGCTCCCTGCCATACTTAATGGGCCTCACACCCTGCTTCCTGGAGCTTGATTTCACTGCGGAGTCCAGGCCTCGTGGATGGCTCTAGACCAAGAGCACAAGCAGATTTACAAAAGAATCAGTGTTGGCAGGAAGGGGAAAAAAATGACATAGAAAGAGAGGAGCCATCAGGAAAGATGAAAGGGTTTTGCTTCTTCATCTGACGGGTCTTGAAGGCTGTCTTCGGGAGGGAGATGGCTCCTTACGGCAGAGGGTGTAATTAATTAAGGGTGAGGTGCAGTGAGCTCAGGCAGCTGGTGCAAGTGATAAAGTGGCATTGTGCAGCGAGTCCCCGGTGGTGACGGAGATAAGGGCCCTGTCACAGGCACGAGGCTTGCTGGTTGCAGCGTGGGGAAGAGGCAGGGGTGTTTCTAGAGGGAAAGGCAGGAACTGGCCAAAACACATTTATGGGTGAAGCTCTGCCTCCTTCAGACCACAGCACCTTGAAGTTTAATCCCCTGGTGGGAAAGCCGAAAATACCCATTATGCCACTGCTCATTTCTTGTAGACAGAAATATAGAAAATGAGAGCATGTGTTGAAGAAAAAAAATCAAAAGGAATGGTTAAAAGAAAGTTTTAAATAACATTTTTAAAAGCATAAGAAACCCATAGACTATTTTAAAAAAATAAAGAAAATCCTCATTGAAAGCCAGGAAAAAATGTGTGCTGAGGATCAAAAAGACTGGTTTCTGGAAAGGAAAAAAAAAAAAAAACCCTCTGCATTGCTAACTAGCAGAGAAAAAGAAGTCATGTAAAGATGTAAAGGGAAAGGCATCCTGTAAGTGTATATAATCTATATTATATATTTATATTTTATTATTAATTATTTATTACAAGAAAAGAGTGCATGGCAGGTCAGATGTACATTTGAAGTCAAACATCCAGGAAAAGCATCTGAGAATCCCCTTGTGAGGAACTCCAAAGCCAGTAATAACAGTTCCTTTAAATAACTTCAAAGTCAGGGAACCAGGTGAAGAATAAGTGGGAGCCCTCAGTGATCACAGTGCAAAAGGTGCACAAAGAACGAAAAGAGGCTGGTGGACAGGCTCAGCCAAATCTGTGCCAGGGAAGATGGCCCTGAAATCTCCACTCCCAAAATGCCTTTTGATGGTGAGAGTTGAATGTACAAGATCAAATATTAATGACAATGGTAACTCCTTACATGTACATATTGATTTATGGTTTGCTTTTTTGTTGTTATTGTTTTTACTCACATTATCTCATTTAATCTTATCATAACATAGTCTCTAAGATGGGCAGGAAAGGAATTTTTAGTAGCCCCATTCATAGATGCGAAAATTATTATCAAAATTGGTTATGAAGTACTATGGTTTGAATGTCTCCTTCAAAACTCACATTGAAATTTAATTGCCTGGCCAGGTGCAGTGGCTCACACCCGTAATCCCAGCACTTTGGGATGCCAGGGCAGGTGGATCACCTGAGGTCAGGAGTTTGAGACCAGCCTGGCCAACATGGTGAAACCCCATCTCTACTAAAAATACGAAATTAGCCAGGCGTGGTGGCATATGCCTGTAATCCCAGCTACTTGGGAGGCTGAGGCAGGAGAATCACTTGAACCCAGGAGGCAGAGATTGCAGTGAACTGAGAACGTGCCATTGCACTCCAGTCTGGGCAACAAGAGCAAAACTCCACCTCAAAAAAAAAAAAAGAAAGAAAAGAAATTTAATTGCCATTGTGACAGAATTAAGAGGTGGGTCACTTAAGAGGTGATTGGGCCATGAGAGATCCACCCTCATGAATGTATCAGTGCCATTATTGTGACAGTGAGTTACTGATAAAAAGGATGGGTTCACTATTCTAATGTTCTCCCTCTGTTTGATACACTCTCACACTTTCTTGCCATGTGATGTCTTCCACAATGTTATGACACACCACAAAGGCCTTTACCAGATGCCAGTGCCATGCTCTCGGACTTTCCAGCCTCCAGAGCCATGAGCCAAATAAATTTCTATTTTAGTTACCCAGTCTGTGGTATTCTGTTATGGCAGCAGAAAATAGACTAAGAAATAAGGCAAGAACCTTCAGCTAAATCATGTCAGCATTGGAACATGATCCTAAAACCCAGAGTCTTTATGCAATATCATGCTATCTCAATTTGGATTCTTGCAGAAGCTGAGCCTGAGGCAATGATGTGGGTGCAATATCGTTTATTTGGGAGGTGAAGAAAGCACTGAAAGAGGAATGGGACAGTGGAACAGGGAAGGGGAGAAACCAAAACAGAGTGAGTGATCAGGCTGGCTAACACCTGGTTCCTAAGGCCCAGTCCTGCAGAGACCTTGGAGCAATAGCATAGCACTAACTGTAAGAGTTTTCCTCCTTGAGGGGAACCCAAATTCTGAATTTCATCCGGAAATCAGTATAAATAGGTCACCATGACCTGTTGGAATCCACTTGAACCTCCTAAATAAACTCAAGGGTGAACTGTGAAACTGATATCCATGATAAGTTACTTGTTGTTCCAAATACTGCTATGTTTTTTTGGGCTGGTAGACTGCTAACTATGCCTGCTCCTAATAAGTGGATCCTTGAAATAGGAATTATCTGTAAGATAGATACAATAATTATTCTGTAAGATAGGGATTATTGAGCCCACGTTTGACAGATAGAGAAACTGAGGTTCCAGGAGATTAAATAACTTGCCCAAGATCACAAAGTTATTAAGTAGGGAAAGCTAGATTTGAGTTCTGAACTTCTAACTCTAAAATCTATACCACCTGTGTTAGTGAATGTTCTCTGGAGAAACAGAATCAATAGGAAGTATAGATAGGTATAGATATAGAGAGATTTATTACAGGAATTGGCTCACACGATTATGGAGTCTAAGAAGTCCCACAGTCTGCCCATCTGCAAGCTGGAGAACCAGGCAAGCCAGTGGTGTAATGCATTGGCTTAAAGTGAGTGGCTTAAAGTCTGAAGGCCTGAGAACCAAGGGAGACAATAATATAAATCCTGGTCTGAGTCCTGAGGCCCAAGAGCCAGGAGCACTGAAGTCCAAGGACAGGAAAAGATGGATGTTCCAGCTCAAACAGGGAGCAAACTTTTCCTTCCTCCACCTTTTTTGTTTGTTTGTTTGTTTGTTTGTTTTCCTCTCTGGACCATCAATAGACTGGTTGATGCCCATCCGCATTGGGGAGGGCAGATCTTCTTAACTTGGCCTATCATTTCAAATGCTGATCTCTTCCAGACTTATCCTCACCGACAAACCCAGAAAGAACATTTTACCAGCTATCTGGGCATTCCTTAGCCAAGTCATGTTGACACCTAATGTTAACCATCACACCAGCTTTTCCTATAACTCACAGAGGTGGTCTTTGGAAACATGAAACAGTAAATTTTACCCCATCCTCGACCAATCCGCTACCCACTGGATAAGAGAAAGTGGGAAAGAATAGAAATTGGTTAAAATGCAATTTAGGTCTGTTCCTGGGAGACAGATTGCCATTGAATTTGAGGGGATTTCAAAGAGGGGAGTAAGAAGGGAATTTGAAGCCTGTCTCAAGCCTGTAAGGATGGCTTCCCTGACACCTGTTCATGACAGAGCTGTGGCCTGGAGAACTGTGGGCCTGCAATAGAATGGGGATTCTAATGGCATAAGTGTGTGTCTGGGGGTGAGGTCCCGGTGGGCATGAGCATCATGAACATGCAGTGGGGCCAGTGGAGCTGGCCCATAGGGTGGCTCAGATGGAGAGAAGGCTTGGAATCTGGAGCCAGATAAGAGAGGTAGAAACAATTCTTGGAGTGTCTTGGGGCTGAGTCCTCTCACGCCCACTACTGCCTGCTATACCTCCAGCTCCACAGCCCCACCAAGGCCCTTCTGCCTCTCCTACTTTGAATTCTTCTTTTTTTAGAGCAGTAAGCCCGGCACTGAGAGGCAGTAATTGGGGATCTTTTGTTCCACACAGTCTCTGCCACGCTTGCTCCCAGGGTTGCAAAGTTGCTTTCTACTGCCAGGCACATGGGGTTTGACCTTTTTCATTTATTTGAACACTTACCTTCCAAATAGGAGAGTGGGGTGGAGCGTGGGGGGAGAAAGAGAGAGACAGAGACAGGGTGATAGAGCAGGAGACCTACAGGGAGAGGAACTGAAAGTAAGATCAGAGCACTTAGAAAGAAAGAGGCAGGCAGGCTCTGGGAAGGAAAACAGGAAGTGGGAAAAAAAACACTTAACTATGTAAGACTGAGAGGCATCTGGAGCCCAGAGGAGCTGGAAGGAGACACAGAGCCAGGGAGAGATGGAGAGGATAGACAGGGAGATAACAGAGAGGAGAGCAGACAGATGCAGAAAGAGAGCACACATGGGAATCCAAGCAAACTGGGGAGAGAGAATGAAGAGGTGGGAATGCCGAGTGAGGTGCCCTCTCAGCTCTCAGAGTCCTGCAGTACGTGCACACCTACCAGCCCAGAATGTTAATTACACGCTGCCTTTAACAGCCTCCACTGCTGAGTCCCTGAAAGGGGGAGCTGGGATGCAAACCTGCAGGCAGCACGTAGCAGCCCCTTAGCCAACCCAGGGGCAGGAAGCAGAAGAACCTTTCAGTGTGATCACAGAGAGAGAGGCGCAGGACAGTCTTGTGTGTCCCGCAGGAGTGGCCAGTGTCCCTCATAGACCTCAAGAGCCAGAAGAGAGGCTGACCAGCTGGGCTGGGGAGTGCCTGGATAGAGAAAGCAGGGAGAGAAAGGACCCTGGGGAAGAGGAAGCTCGGGAGGGACAGAGGGAGGGAGGGAGGGAAGAGGTACTAAGAGACGAAAGATCCCTCAGGCCTCCCCACCCCCACCTCACTTTTTGCAGACAATAATCCCCTTCTGCCCCTTCTGTCCTGAGATGAGGCAACCCCTCCCCCAACTCCACCCACAGCATCCTTTCAAGTTCATCAGCACCATCTATCACCACAGCCAAAAAGGTCTCAGTGCCTATTCCTGCTCCCTGAGCCCTGACCCAGCCCTGGCTTTCCAGCCAGCTGCAAGTGAGAAAAACTTACTCTTCTCTTCAAGAGCATTATAAAAACTGAGAATGCAACTTTCTCCTGAGTAATGAGAACTGTCTCTTTATGTCTAGCCCTTTCGTCCACCCCACCGTCTCGTGCTTTGCCTCTCCAGATCCTCCAGCCAAGATCCATCTTCAGATCAGGCATCCAAGTCAGATGGAGGAGGCCAGGCCTTGGCTGTGTAATCCAGGAGCTCCAATCTCAGCTGTTTGCTCCCCTCTTGGGAAAGGTACTGAATGGGCAAGCTCCTATTTCCCTCAGCCTCCACCCCTGCCCACGTTACTCAGGAAAGTCCTCATATCCATGCCCTCCTCCTCCCTCTCCAGCCAGCCACCCTGCCAGCCACTGCTCAGATGGGAAAAGGAGGTCGGGACGTTCCTGAGTAGTTAATAATAAGGGGGTGAGGGGCTATGATGGTAAATCCTTTGCCCAGATCCAGGTCACAGAGAGGCACTAGGCTCTTGAGGTCCCCAGAGACCTCTAGCGAGGTGACAGCTCAGTGGACCTGAGCTTTTCTGGCCCTCCATTCACTGGGGCCCAGGCTTCAGTGGCTTCTCTGAGATGCTGATGTGTTCTCAGCACTTTAGCAAGAGATGCTCCAGGCACAGGCTTTCTGCGGCTCTCTTCTTCCCATCCCACCACTGCATCCATTTGTGTCTTCACATAAGCGCACTCCACCCGGAATCACTAGGCTAGGCCTACACATGTGGGCACATGGACATATGCCAAACACATAATACACAGGCATGCATGAGTGCCTGCAGACAGAGATGCCTGCAAAAGGGAGCATTCAAGCACACAGGGCCCCACATAGGCAGACAGCGCAGCGCTCCATAAATACAAATTAAATTAAATATGCACAAGCACACCCATGGCAAGTCATCAGGCCTCTGCTCTGCCCAAGGCAAGGGTGTTTGGGCTGAGCAGCCTCTGCACAGCTAAGGAGCTTTTGATTTGACAAAGAAATTACATTTCTTTCACATTAAAAAAGGCTTTGAAGATTCAAAGCCTCAGGCCAGAAAGCAGTGACCACCCAGGGAACAGGGGCAACAGGTCAAGCTTTCCTCTCCCTGCTCCTGTCACTGAGAGACCGTCTTCCTCCCTGGGGCCCTGAAGGGCATTGAAAGTCATGATTTCATGAGGCTGAAACAGGATGAGTTGCTCCACAAGTCCTGCTGCCAGGCAGTGGAGAGGCTGCCCAGAGGCCCCCCAGAGCTACAGCATAGCGTCAAGCCTGTCTGGGGTCCTTCCATCTCCCTTTGGGGCACCTCATCTTTCTTTCCTTTCAGTGGCCTCCCAAGAGGCCATCAGGCTAACACCCTCGTGGGTTAATGATGTGACCTTTCTTGTCTTCTTGGGATTTTCCTGTAGTCAAAAAAGGAAGGTGTCACTGGGACAGGAAAGACATCCAGGCAGCCTCCTGCTCTGCCAGTAAGTAGACTGGGCTGTACAGGAGAGGCTGGAGACCCAGGAGAGTCAGGATAAGCTGTTTTTCTGCCCCTCTCATCACCTTCCTCTCCTGCATGACAATAATGCTTCTTATAGGACAGAACTTGTGAGAACAGTTGCTGCTCGGGTCTTAATCCTGTTCTCTCAGCTCAGAGCATTCCTCAGGCAGGGGAGGCCTCAGTGTGTAATCCAGGAGCTCCGACCTCAGCTGTTTGCTCCCCTCTTGGGAAAGGTGCTGAATGGGCAAACTCCTATTTCCCTCAGCCTTTGTTGGTCTCCAAGACACATCACAGCCCATCCTTACACTCCATGATACCTGCCGATCCCTGCTTAAAATCCTCCCACGTTAACTTTAAATACAGTTAAATCTTTTGAAATGAGCAATTTTCTGCAAAGGTCACTGTAATGCTCAGAGTTCTATGCTGCCAGGAGACCCTTGGAAGGCAATGAGGCAGTCCCAGAGTGGGGAGGGAGGGAAGTGGAGAGAAATGAGAAGACCACAGCCCCTGCAACACCCCCACCTGGGCCTCCTCCCCGCAGATGAACATCCTACACAAACAAAGCCGTGGGTTGTCAGGCTTGAGAACAACCCCAGAGATTGCCCAAGCCTCTGTTTCACAGATGAGAAAACAGAAGTCCAGAGAGATGACATAACTTGTCTGGGGATGCACAACCAGTCAGGGTCAGAGCTGAGGCCTGAACCTCCTTGCCCCTATCCCAATGTTCTTTAAATATTAACTTTAAAAACACAGCAATACTGGTCCTTAATTCTGGAAGGTGATTATTTATACACAGCCCATGTCCAGGCTGTTGCCTCTGCTTGGAATGCCCTCTCCTCAACACTGTCCCCAACATTTCTCTCTGGCAAGCTTGTATTCATACTCCAAAGTCCAACTGGCATATCACCTGCTCCCTGATTTCTCTCTCCACCCACCCCCTCAACTTCAACAGACTGAATTACTCCTTGTCTGGGTCTCCTCCACACCCTTCATATGCCTCTGCTGGGCACATAACGACTTACATGTCTGTTTCTTTCCCTGGGCCATGGGCTCCTTCCAAGAGGGGAATTACAGCAGAGTCTAGCCCAGTGTGTAGTCCAATTGACATTGCTAATTGGGGATCAGTTGCCCATGTCCATGAATGTGTGGAGGGAAGGAATAGGTGGAGAAGGAGCCTCAGGACTCAAGGTCAACTTGCTAGAAATATGGCTTGGGCTGGAGATGGTAATTCTGGGTATGCGGCTTTCTCTCCAGATATATTTGTGTCTATGAAGACCCCAAGTGCTACCCACGAGGGCAGAACAGATCCAAGGAAGGGGCATGTTCCACAGGAGGTATCAGGTGACCTGAAGGGGCCCCCACTTCACTGTTCTCTGTCGGGACGGGGTTGAGGCAAAAGCCGCTCCTAACCTGAGCCCCTGACCCAGGCCTGGCCAATATGGGAGGTCAAGCAAGCCTGCTCCACTCCACTTTCTTTCCCCAGATGGGACATCGATTTCTCACACACCCCAAGTGAGTGTTGAGGTGGCTCTGCCCCTTTGACAACAGGTGCAGCCCAGCTCCTGAAGCAAGAAACCTAGGCCAAACATCAGGCTTGGGATTTGGGTTTGGGATAGGGTTTGAGTAGGGTTTGAGAGATGAGGTTAAGGGTGAGATTTGAGAGGCTGGGTACCACTACTTGTAGGGAGCTTTCAGATTGGTGAAGAAGAAAGAGCCCTGCCCTAAGAGAGCTCAAGGGGAAAAATACATGAATGCAGGCCGTTAGGGCCCACTGGGACACAGGGCTGAGCTATGCCTGGAGAGGAATGGGTAGGGAAGGAGAAACAGAGGGTGGGGAAAGAGGAGGAAGTGACTAGTGATGCTCTGGCCTGCCTGCTAGCTGGATGTGAGTCCAGCAATGTGAATTCTCTCTCTAAAAGCTCCTGGAGACACTCAGTTGTATGGCTCTCTGTGTGTCCCTGTATGTGAGTGTTTCTGTTTGGCAGAAGTCCGGGAGGTACGATGGAAATGGGACAGGACATTCAGAGATGAGCGACTAATTTCCTGTTAATGGCTGGTTGCTTGGCAACCCAGCTTATCTCTGCCTGTTGCCCTCAAAATTGGACTGCAGGAATTTTTAGTGTTAAAGCGCCTCCCATGGAAACTCAATTCTGTGAGAGGTGGGTCCTGTCATCACTGCCCTGCCCTTCCCTGCCCCGCTGGGTAGCAGAGCAGGGCACAGGACACACAAAAACCAAAGCCTGCCACAGCCTCTCATTCTGTCTTTTGTGCCATCCTCTCCATGAACAATCATGAATACACATATGCTTACACACACACGTGTTTATATAAGCACATGTGCACACACACAAACACACTAATCTGTGGCTTACACACATATAACAATAGTAAACTGTTACTATATCTGAGTGCCTACCATTTGACAAATATTTTGCTTCAACTTTTACATCCACTTCATATTCTCTGTTCTTCTTCCCTGCAGCCTTATGAACTACAGTATCATCACATTTATAAACAGAAACCAGGAAATCATGTCCAGGGACCAGCGTACTCATGTGCATGTGTTCCAGAAATTCAAGTGTGAGGGGGGACCATCTTTCCAAGGATGGACTCCATTCAAGTCCTTCATTCTTACCCCCAACAAATCCACTGAGAATAATTCCATCTGGAGAGAGAGAGAGAGCTAAGCACAGGAGTCCCTTTCTTCTTTCCAACCAACCAGGACCTCGAGGGATGCCTGTTCTCTGCCATCCCCCACCTGAGTTTGGGGACCTCAGACAGGGGCCTGAGCTGGTATGAGCTTTGGCATAAGTCACAGAGATTTAATACCATATATCCAGCGTCTGGTCTTTCAGAATGACATTTTCATTAGAGTGGAAATATGCCACCTAAACAAACAAAAAAGTATTTCTCAGCTTCCCCTGAAGATGGCAGTGACCAGTGAAATATAAGGGGAAGTCACTGGGTGGGGATTTTGGAAAGGATTTGTAAAGGGAGGTTTCTCAGCTGATAGATACCCTTTTGCCTTCCCCAATTTCTCCTACTTTCTATCTAGAACGTCAACATGATGGCTGGAATTCTAGTGGCCATCTTAAGTCATGGGGTGACCTTGAGAAACAGAAAGACACATGGCGGCTGGGACATGGATGGTACCAAGGAGCCCTCTTGACAGGCCTGGATTGCCAACCCAGACTTCTTTTACATGAGAGAAGAGCAAACTTGAATTATATTGGCCAGTAGCCTACTCAATATTTGGCCTTTCTGTCCTGCAACTGAACCTAATACTAACAGATACAGCAGGTCTCCAAAAACAGAAAGTACTGAGGCCCCTGGTGCTCAGAGATCCCTGGAAAGAGTGACTGAGCTGAGATAACCCACAGCCCCACCTTGAATCCAAGACCCTCCATTGGAAGCCAGGGCCTGCCTGTCATTGTCTTCCAGGAAAGCTGTCTCAGTCACTTCCCCGGGCCTCAGTCTTTCTCAACACAAATATCACCATCTCCATAACACCCCTCTCCCAAAATAATGCTTGTAGCTCCCCACCTCCCTCCCTCGTGAAATCTGAAGCCTGATGAAGCCTCCCTAGACAGTTTGTGCAAAGAATGGCACAAGCATGAATGATGATTTCATCAAGAGTCTGCAGGGCACAAGGCTGTGCCAGTCCTTTTCTGGAAGGTCAGGGATAGGAAGACAGGTTAAGGAAATGCCAGAGGCTCTGAGTCTGACTGAGCCAGGGAAGGAGAACCAGGATCAGTCCATAAACAAGCAGGAAGTAGCCCCTTTTGTTTTGGCTTAGGCCTGCACCAGGGAAGCTGAGTCACTTAGGGGTAGGGAATGGAGGCAGGGAGAGGGCAGAGCCCCCAGACTCGTGGTTAGGACCCCTAAGTGCAAAATCCCAGTTCTGGCTCCAACTTGCCCAGAAAATGAGGGTTTTTGGCTAGGTGAGCTATGAAGCCACTTTCACCCCACGAGTCTGGCGCCATGGTCCCTAGTTTATGGAGCTTGTTATCCGGTACACAGACCCCGTCTCACTCACTGTTCTCCACACCCTCTTCGGTGTTCCCCAAACCTCTAAATGAGCCCTTGTGTCCACACTTTAACATAAGCTGGACCCTCCGCCTGGATTCCTGCCCCTCCAGCACAACTCATTCCCTCTCCCCTTATGAAGGTCTCTGTCTAAATGTTACCCTCTCAAAGACACCTTTCCTGGTCACCCTGTCGTAGGTGGCACCTGGATCACTCATCCTAATTGGTTTTCTTCACTTAATATTTGCTTGTTTGTTGGTTTGGATACGGTGTTTCTCTCTGATATGGTTTGGATCTGTGTCCCCATCAAATTTCATGTTGAATTGTAATCCCCAGTGTTGGAGGTGGGGCCTGGTGGGAAGTGATTGGATCGTGAGGGCAGAGTTCTCGTTAACAGTTTAGCGCCATCTCCTTGGTGCTGTCCTGGGGATAGTGAGTGAGTTCCTCTGAAGTCTGGTTGTTTAAAAGGTGTGTAGCACCTCCCTGCTCTCTCTTGCTCCTGCTCCCGCCATGTGAGATACCTGCTCTTCATTCACCTTCCCCCATGATTGCAAGGTTCCTTGGGCCTCCCCAGAAACCAAGCAGATTCCGGCACCATGCTTCCTGTACAGCCTGCAGAACTGTGAGCCAATTAAACCTCTTCTCCTTATAAATTACCCAGCCTCAGGTATTCTTTTATAGCAATGCAAGAATGGCCTAATACCCTCTCCCATGAGAATATTAACTCCATGAAGACAGAGATTTTGTCTGTTTTGGTGCATTGCTGAATCCTCAGCATGTAAAATAGCACATAGTAGACATTTTAATAAATAGTTAACTGACAAACAGAATGAGTGACTACACGTGCAAGTGTATCTACATTTTTTCATCCACATGCGTATACATATATACATACTTCCATGCACGCATCCCACACCTACACACACACACACACACACACACACATACAGCTTTTTGCATAAATGGAAATTCTAATACACTTTTTCAGGACATCTTAGAATTACACAAGCTAGAAAGGCAATGCCAGAGTCTCATTCCTAGCAGACGTCAGTCTGCATAACAAAGCATGTGGGGTATGGCAATGAAATTTAATGTTCAAATCGCATAATAAAATATTTTTATTTATATGCCTTTTATATTCCCTATATAATAAAAGTAACAGTATTTTCATGGATGCTTTTCTTATTCAGTGTGTAGCTCACTCCTACTTCTGGTTTTACATGAGGCTCTTTTAGCAATACTCTGGGGAAACACCCAGCAAGAGAGGGATAGGCAATTTACTCTTGAATGGTTTATAACACCATGTAACCAATGGCAACCCTCATGGGCTACTCCCCATCTCCCCCTAGTTGTTGGGGATGGGAGGGAGCATGCGCTGGGCTAGAGTAGTCAAAAGAGTTGAACAAAACATACTCTTAGCATGTAAATCACCTTCATCTCCCCCTCCCTTTCTTATTTATGCTACATAATAGAGTAATTAGTTCATATTTGCTAACAGTAAAAGAGAACCAGGTCAAAATGGTAAAGTTTCTTATAGGTACAACTTTTCTGTTTCACAGGTAAATATTGGTATTGTGTACAGGATGTAATAATTTATCTATTTCAAATGCTCATTAACAGCTGTTAAACTTTATTATTTATTAATCGGTGAATAATTTATTTAATTTTTAAAAATTAAATATAGAACTACTAATGGATTAAATTTAAATACTTAAGTCTAATATAAGTGGACAGGGATTCCAGTAGAGAACTGTGTTCTGCAAAGTGTTCTGTGTAAGATACAAGAATCCTGTGTATGGACAGACTTCTAGCTGTACATGGAATATACACTTATGTACTCATGAATGAGAATCAGGGCAGCAGCAGCCACAACAAACAGAGGTAAGGTTAGTCTGATTCCACTTAGACAGTGACTTCAAACCCTGTGGATCAACGCTTGCATCTCTCCTGGACAGGCACATTTGCACACCTGGCTACCCCCAAAGAGGGAAGCCTAGGGCAGTTCACACACAGAAAGTAAGACAGAGAGAGATACAAGCGACCTTCATCATGGGATCACATTCAGTCCTGCTTGCAAGTCCAACCTTCCCACAGCTGACATTAACCCCTGGTATTTAGCATATTAACTTCTCAGAGCTGACCTTTTTGAACTTGACCTTTGCCTGCTAAACCTGTGGAGCCAGCCAGTTCCACAAAGAGTTTTAGAGCCGTCTCAGCCATTCTGATGATAGCTCCTGATACCAGTCATCTTGGTCTGTTCAAGCTACTATAACAAAATACCTTAGACTGGGTGATTTATAAACAATAAACTTATTTATCACAGTTCTGGAGGCTGGGAAGTTCAAGATCAAGGAGCTGGCAGATTTGGTGTCTGGTGAGGGTCTGCTGCTTGGTTCATAGATGGCGCCTTTTGGCTGTGCCCTTACAGGATAGAAGAGATGAGGGAGTTCTCTGGGGTCTCCTTTATAAGTGCGCTTATCCCATTTATAAGAGCTCCAACCCCATGACCTAATCGCTTCCCAAAGGCCTCACCACCACTTTGGGGGATAGTATTTGAACATATGAATTTGGGGTGTGGGACACAAATATCGAGGCCATAGCACCAGTGCTTCTCACATTTCCATGTGCACACAAATTACTTGAGGATCTTGTTAAAATGCATATTCAGATTAGCAAGACTGGGATGGGTCTGAGTCTGCATTACTGACAAGCTGATGCTGTTAGAAATGACCCAGGGCCTTACTTATAACAGAAGGGCCTTAGGCTACAGAAGCCCTTTCTTTTCCCCGGAGTTTCCACTCTCCCTGCTACACATTCTCCAACCCCAGGTCCTCTTGCAGCTCTAGCCACTGGGCTTGGAGCTCATGTGGCTGGTTGTGGTGGGATGAGCTGAACTGTCTCAATCTCTCAGTTGATGCCGAGTACCAGAGCCTTTACCAACGGCTGAGTATGCAGCTGGGCAACCTGGGTGGGATCCTGCCCCATGGAACATGCATGATCTTAGGGAGGAAGCCATGGACCAGTCCCCATATGATTCCTTTTAAGGAAGAAGATGTGCAGGGGTCTGGGGATTAACACTTTAATACTCCTAGCATCATGCTAAGCACTCATCAGGGGCTCACTAAATAGTTACAGAATATAGAACATGATTAAAACACATATTCTAGAGCCAGAGTGCCCAGGTTCAAACCCTCTAATTCCCAGCTGTGTGACATTGAGTCACTTACTTAACATCTCTGGGTGGCCATGTCTTCATCTGTCAACCTGGGAAAATACCCACCTCATAAGTTGATAAACTTTGAATGAGATACTACGTTAAATATATGTGTGTGTGTCTAGAAACTGCTTAGCATGTAAATTCAGTGGTACCTACTATTATTCATTATTATAAGCTATCTGGTGAGTGGGATCAAATTGTCTCACATCTAAACGGTTCTCTATGAGCTTCACCCATCCCTGACTCTAAAATCCAATCACCATTTTCATAAGAAGATAAACTAAGACAGGGCAGGAAACCTTTCCATTACCTGGTTCTCCGTCCCTGGAAGCCTTAGCAGTTGACTAGCTCTGCCCATCTTCAGAGCAATCAACACAGCAGCCGTGGTCCTGAATTCCTGAATGAGCACAATATGCTTCCTTGAATCTCTAAGAGACATTAAATTGCATCCGACAGGGTTTTGATGTTCTCTGGGTTTTGCTGAATCTTATTTATTTGAAAACTCATTGTATGATACCTACAGTGAGTCTCTCCTAAGCAGCATGAGCAGGGCTGAGGAGTCAGACAGGCCCAAGGCCAAATCCTGGTTTCATCCCTCCCATGAGGATCACACCTACAGCAGAGGATGGCATGCTGCTCTCGGGAGGCAGAACCCCTGACTCCAATTCCAGATCTACCATTAGCAAAGTTCATGTCTCTGGCAAATTGGTGAACCTTTCTGAGCTTCAGCTTCCTGATTTCGGTTGAGTGAATAATGGTATCTGCTACCAGGGTTCTTGAGGATAAAATGAGATGATGCAGGGAAAGCATTTGGTTAGCCAATGGGAACTGGCATCCAATATGCTGTTATACAGTAGTATTTGTTATAAGGATTTACTTATCCCTCTACTGCCTGCTCCAGTTCAGGACAACACTGGTCTGGGGGACTTCAGGACCTGGAGGAGGGGGATGGAGGTGTTACGGGAAAGGGCAATCAAGCAGGCCTTTACCCAGACCCCTGTTGCTTGGAAGCGTTTGCTGCAGGTATGAAAAAGTTTAAAGAGGTAGAAAGTGTCAGCCCTTGAGAGGTGTTGATGGACTATGACAGAGGCCCTGTTAAATGAGCCCCTTGGGGAATAGCCTTGGGGAGATCCTTTGCAGTAGGAAATTCACCACTCCTAGTCCCAGCACCTACGAATGGGAGATTGTCAGGGACCAGGAAGAGGAAGATTTATTCTGGGTTGAAAATTACATCCCTCACTGTTGCAGTATTTCTTTACCTCCCTTAAAATGTGAAAGCCAGATTCAACAAACTCTGTGGCCTCAGGAACTCAGACGTCCAATTTACATGTAAATGGAGACCAAGAGCTTCAGAAGGAAAAAAATGTTGGGAAAATTGTGACTTAAGGATAAAGCCTTGGGGACAATCCAGAGGAGACATATCCCTGAGGGAGAAGAACTGAAAGGATTCAGAGGCTGACTCCTATATGTCTGCTGAAGAGGTCCCTTACATCCAAGTGACTAGAAGCTAAGGGGCCTCCAACACTGTTCCCTTCACACTGACAATTCCCTTCATATTGATAACATGGATGTGGAGCCTATGATATGCCAGGCACTGTACTGAGTGCTTTACACTCACCACCCCATGTACTCCTCAAACAATCTGGCAGGGTTGGCATTACCACCATCTCCATTATACAGGTGAGGAAACTGAGTGCCAGAGTAATGTGCCCACCTAGGAGGTGAGAAAGGCAGCTGGTTGCTCTGAAGCACGGTAGTGCTGCCTCCTGGGGCTGGCCCCACTTAGCTGTGAACTTCAGGAGAGCCCCAGGCTGGGGCCGGAGGAAGCCCCTCCAAGCACTGCCAGCCTGGCTGCTGTTATTCGCACAGGCTGCCTTCCTTTTCAACCACAGTTTACACAAATCCCTCCCAGGAAGCTTTGAATTTACCAAATTAGTAAATTAGAGAAGAGATATGGCTTTCATCTCACTGATATATAATCTAAAAACAAACAAACAAAAAACCATCCAAAACCCTTACAGCCAACAAATACATGTCTTCTACTTAGGCAAAAATAAAGGGAGTAGTAAGACAGTCCCCAGTTCCATCAATTGCGTAAATAAAGAAAATCATTAATTGGCTGTTAAGAAGTTGGTTAAAGGAAAATTGAACACAGAGGTGCCTGAGTAACTGGGTATGCAGTTATTTTGTCTTTGCTTTTTCAAGAACATTAACATGTTTCCTATCAATTATTTTTAAATTTAGGTCTGATTGAGACTCTTTGAGTTGTGATACATCTAATAGTTGCCTTGGGCCTCTGTCCTCCCACCCCAAGTCTCAAAACATAAGATCATATAAAAGTGCTTAATAAATGCTTGCTGATCTAACAGTCAATTCTGCTTGAAAATGTGTCTCCCAGCCGTGGTCCAGCATTCATCAGGGACCCAAGAAACCTGCAAGCACAGAATATTTGAACTGGAAGAGACCTTAGAAATTGCTTTGCCCCACCCCTTGATTTTACTCCAAAGGGTCTGCACAAGAGGAATGAGAGAAACCTGCCTGGAGCACATGGTTGGTTAAGACTGAGAGAGGCCGGGAACCCAGGCCCTCTCCCTCCCAGGCCAGCGTGCTTCTCTCTCAGCTCTTTGCTGATGGAGAGAAATCAGAAAGCCCATTAAAAACATACTCCAGTAGCAAACCCAGGAAATCTCATCAGTTCTGGAAAACAGGGGCCACTGAGCACAACCCTGGAGAGAATAAGTACTCACTACTTTGTTAGTACCATCATAACATCTAATTTTTAAACTACACAGTTTGTCTCTATTAGAACCCTGCAAAGACAGGTCAAGCCTTGCTGAAGTCACCTCAGGGTTAGCACAGACTCTTGTCCCAGGGGAAGAAAAAGAAAGAAAACTGACGTTGGCTTAGGGCCTACTGTATGCCCGGTGTTTTTGCCTCCTTTAGTCTTCACAGCAAATATATGAGGTAGGTCCTTTCTTTTTCTTTCCCTTCCCTTCCCTTTTTTTATATGAGTAAACAAAAGCTCAGAGAAGTTAGGTGACTTGCCCCCAATCACACAGCAAGTAAGTGGCTGAGCTGGGATCTGATGCCTCCTTTGAAGCCCCTCCTGCTAGCTCAAGGATCCTGACAAAATACGGAATCTAAAGCTTTCTTCTTCTGAGAAGGTGAGTTTAGTGGGAAGAGCTTTGGATTTGCTAGTCAGGGGACCTAGACTGTGACTTTCCACAGGCAGACCTCAGGCTGTCTAGTTTAGCACATTGCCTGGTATTAGCAGTTGTTCAATTAACATTTGTTGGTTAAAATAATTACTGTATCTATCTGACAAAGGACTTATATGCAGGACACACACACACACAACCCGTAAAACTTAATAATAAGGAGATAAATAATTTTCTTTTTTAAAAGTAGACAAAAGATTTTAGCAGATAGTTCACCAAAAGCCAATGCAAATGGCCCATAAGCATACGGAAAAAGTTCTCAGCATCAACTCACCACCAGAGAAATGCAAATTAAATTGATAATGAACTATCGTTACACACTCACCAATTTAAAAATGTAAAAGGCTGATGACAGAAAGTACTGATGAGTATGTGGAACAACTGGAATTCTACCCTGTTCATGAGAATAGAAAATGGTATAGCCACTTTGGAGAAGAGTCTGCAAGTTGCTCATAAAACTAAATACACATCAACCTTATGACCCAACAGTTCCGTTCCTGGGTATTTACCCAAGAGAAATGAAAACACACATCCTCAGAAAGACTTGTACAAAAATGTTCATAGCAGTGTTATTCTTAATCACCCCAAACTGGAAACAACCCAAATATGTATTAACAGTAGAATGGATGACCGAATTTTAACAGATACATAGAAGGGATGCTATTCTACAACAAAAAGGGAGGAACTCTTGATACATGCAATACGAATTAATCTCTAAAACATTATGTTGAGCTAAAAAAGCCTTGCCCAAAAAGGGATATAATGAATCATTCCACTTATATGAAGTTCTAGGATAAGTAAATTTAATTTATGGTGCAAAACATCAGAACAGTGGTTGCCTGAAAGTTGAAGGCAGGAATTAACTGAGAAGGGACACAAAGGAACTTTCTGGAGTGATGGAATGTTTGGTATCTTGATAAGGATCTGGGCTGCACAGCAGTATGCTTTTGCCAGTGATACGATACACAGGCCAAAGTGTTTGGGGCTGAACTGCATTGATGTCATAACTTACTTTGAAGAGCATGAAAAATAGGATGGATTAATAGATGAATAAGGGATGGATTGATGGAAAGATATGTGATAAAGCAAAGAGAGCAAAATGCAAATTGTAGAATCCAAGTGGTGGGTATATGAGTGTTCACTGTGCAACTTTTCTGTATTTTAAAATTTTTGTAGACAATTTTGGGCAGAAAAAAATGAATAAAACTTGGATTCCACAGCTGGCTTAGCACACATGCCCTCCAAGGACCTATGAGGGTCCTCCTGCCCACCTCTGCAGCCTCATTTCTCATCAGCCCACACCTTGTGCTCCATACTCTGGCCACAAGGACGTTCTTTCACTTCCTCAAACCCACCATGTATGTACTACCTCAGGCCACAGGATCTTTGCATATGCTATCTCCTCTGGGAGGCTCTCCCTTCCTTTTTCTCCCAGATAATGCCTCAGACTTCAGACTTCAGTTCAAATAGTCTTTCTCTGGGTACCTTCTCTCTCCATTCACCACCACCACAAGATTAGGTCCATTGCTTTAGTTCTTGAAGAAACATGTTCCTTTCTGTCATAGCACTTGCTGTTCAACCCTTAGTGTGACTGTTCTGTTTAGAGCCACAGCCTCCACGAGACTGACAGCTTCATGGTGGCAGAACTGTGACCATTTGGGCTCACCAAGGCACACCCCCACCCAGCACAGTGCTTGGTCATAACTGTGCCCACGTAGTATCTGCAGAATGAATGGATATTCCTAACTAGCCTGTAGCCCTAGGGACACAGTCGTCCCTGCTCCATTTTCTCAGCTATCAAATGAGAAAATTAGTGAGGAGCAGCCTTCCTCTTTATTTATTTATTTATTTATTTTTTTGGCACAAGACCAATTCAGAACAAATATTCAGAAACAGCATGTTTAATTCAAAATGAAAACAACTTTAATGCATCTTACAGAAAATATAATGTATATTCCTTCCACTAAGATTATCCACTTTGTCGAATAAAAGAATTTCAATGAGAAAATTGGTGCTGCCTTTTAGCCATTAAAATGTTCCCATTTGGGCATTTCGAAAAGCAGCAACAAGAATAAGAGGCAGCTTTCTAATCATTCACCCCTTAAGATTCAGAAGGTGTTAGAAACACAAAGCTCATTCACAGCTGTTATCTCATTTCATCTTCTAAGTAGGTGATGTATTTGGAGATGGTGAAAATGTGGCTCAGAGAGGTAAAGTGACTTGCCCAAAATCACACAGCAAGTTGATGAGAGAATACACTTTAATTAATTAACTCAATCTAATGGAATACTTTCTGGGCACGTATCCACCTGTCCCGTGTGTGGTACTATGCCAGGTGCTGGAACTACAGTGACAATAAGACGCAGCTTCCTGCTCTTTCCCAGTTTGGAGTCCTCTGCCTTGGTTGTCAGATCTTCTCTCTGGAGACAGTAAGGAGAACCAATCAACCCAGGTTTCTTGGTCTGAGTTCATCAGAAGTAGAGTCAGAGACAATGATGTCAGGACAAATAGTTGATTTGGGAAGTCACCCCCAAGAAGTACCTATAGGGAAGAAAGAAAATAAGACAGGAAAATAAGCCAGTACAGGTAGCAGATTACTGTTGTGGGTAACTGGGGCTCAGTCCCACTGGGAATCTCTCAGAGACTGCGTAGAACACATTCCAGAGCTGGCTATTTATGCACCAACTGCCATTTAGTATTGTTTGGGAGCTACTCCTCAGGGTAATTCCCTGGTACTTCTGTCCTGTGGGAGGGCACAGGCATGCTCCAGTAACCAGAGAAAGCCCTCGGGCAGCATGCACAGGAGCTTTCACAAAGGAGCCATCATTTCGTTTGGAAATAGAATTTAAAAGGGCACACTAAGAGGACAGAGGAGGGCACCAAATGCAACTGCTGGGTCAGGACAGGGTGAACCCCCCAGAGTCCTAGAGGGGCCCCCTGTGGTTGCCACGACTGCATGGTGCTCAGCCCCTGCTGCCGCGGCATAGGCTCTAGGCACCAGCCCTGGTGGACTGAGGGTCTCAGCCTGGCTTCTGAGGGACCCCATCACCAACCTCATTTTTAGGCAGCATCAAAAAGTCTACATGAAAGCAATTCCAAGAGGCTTCTTCCTGCCTCAGAGCTGGTTGCCCTGGGGGCTTTTCTCTGGAATCCTGCTATTCCTTGGGAACAGAAACGCTGCTGAGGTGTTTGGGGGAAATAAAGCTGCCGTGGATCTTCGGCAGTGTTGAGGTGATCCCTGTGACACGAACCATGAATGATGCCCAGTGTCCATTCTCTCCTTGTTTTTAGTATCACTCAAGCTTTAGCAGAGCTCATAGCTTCCCTGATGCAGACTACATTTCCAAGATGCCCCGACAATGAGAACTGGCCATGTGACTAAATTCTGGCCAATGGGATGTGAGTGAAAGTGTGGGCAGAAGCAATCTCCAGGCCATATCCTTAAAAAAAGAAAAAGGAGAATACTATTTATTCTTTCCTGACCTCCCACCAGCTGGAGATTGGCCACCACTGGAGCAGCCCTTATGCAGCCTGCAACAGAAGGCCTGTGCTGACAGTGGCAGAGCAGCACCCCCAGTCTGGGGTGGATAACCCAGACTACCCACCTGCCTCTAGCTTATCACGAAAGAGAGTGGTAAACTCCCCTTTGTGTCAGCCGCTGTCTTTTGAGCCTCTATTACAGCAGCTTCACCTGTTCCCTAACTCAGCTATCCTAAAGGACTCTACCTGCTCTAAAGGCAGCTATACCCCACATGGCACCACTTCACTCAGACCAGCCCCTGCCCCCATCTCCCAGGGCAGGCCCAGCAGGTGGGACCACTTCACCCAGACCTGCCCCTGCCCCTGCCTCCCAGGGCAGGCCCAGCAGGTCCTAAGGCTATTGCTCCAGTTCCCAAAGTGTGCTCTTGATTTACCCCCTATCCCAGCCGCCAAACTCCCCATGGGGTGGTGCACCTTTGCCCTGGGAAGATCTTGATTCTGGGCTCATAGAAACCTATCATCTGATCATCTTCAGGTTCTTTCAGTGAGCAGAAACCACAGAGATAGCTAGGCTAGTGTGCTGTAGCGAAGCCAGAAAGGCAGAGGAGGTTGGAGGACAGGGAGGGTGAAGAGCTCCTCCATGGCGCCCCCACAAAAAAAAAGGGATGAGTTTGCAGCAAGAGGGATAGAGGAAAGCTGATCAGACCTAAACAGAGATCTCTTAAGAGTGGGGATCAGGTGGCCGGGCGTGGTGGCTCATGCCTGCAGTCCCAGCACTTTGGGAGGCCGAGGGGGGAGGATCACGAGGTCAGGAGATTGAGACCATCCTGGCTAACATAGTGAAACCCCCTCTCTACTAAAACTACAAAAACAAAATTAGCCAGGCGTGGTGGTGCACGTCTGTAGTCCCAGCTACTTGGGAGGCTGAAATGGGAAAATGGCGTGAACCCGGGAGGCGGATCTTGCAGTGAGCTGAGATGGCGCCACAGCACTCCAGCGTGGGTGACAGAGCGAGACTATGTCTCAGAAAAAAAGGGGGGGGATCAGGTAAGTGTAGTTGGATTTGCCTGGATTTAGAGTGCTCCTCTCTGAGCACTGTGCCAGGTGCTGGGACTCGGTCTGTCCACACAACCTTGTGTCTCGAGTTGGGGGACAGAACCAGAGGGCCTCCAAGTGGCTTTTGCTCTAAAGTTCTGGAATATGCCAATGAAGAATTGCTGAAGATTCCACAGGTCAATGAGCTGCTAAAGAGGAGGAGTCATGCCTACCCCCCTTCTATCCCTACATTTGGCATAGTACTGGGATCTAGAGGGCCTCCAAAAATATTTACTGAATAAATCCATAAATGAGTGAGTGAAAAACATCCTTTAGAGAGGTTCCGATATTCCACATTCAACACTTGTTTTCTTCCTGTTCCATCCTTTCGGAAGACTCCACAGCAAAATGGAGACATTGGGCCATGCCTGTCTCTCTCCCCAGACCTGTGGGCTCCTCTCTGTTAGAGCACTTATTACAATTTACAGTGAAAACTGTTACCTACCTGTCTCCCAAATAAGGCTGGTGGTCTTGAGCGAAAAAGACTGTGTCTTATTTTTTTCAGGTGAATCCCTCAGTATTATGACTACTTGGTACAGAATTAAATCTGTATTCAATAAATATTTGCTGAATGAATAAATAAGTAAATCAGTCAATTCCATTGCCCATTGAAAAACGACACTGTCAAACACATCTCCCAATCAGAAAGTCATTGAGCTTGAGAACACCATCTCTAAAACGGAATAGAATCTTCCTTCTTACAGGAAGTCCCAAGAGAGCTTGGGTTTCTCTTCCCTCAGACTGGGGCTCCCTGAGGACGGAGCTGTGTCTCCTCAATCAGACTGGGACTCCCTGAAGATGGGGCTGCATCTCCCCTCAGACTGAGGCTCCCTGAGGACAGGGCTGTGTCTCCCCTCAGACTGGGGCTCCCTGAGGATGGGGCTGTGTCTCCCCTCAGACTGGAGCTCGCTGAGGACGGGGCTGCGGCTGCCCTCAGACTGGGGCTCCCTGAGGACAGGGCTGTGTCTCCCTCAGACTGGAGCTCCCTGAGGATGGAGCTGTGTCTCCCCTCAGACTGGAGCTCGCTGAGGACGGGGCTGCGGCTGCCCTCAGACTGGGGCTCCCTGAGGACAGGACTGTGTCTCCCTCAGACTGGAGCTCCCTGAGGACAGGGCTGTGTCTCCCTCAGACTGGGGCTTTCTCAGGACGGGGCTGCGGCTCCCCTCAGACTGGGGCTCCCTGAGGACAGGGCTGTGTCTCCCTCAGACTAGGGCTTTCTGACGATGGAGCTACAGGTCCCCTCCGGCTGGGGCTCCCTGGGGACAGGGCTACATCTCCTCTCTGACTGGAGCTCCCTGTAGACAGGGGCTCTGCCTACTCCCACCCTGGACTGGGTGCCCTCGTGCGCAACCCTCACGTCTCTAAGGTCCCTCTTCCTCATCATAAGCTTCTTCTGTTGATGAGCTCAGAAATGCCCTGCCCATGTCATGCTCATGAGCATTTTTAATGTTTCAATTTCTCAAATGTGTCGAGGAATCATAAACTCACGGAGGAAAAAATGAGAAAGAAAAAAATAAAACAAGGAAATAAAAGCCAAGTTGTGGCTAAGTTCATTCCAGCAGGCAGCCCTCAGCCTCGAGGGAAAACGCTAATGCATGCACAAAAACCTCATGAATAATTATTTCTGAGTGGCTCAATATTTTAAATGCTGGATATTTTTCTCCTCCTCAGAAGCACGCCGCAACTATTTATCGCAATGCAGAAGCCAGACAGAAGGTGATTAAGCTTGATTTCTGAGGGATGAGCAGACAGAAAGTAGGGTGGAGATCGTGAGCAGAGGTGGGTGGGTTTCACGGGGCAGCAGGCAGATGGGGCCCCTAGGCCAGCATCTTATGGCAGAAAACAAAGGCCACCATCCAGCAAAGAGGGTTGTGTGGGTTGCATTATCTTCTTCGCTAAGGAGCTTGGAGTTTGGTCCTTCTGTCTTTACCAGCTGTGATATCCATGGGCAAGCGGCATGGTGCAGGAAGGCTACAAGGTCAGCTATTTACCCCATAGTTGATGTCAGCACTCTGAGGGGATTAAAACTAAAAACAGAAGATCTTTAGGTCTATGAGATGAGACAGCTGTCCTCTCACCAAATCAGGGGTGAAAGTACCCCAACTTCTCCTTCAGAGGGTGGTTCATTTGAGTTATCTTACCAATAGTCCATGGGCTGGTGGTTCATGCATTGGCTAATTCATTTGAAGATCCTAACCACCTACTTGGTACTTTCTTCTTGGTTTATTTTACCATGTGACCACCCTGAGAAATTGGAAGGACAGGTGCTATGATTCCCATTTTATGTTTACGGAAATGGAGGCTCAAGGCAGCAAGTGACTTGTCCACAGTCTTCTGTTCTCAGAAAGGTGAGGCAAATACAAAGGCCACTAGTGTCTGGACTCCTGTTACACTGTCACTGGCTTGGCTACTAGGCGCCCCCATAGTGAGAAACTTTAGTGGGGAGACACGGAGCGTGTGAAATTGGATAGCACACCTAGCCCATCCTGCAAGGGCACCTAGGCACCATCACCTCAGTCACCTGCCTCCTTCTACTCTGCGCCTCTGCTCCCAGTGCCATCTTTTATGTGCACTTCCCTCGGGTCCTTGGTTCTATTAGCCTCACTCTTGCCCATATGCCAGCCTGAGCATGGTAGCTGCAGGGATGAACATCTGGCCTCCTCAACGAACTGCTTGAGGCCAGATGTCATGTCTTATGCTTCTCATATATTCTTCACCGGACCTAGAGCAATGCTGGGCAGGAGTGAAATGGAATGACAGCTATCATCATCATATCAGTAGCTAACATTTACAGAGCACTCATTTTGGGCCAGGCACTGCTATAAGAGGTTTATGTACATTAACTCATTTAATCCTCACAGCAACCCCATTAGATGGGTATCATTATCCCAATTCTCATTGTATATGCAGGAGTGCGGAGGCCTGGAGAGATTTAGTAACTTTTCCATATAGCAAGTAAGTGACCAAGGCCACATTTAAGCCTAGGCCACTTGGCTTCGGAGCCCTCACTCCTAAACACAACATTATACTGCCTGTCAGCGTGAGACCCCTACCTGTGTGTTTATCTCTGCAATGGCCCATTCATTCATTCATTTATTCATCCTTAAATTTGCTACCGTTTACCAAGAACCTGCCATGCCCAGGGCATTGTGCTAGTACTCTACACGCACCTCACTCTCACATCCAAATTGCAGTTAACTTTGTTATGATCTCCATTTTATGGTTGAGAAAGGTGAAGTTGCTTTCCCAGGCTCACATGGCAGGTAAGCAAGAAGGCTGGGATTTCCACCCAGGTCTGGTCTGGGAGTGTCCAAAGCCTTAGCACTCTCCCCCTGAGTTACATTGCATCCACCTTCCTTCACCAAACTCGGTTCAACTCAGAACCCAACATGGTGGGAGGTGCTAGCAGGAGGAGCCCAAGGCCTCTGGAGCCACTAGAAGTGGAAATGGTGATAATGAAGATAATTCTGGGCACGCCACCATGGCCTCTGCTATTCCCTACCATATGGCCACTCTAAGCTGACCCCCAGCAATGGCCGTTTTCCAGCACATATGGGAATCAAACAAGATAATATATGTGTGGCAAGGTCACAGATGTACTTACAGCACACTCAGATGTGCAGAGAAGGCACTTTTCTTTATTTCCTGTGAGCTGATTGGAGTGTGTGCCCCTAGTCTGTGGGAATGGGGGAGGGGCAACTAAATTTTAGCCCAATACAGTCATTCAAGTTCAATTCAGTGATTTAAACAGTCTTTTAAAGAAACCACTTAGTTTCTTGCGGATAAAATGCTGATCTTTCTTTCCCTCCTGCCCTCCAGGGTGGAACCTTTGTGGATGGTGAGAGGCTTGGATGGCACTGGAGGGAAGGGTACATGTGGCCTCAAGCAGTACTTGGGTATGTGTGGATTGGTGCCCAGCAAGATGAGGGTGGGTGGTCTATCCCTGAGCGTTCAGCAGCCCTCCATTGCTGATGGGCAAGGCTGATAACCTCTGGCATGTTCTTTTCCAGCTCCGTTAGGGCAGGGCTGCCCCTGGTACTCCCATATGGAACAGGTCCCATTCTGACTCTTGATGATGCTGAAGACCCTCTGAGGTCCTGTCCTCCAGCCTTCTCTGAACTCTGGGAAACTCTCAAACTAGAATTACCTCACTTCAGGCAAGCAGAAATTTCTGGGCTCCATCATAGACATGCAGAAACCAAGAGGTACTTGGAGACCCAAACTCAAGCCTTCTCCCCAGTAACCATACCACACTGCCCAGTCAGCTTCAGTGCAGCCACCTCACACCACAGCAGGAGTGGCCTGGGAGGCCAATGACCTGCCTGAATCCTAAAAGAGATTGGGGCAGAATCCTCTCTTCTCTGGTGTCTTCTCCATTAATACAGGGGAGTTTAGCCTGGAGAAAGACCAGTTTTCAGGTCTTATTGCCTCCATCCTCATCTCCAGCTCCTTCCTTTCCCCTACAAGCCTCAAGACTGGAATGAATGGGTGATGGGTGTTCCCTATGGAAAGCCCCATGAGCAAGTCCTCTAGGCCTGATAGCACGTATGCAACACTTACACTGTTCCTATCTCAAAACTCCTTTATAAGGGAGGTCTGAGATATCCTCTGGCAGCAGAGGAAAAGGCTAAGGAATAGAGAAGTTATTTGCCCAGCGAATGAGCCAGGATTTGAGCCCTACTAGATTCACCAGAATCCTCTAGGCCGGTTCCATGGAGTCTTTGCTCCAAGCAGGACCATTCTCCTCTCACTGGAGTGACAAATCTCATGGCTTAGCCTTGGAGAAAGAAGACTGGAAGAGAACACACTTTAGAGGGGAAATCAAAATGCATTGATCTCATATTTGCAAAATATTATCCCCATCACAAATGAGATAGGTATTTGTAAACTGTAAAGCCTAAAACACAGGTAAAGGATAATTGCTCTTATTGAAATATCCATTTGTACCGGAAAATTTGAGAAGGTTGTCTCTGCCCAATACAGAAAAGATAGCATAGAATAAGGAGACTTGAGTTCTAATTCCAGCTCAGTGACTTTGGGCAAGTCATTCCCCCTCTCTTGGCCAGTTTCCTCCTCTGTGTTATGATAGGAATGAGTCTCTAATGCCCATGAGCTCTAAATTCCACATGTGTCTGCAGATCAGAGGAGTTGGAGGTCCCTTGCCAATGCCCACGGACTGAAGCTCTTACATGATTCATCCCATGCCTGGACCAGGGATGCACATGCTAAAGGATCAGGAAGTTTGGTCCCATGGGATGACTTCTGTTGAGTCTGGCACAGATTCCTGCATGGCCCACACAGCACCATGGGCTCCAGGCAATCCTCTCCCTGCTCCTCTGGCTAGTCAGCCACAGAAGACCTTGTCTTCCCCACAGACAACCCATATCTCTGATGTGCCAATCCCAGGAGGGCTGAGGCTGGCACCTACACTCTGCCCCCAGAGTCTTCCAGGCTCTTTGATTTTATAAGCTTGCAAAGGGAAAGGTGATTGTACAAGGGGATAATGAGGTGACAAGGGGCATTTTCAATGAGCGCACTCTACATGGGCTCTCAATTTTGGTTTGGTTACCCACAGAGGCAACCCTTCACACAGGGCACACACAGCTGCCCCCAGAAATGGACATCCTCCCCTTCCCCAATGCACACTCACATCCACAGAGATTTATCAGTTCCGTTCACTAGTAATAACACACACACACAGTTTATTAACATACATAGTTCACTGACACACAGTTCACTAATAATAGCACCACCCATTTACTGAACACCTGCCGCATGCCAGGTGCTGTGCTCTGTGCTTTACAAGGGTTGAATCATATGATCCCCATAACCACTTTTTGAGGCGTATTCTAATGTTACCCCCATTTTACAGATCTGCATCCAGAGGGGTTATATGGCAATGGCATATGAATCAGGCAGTCCAAGCCAGTAAACAGAAACCACTCAGAGTACATAACCAGAGGGAATTTAATGCAGAAAATTGGTTGCTTAGATGATGCAGGGAGCTGGGAAGTCAACAGAGGAGAGTAAGACAACAACAAGACTAGCAATAGCAGGAAGCCACTGTCACCCCTAGGGCTGGAGGTGAAAGAAGGAGATCACCAAACCCTAGCAGTAGGGGGTCACCTTGAACATCATGAGCCTGTTAGAAGGAAACTAGAACCAGAGGAAAGGCAGGCACTGCTGGAAATAAAAAGGAGAAACACTCTCCCTTCCTCCCACCCTCCGATTTCCATCAGGGCCTCCTATTGGTGGACCCAGAAGCCAGTCAAGCTGATGAGGGAGCCTGAGAAACACAGCCAGTAGGGGTCGGCCCCCTATTATGGAACACAACAGGTGAAGGGGGAGAAATGGTGCCGAGGGCAACAGCGTCTGTGACTGCACAGGCCATGAGATGAATCCAACCTAGATTCTGCTCTCAAATGTCCTCCCCAAGACAAGACATGTATCTTTAACCATAGCAGAAAGCAGAGAGTAGATTAAGACTTTAGAGACAGAGAAGTGAGACTGGGGTTCAAACGGGTCAGAGGTTAGGGCTGCAGGTGGAGGGTGCGAGTGGGCGTTTCTGGGGATACACCATGCTTCTGGGTACCAGTGCATCACGTGGGCAAGTGGACATGAGTTGAGACTGCTTTCTAGACCAAGGCCAAAAGGGAGTAGATGGCCAGGGGTGAGCCAGTGGTGAGATGACCTCCAGTGGCAGCGGCAGAAGCTGAAAAGGAGGCCACGGTGAGGTCACGCCCCCCGGAGGCTCAGCACCAATCAGATGAGAGATAAAGACACGTGAGACCAGGAATATGATGCAGGAGCTGCAGTGTTTCACTCCAAGCTTATGAGAAAGTTGAGGAGGAAAATAATAATAGCCGCCCCTGTTCTTTGAAGATTCTTTATTCTTAAGCATCTTGACTTGCGTCTTCCAAAGGAAATTCTGAAACAAGGATTTGAATTCAAGTGGTTTCTTTGGGCCGTGAGCACAGGGAGCATGGAACTGGGCAGGGAAGGGAGGCAGCCACTTCAGGGTGCAATATTGAGTAGACGACGGCTGTGGGCCACTGGGGTTCGGTCCTGCTGGGGAGGCCTGGGGCCCTGTGTGGAACACACCTCACGCTTGAGCAATGAGCATGTGTGGGGACATGGGTGAGGCACCAAGAGCCCCGGCCCCACTGGGAATAGCAGAGTGTCTTCTAGCTATCCCACCAGGGAACGAGCTAAAGGTGCCACTAGAAGGGACTCAGACTCTTGGAAGTGTAGAATCTGGGAGAGAACTAACCTGAAAATCTGAAAGAATTAGAGAAAACTAACTAGTTTCCCTTTCCCCTGTCCTCTTACCCAGGCTTAAGAAGCTGCCATCTCTGATGATTGCATTTCCTACCCCACCCTGGAGGAAATTATGAGCACTGGGATCTGTTGGTCTTTCTAAATGGAGTAAAAATTGAATTCCCTTTCCTTTCCTTGCCTGCCAACCCGCTCATTCTTCACACACCCATGTTGCTTGGCCCCTGAGTATACTTGACATTCATTTTCCAGGGAGATGGTCTGAGTTTAAGTCTGGTGGGAAGAGGAGGTCCCTGGAGGGAAGACCAGGGCTCAAGGGCTGGGCTCCAGCCTCCTTGTCTGCACACAGAAGGATTTTATCATGGCTTGGGACCAGTTCCTTCACCGTTTCCTTTTTCTCTCCCCACCCCCAGTGTGTTGTTTCAGAGAACTGGAGGTGCTTCCTTTTATCTCTAACTTGAGTATTCCGAGTTCTAATTAAGTTCATTTCAGCCTTCTGATTTAAGAAGCCTTATCAGGAATACTTAACCTGTGCAAATAATACGTGGAGCCAGCCAGCACTGGCCCTGCATGCTAATTGAACCTCACACAGGATCTCGACACAGCCAAGTTGCCAGGTCACCAATAAGCTCCTGAGAGGTCAGAGGAAGGCACTCATCTAAGAGTGAGAGAATCCAGCCTGGGATTTTCACAACCCAAAGTCCTGGGCCTGGATTGTTGGCAACTGGATTGCTCAGCCACTGGGGTCTAACGAGCTGGGGGTATAATCAGGAGGTGCTTCTGAGGTTTGTTCCAGTCCCAGATGTCCAGCACTCCCCATAGGCCCAGCACAGCTTCACCAGCTATGCTTTGTTCCCCCACAGACCTGGTTTCTTAGTCTAGAGGGAGGGGAGAAAGCTGGGCCACAAATGACCAAGGCAAACAACTTTCATAAGAAGCCGGGTGAGAAAGAAAGGACATCAGCCTGGGAATGCTGAGGCCAGGGTTCCAGTTCTTCCTCTGCCAGTAACCAGCTAAGACAAGTTACCTTCCTTTGTGGCCTCAATGTTCACACTGGGACTGCTCAGAGATTTGGTCTTGTGCCACGTGGAGCCCTTGGCTCTCAGACCTGAAGACCAGCAGAGGCTGAGTGGAGTTCTGGCCCTTAAACCTCCTTAATCAAAGAAGCTGCCATTTCTCTGTTAGCTATCAGAATCCACAAAAGATTTAATTTGTGGGAAATAAAAGATTCTGTAGCTATAAATTAGTGTAAACTATTGGGTTAAGTGATCTCTCTGCGTCCTTCCAATTCTAACAATCTTAGTTTTCAAAATCCAGAACTAGAACTTGGTTCAATGGTCTCTCTCTGTTCCCAGAGCCATGGAACCCTGAATATATTACATTTTACTCTCAGCATTGTGTCTCTGGGGTCAGGTTAGATGATTGTACAGAACACCGTGCCTCCCCTGCAACCTCACATTTCCCAGAGATGTTGGCTCAGCTGGTGCAGATGGTGAAACGTTGGGGACATTCCAAAGAGATGCTCCATGAAAGTGATCACAGTCCAGTGGGCTTAGAACCCACATTTCCAGAACCATATGCAGGAGCAACAGGAACCTGTGAATGATGACTGCCGATGGTGCAGAGAAGTGAGCATATACTGGTGGGGTAATCAGGGAAGACTTCCTAGAAGGAAGGGATAGAGATGGACAGTCTATATGGAGTTAGGAGTGAGAAAAGGGTAGTATATCCAGATTATGCTCCATGCTGATGGATTCTCAGGTCTTGCAAAAGATGAGAGTCAAAACAACGAGGCAGGCTTGGCACACCTGGGTCAGGTAGATTCTCCTCTTCCTCAGAAGAGGTGTGTCCAAACTCCCCTGAAGTCCAAAGCAGGGCCTAAATGGCGAGTGTTGCTTTTGTTTTTCTGTGAGTGGGAACATGAAGGGGAAACACATCTAAACCAGGTTCTATCTGTCAGACTAGTTCCACTTGTCTAATAAGCCCTGAGAGACAAATACACTTTGGTAAAGGTAAGGAAAGGAGGGAAGGGTGTGGAGACCTGACTGGCAAGCCTGGGTGTGCAGGAAGCTGGAAGACCAGGCTCAGACAGCAATGACTGAGGCTGAAGCTTGTCCTCCTCCCCCACCCACACATTGCTTTTCTCTACAGCCCACAGCCAGAGAAGCCAGGAGGATGACTGCAGAGAGCTGTGCTGAGTCCTTTATATATGCTCCTCCCCCCAACCCCTCCCCAACAAGACCCCTGCCCATCCTATGGGATCCCTCACTGGGACTTCGGCCCCCAGGCTTCCGTTTGGGTTTTGCCAATGAAGAACACCAACAGGAGATGGGGGAAGGAAGGAGAATGCGACTGGGGTGCTCATTCCCAGCTCCCACCCTGCAGGATCCTCAAATGGAGGCCGCAGCTCCTGTCCAGTGGTCCTGTCCATACAACTTGTTCTGCCTCCGGGTTCTGGCCATTGTTCTTCTGTTCCATCCCCTTGGCCCTTCAGATCTAGGTGTGGGAATGACCCCTGTGTTACTAGCCCTGGACACCACATTATTCCTGTGATTTCTGTGTACCCTGCCCTCCTCTTTAAATGGTCCCTTTATTAAACCATCTACAAACTCCCCACTTGCAATGTGGCATCTGTTTCCTGTCTGAACCCTAACTATGATTTGAGCAGTCTCTGCTTGGGCCTGGGGCACAGTGTCCAGTCACACTTCCCTCCTGACTCCACCCCCAAGTCCACGCCCCTTTCCATCTCTCCTGGACCTCATTTTCAAGATCCAGACTCTTTGAATTCTGTATCTGGTAACCACTTCTTAGTATGCCTGTCACTCTTATTACAGACAGGCACATTTTGGTCACATTAAAGAAAAAACACAATGCCAGTGCTTAACACCTGAAAAGACAGCTTTTATCCCGAGTTTTCTAGGTGCAGGCTGTTTTGAGCTGAACCAGGTTGATCAAGGAATTACATAAGGATTGAGCAAGTTGGAAGGCACCTGCTAATCCAGCAATCAGACAAACCTGTGCAAAATCATCTTGCTTCCTTTCCTAAAATAAGAATTAAGAAAACAAGCAATTGGCTCTTTTGTTAATTAGAGGATCAGCAAAAACTGGGCCAGTCAGGTAACCACATCGAGGAGTGGGAGGAGGAAAGAAAAAGGAGGTAGACAGTGCACAGAGATCCATTTTAATGGGGACTCACATGGCTGGGGAGCCTGCCAGGATGACCTCTCAACTTCCAAATCTAGACTGAACCCCTCATTCTCTCTGTCAGCCTGGATGTTAAGCTGTTTCCAAGGCTGTTCTCTTTGGTTGGCCTCCCTGTAATTGGAAAGTCAGTGTCAAAGGCCAATATTATTTTCTCCACCCAAACTCACTCCCAAGGAAGATACACACTGAATACGAGAAAGCATAGAGTTTGAAATTAACCCCCAAATCCTGGAATCAACCCTCAACCCCTCCATTGAAAGTCTGTGTGATCTCAGGCAAGCAACCCTGTTTCTCTTGAGCCTCAGTTTTCTTCTCTATAAAATTAATCTTACATCATGGAATTGTTGTGAAAATAAGGAAAATGACCCAATTCAATACCTGGCACACAGTAACTTCATCCATGCTGGTCCCTTTCCTTTCCATTCTCCTTCAAACCATTCTCTGGGCTCTGTTTCTCCCCCTCTAGATTGTTGCCATCACTTCTGCATTAAACGTCTATTTTCCCCTCTGTCTGTGCATGTCCCTTCTGTCATTTTCTGGCAGCAGAATCCCCCAAGTCCTTCACCCCTTCCTTTAGGGAGGTGCTCTTCCCAGGCTCCCTCTGGTTTTGGTGGGGCTGTCAGTCCCAGTACTCCTGCCCCACTGTATCTCCCATCCCATTAGACCCTGAGGCCAAGCATGAGGCTCGATCAGAGTCCTGTCACAGAATATTCTCTTTTTTTCTGGGCAATGAATGTAAAGATGTGACCCCATAAGTGGCTGGCAGCCATATCCTCAGCATGGGGAGAGACCGAGAACATGACAAAGGGGAAAGAGAGTCTTGGGGGACCTAAACCCAAACTAATCACCAAGGTCCCCAGAACCTTCTCTTCGGTTCTGTGAGTCCCCTAACTAGTTCCAGTCAATCCTTTTGTGGCCGAGATAATAAGGGTTAGTTTCCATGTCTTAAAGCCAAACCTTCTTAACTGACCTCCCAGAATCGTCTTTGGACCCACTCCTGTTCTTTCTTCAGATTTCAAGCAGAGTAGATTTCTAAGATCACAAACCGAATCACGCTCGTCCCTGCTCCCTTGGCTTCCTACTGTTTTTAGAGTTAAGACCAAAATTTTCACTATGGCCTGCCAAGCCCTGCAGGGCCTCTTTTGCCTTCCCAGTCTCCTCGCTCACCAAGACCATCCCCACCTCCTTGCTCTCTCTGAGTCCTAGCTATTTCTAGGCCTTTGTTCTCACA
Source organism: Homo sapiens (assembly GCF_000001405.40). Lineage (NCBI taxonomy): Eukaryota > Metazoa > Chordata > Mammalia > Primates > Hominidae > Homo > Homo sapiens. Next base: position 40,748,867 of record NC_000006.12, read on the forward strand.
ACTTGGAATGTCTTTCCACTTGCTGTACACCTAGAACATTTTTACTCAGACTTTGCATCCCAGGGAAACCTCTTTTCCTCAGGGAAGCCTTCCCTGACCCACTTCCGCCCTCTTTCCAATTTGATCAAGTTGCTGTAACAGGCTCATCTTGCCATATGTGATCCCCTACTGATTTGCAGCATCACTGCATTAATGTCTGTCCCCCTTACCAGACTGTAAGCTTCCAGAGGGCAGGAACCACACCTGTCTCATTCACTCTAAATCACCTGGGCTTTGAACAGTGCCTGGCAGAGTAAGGCTCTCAAAAGTTTTTTGAATGAATGAATAGGTGACCCACATACAACCCATTACCTAGTCTTGGTTACTCTTCATTCATGCAGTCTCTCCTTCTGGTTGATTTTCCAGGCCCTCTGAGTCTACAATGCCTTCTTGCTTACTTCTCACTATCCCCCTCCCCAACTAATTCATCAGATCATTTCTGCCTTCCTAAAACCACCTGGTCAATAACCTCCAATGGCTCCCTATTGCCCAGTATACAAAATAAACATCCACTCACTGGAGTTCTCCAAACTTATCCCCACTAGACAGCAGCCACAGCAATCCCCTGCCACCCCTGCTGCCCCCTCTGCATTCACACACCCATATACATTCTTCACAGGGGTGGTTGCCTCTGCTGTTCCCCTACTTGGAGGGTCTTCTCTCTCTTGCCATCCGTATCCTATATCTTCTACAAATCTCTGTGCAGAACCACTGCCTCTGTAGAGCTCCATTTATTAAATTCTCCCCACAGTAAGTCTTCCATCTCTGAGTTCTTCTCACAGTGATCCATTGATTATATTTAAACTTAAAACTTTTTTCCAGATATTTCATAATTGGTATAGTTCCTTGCAGGTCACTGAGCCCTTTCATACATATGAGCTAATTTGATCCTAAAAACTTTGTAGGGAATTCGGGGCAAGTATTTTAGGGAAAATTCAACTCCCAGGATCAGAAACCCACGGAGTTCGCATAAGTAGAAGGTATTTATTAGAAAGGAACTGGTGCAGAGCATGCATCCTAATATCAGGGAGTGCAGGCTGGTCTCCAGGGGCCTAGAAAGGCATCCCGCAGGCTTCCTTCTCTCTTTCTGCTCTCCTTCTCATCTCTGGTCTCTCTTCACTCTATCTGTTCCATTCTCCTCTCTGCAAACCAGCCTCTTCTGAAAAGCTCCCCATAAATTCAGTGTCAACATAACTTTGAGTTCTTATGGTGCCAAGTCTGGCTCCAGCTCTGAAATTATCACTCTGGGTCTCAACGTCATCCAAAGTTTCAATGTCTCTTCTCAATATCTCAGTTCAAGTTCTCAACAGAAACACTGATTGGTTACTAGCCATCCAGTTCAGTGGCTAGTTTGAGCCACTTGCCCACCCCTGGCACAATGAGCTGTAGAAATAAGTCACATTGCCCATAGCCCATTCAGCAAGGTCTGGGTGACGGCACGGCAGTGAGCTGAACAAGCAAAGGGATAGTGTAGTGTAACGAATACCCAATGTGAGTGCTCAAGTCACAATATCTGTGTACAAATCCTGGCTGTTGTAATTACTAGCTGGTAGCCTTGAAAAGCCACTTCACCTCTCTAAGCTTTATTAGGTTTAAAACAGCATCTTTGGTACAGGATTGTTGTGACACTAAAATGCGACAATCTCTGTAAAGCACTTGATACAAGGCCTGGCACATGATAGATGCTCAATAAATAATGTCTGCTAACATCTGCTACAGTAGGTATTGTGATTCTCATCTTGTTTTTGAAGGTGGTCTAGAGTTCTCAATACCAGCTGGAGCCCACACAGAATCGCTGAATCAGAATCCTCAGGAATCCATATTTTGAGTTTCCCCAGGTGTTCCTGGTTCATCCAACCCAGCTCCCTCATTTATAGATGGGAAACTGAGGCCCGAAAGGCAAAAGGACTTATACCAGGTCACATTTTGAGCTAGTATCTGAGCCTGGGACCCTGACTCCCTGTGGCACAAAATGAAGACACGGTTCCCAATGGTGGGGTCTGAACACACTCCTGACAGTGGGGCTTGAAGGTCCACAGGGAGGACAGGGGGTGCCCAGCAGGAATCAGCCCCACACCTCAGAGCATCTGGGTTTGCACCCAGGTAGACTTCTAACCTGTTTATGTGACATCCAGGGAGTTAGGTTTTGTGCCTCGGTTTCCTCTTGTGTGATATAGGTTGGGAATATCCATCAAACTGAATTGTTGTAAGAATTACATGACTTGGCCAGGTGCAGTGGCTCATGCCTGTAATCCCAGCACCTTAGGAGTCTGAGGGGGGTGGATCATGAGGTCAAGAGATTGAGACAAGCCTGACCAACATGGTGAAATCCCGTCTCTACTAAAAATACAAAAATTAGCTGGGCGTGATGGCATGCACCTATAGTCCCAGCTACTTGGGAGGCTGAGGCAGGAGAATCACTTGAACCCAGGAGGCAGAGGTTCTAGTGAGCTGAGATCGCGCCACTGCACTCCAGTCTGGCGACAGAGCAAGACTCTATCTCAAAAAAAAAAAAAAAGTATTACATGACTTATGATGCATGAAGCTTTAAAAACAGTTCTTAGCACAAAGCTATATCAGCTATTATTATTATTGATAAACATATACCTTCTGGGTCTCCTTTTGGCTACTAGCTGGTAGGAAGAGACTAAAAAAAAAGATATTTTTGACAAAGTGTTACTAAATCACAAATGTGAAAAGGACAGCAAACAAATCCAACTAAAACTCTGGGATTCAGCCTCCACACACAAAATTTCCAGTGAGAACATGAATAACCACATACACTTATACTGGTAGCTTCACTCCAAATAAACTTAAGGTTCACACGTGTGAATGTGGACACATTCAACACAATACTCCCTGAGGACAGGGCTGTGTCTCCCCTCAGACTGGGGCTCCCTGAGGACGGGGCTGCGTCTGCTCTCAGACTGGGGCTCCCTGAGGACAGGGCTGTGTCCTTCTCAGACTGGGGATCCCCGAGGACAGGGCTGTGTTTCCCCTCAGACTAGGCTCCTTGAGGATGGGGCTGTGTCTCTGTCAGACTGTGGCTTTCTGAGGATGGGGCTATATCTCCCCTCAGACTAGGGGTGCTCCCTGAGGATGGAGCTGTGTCTTCCCTCAGCCTGGGGCTCCATGTGGTTAGAGACCATCTCTCAACATTCAACTTGGAAGAGCAGAGACCTCTGGACACTCTCTTCCCTCTTCACTACTGACCTTCAGAGCCTTTGGCAAGGCCCTGCCTGGTATTTGGTCTCTTCCCAGTCTAAACACTCAGAGCTTATGAACTTTCTCGAAGCCACTTCCTGCCACTCTAATTGTTCCATGCTCTATTTTATGTATTTTAATTCATGCTTTAAATCTTACAGGTACATCTCAATTCACTCTGGCAAAAGTCCCCTCTTTAGAAACTGGAATAAATAAATAAATTCTTCCCAGGTAGATGGCAGCCAGAAACCTTAATGTAATTCATATCAGCCTGTCACTCTGCCACCTTGGTTCTGTCGTCTGAGAGAGGCCTGTGTGTGGGGTCACCCCAGCAGCCCTCTGTACCTTCCACTCCTGCCTTCTGAGGGGCACCACTACTCCCAAATGTGCAGTCTTATGGCAGTCACACTCCCCAGATTCTTTAGTTGAAGCCACACATTCTGGCTTGCTTTGTTCAATGTGCTCTTGTAACAGCTGTACAACAGTGTTTCTCACCCTTGTGGTCAATTTCCATCACCTGGAGAGTTTTTGAAACACATTGATGCCCAGAGTCCACCCTAGAGATTTGGGTTTTGTTGGTCTGGGGTGAGACCCTGGTATTGTTTGTTTCTGTAACTCCCCAGGTGATCTTATTTTGCAGCCAGGGTGGTGAACCATCACTGTAGGAAATTCAGAGGTGAACAAAACCCACGCCCGATTTCCACCATGTCTCATGGAAGGCACAGGCACCTGCCCCATTAGAGGGCTGAGACCCCTTCTCTCTTGTTTACTGTGGTACTCTCATTGCACTGCCTGGTACATAGTAGGTATCCTATAAATATAAACTGAGTGAAACTTAAGCCACCCTTTTTCCATAGGTACCCTGATTTGCCTCACATTTCCAATATAGGTCCCACTACTTACCAACTGGGAGGTCTGGAACAAGTCAACCTACCTTTCTAAGTCTCAATTTGCACATCTTTAAAATGGGGGTTCCCTAGGCTGAAGGCTCACCCAGAAAGGAAAAATATGGAGTTCATCAGGAGCTCTGAGGAGCAGAGGTCTACACTGGGATCCTAGAAATGCAAATTTTGGTTTTGCTTGGGCTGAATTACTGTGTGACCTTGAGCATGTCTCCTGACCTCTCTGAGCCGCTAACCTCCACCAGCCACCCTCTCCCCACCTTTCAGCATATCGGGTGGCTCTCTGGATTAGGAGTCCACTTTGCTGACCATGGCAGCTGCCCTTGAGACTGACAGGCAGTGTCTGACCAGCCTGAATACTCTCAGGCTGGAAGTGTGGAAGTGAAGCACAGAAATGCAGCTGTGGAGAGAAAAATCTCTTGATGCGACAGCTCCTGGAAAATCCCTACTCTAACAGGCACAGTTCTGTCCCCAAGACACAGCCACAGTGCGGGTCAGATTCCAGGGCCCTCTCTCTGTATCATCTGCTCTGGGAGGGGGAATCAGGGCATGAAGTTCACTTCTGCTCCAGCATGGCATGACAGGGTACTCATCAGTGATGCAGCATTCCACATAGATGGGAAAATGGCACATTGGTTGGAGCTTCCTTCCCCTGGTCCCAGGAGCTATTTGGGTCACTTTCTCCCATCATAGAAGAAATGTGAATTCCCAGGATGGTGGAGAGAGGGAGGAAGAAATCTGTGCTGATTCTGGAGGTGGGGAAATGAGGAAGGAAGTCTCCATGCTTTTTAATAACCCACTCAAGGCAGGAGTTGCTTCCTGACTGCTTAAGCCTGCTGCAATCCTACTTGGAACTTCTAAACATCGTATGCTGTCTGCAGAGAATTACACATACATAAATATGACTTGGGGCTGTTTCCATCACTGGGTCTGTGACTTTTTTTTAAAAGGGCAGCTAATAGGGTGGGCAGTATAACAGCTCAGGGTCAGAGAGAAAAAGAATCAAAGCCTAATTTTGCTGATTCTTAGCTGTGCAATCATGGACAATTTAGTTTTACCTCTTTGACCCCCCATATCCTCATCAATGAAATGGGGACAAGAAAACCCACCCCATAGAATTGCTGACAACGTGGAATTAAATAGCCTGTAATATTTCTAGCACAGTGCCTTGCCTATTGGACCTGCTCAGTAAATAAATAATGATGATGATGATGATGATGATGATGATGATGATGATGATGATGATAACGATGATGATAGTAGTGGTAGTAATAGTAACAGTTATGCTCCAGGGCCTTGAGGGTAGGAGCATGTCTTAGAACCCAGTGGAGGGTCAAACACACCAAAGGAGAAGCAGCAAGATGGAAGATTTGGGGAGTGAGTGGGAGCAGCCAGACTCACTGCTGGCAAGAGAACAGCACATGCCATGCATCTGTTTATCGCTGCCCCTGCAGATTTCTTCTCCAAAACCCCGTAATTAATACTGTGCCTCTTCCGCCCCAGCCCCCAGGCACCTCTTAGGCAGGGAAGAAACGTGCCTGCCTTCTGTCCCGAAAAGCACCAGAGAGAGGCCAAGGCTCAGCGGCAGCGGCGGCTGGCGGACGAGCTGCTGACGCGGGGCTGCCCTGGGCTGCGGGGATTCTTCCCGTTCCCTTGGCAGAAAGGGGCATAATTAATCCGCAGCGCTCTCCTTTCATTAAGCCTTCACGTTTATACCTGAATTAACTTTTCACATCCAGTTAAGACGCATGGGAGGCCCTGTCCGCGCATGTCCCAGCGCAGCTGGGAGTGTTGGTTGGAAGTGGGGGCTGCGATGACCTACCACCCAAAAGCTGAGGAGCCTGAGCTTCCAGGTGTCTGGGGGCAGGGAGGGGTCCAGCTTCCAAGCTCCGCCCAGGCACCCCGGGCAGATGTCAGAAAGGGGAGAAGGGCGTTGCGCTCCAGCCGAGGACCTGCGGAGGAAGGCGTAGGCCCAAGCGAGAGTGGTGCGAGTGTGTGGGCTCCTTCCCATCTCTCCTGCTGGAAGAGATTGGAGCCTCCTTTGGGGGCTCTGGCTTTGCCAGCCCTAGCGGGGAGTGGGAGGTGGGGGCTGTTCCAAGAGGGAGGCGAAGTGCGCTCAGCTCTTTAGGTGTCCTCCTCACATTCCTGTTTGGACTTAAGGAAGTCGCAGTAACACACAGGGGCGCGAGCCCTGGTGCAAACAGGCGGGTGTTTATGGAAGCAACCCCAGGCTCTGGTTTGCTGTAAAAGAGACCTAATCTTGCTTTAGTTCCCTGGATCCGGAGCCCGTGAAACTGCCAGCGTCTCCTTGACACCCTTCAGGGATATAAACAGGGGCCTGCTGGTGCCCTCCGCTTCGGGAAATGGGCTATGTCAAAGCATCTTTCCCCAGACGCCAGGAGGAGTAGGCTGCCTTGCTTCTCTCCTGGCAGCCTCCTTGTGAATCATCCGAGCGAAATGTTTTCTAGGAACTACTCAGCCTGCAGTGTTGTGACAGAGGAGGGTATGTTAACGTGCTCTCTCCCTCCCCACCCGCAGTAGTCTCCACGGGCCGTCCCTCCTCCTCCCCCTTCACCTGCCGCCTTCATGCAGTTCAAGCCATCTGGGTCTTCTCAATCAATACTCCTGCTCCCCCACACCACCCCCAGCCCTAAGCTGGAGTTTAGTCAAAGGAGAGAAGGGAAGGAGCCAACCAAGGTGCCTGCAAGGTCTCAAGAAATTATTTGCTTCATGATCTTTGTCCTCTAGTGGTTTAAAATCCAGTGGGGGTGCGGGGGGACAAGACAAGCCTGATAGACATGGCTAGCATGCGGGGAAATGATGAACGCTAGAGTGGTGAGTGATTAAATGTCGGAATGAGTGCTTGGGACCAGACTCACACCCTTCGGAGGACGGAAACTCTTGTGGGCTGGCTCTGAGTCACCCAAGGTTTGTCAGGGGAGGTGGGATTTGGACTAAGCCTTCCTAACAGTCTCTATTCAGTGCATGCTGTCAAGATGCCAGGCTGTGAGTTTAGTGCTTGACACCATTATCTCATTTAATCCTTATAACAACCCCATGATCTGGGCATTATAATTACCATCCCATCTCCTAGATGAGGAAACAAGCCCAGAGGAGTCAGGGAACTGCCAAGGTCACAAGCTAGTGCATAGCTTTTAAGCTGGACCTGTCTGACTTCTAAGCCCTGGCTCTGAAACTTAATGCTTTATGGCCTCATCCAACCTTGAAAATATGCAAAATTTCCTAAGAAGGAGAACTGAAAGGAGGGCATTGCCACAGAGCCAGAGCATTAAGAAGATGGGAGGGTGTCAGGAAGATCTAAGTCTTGCAGAAGGGAGGTTTCCAGGCCAGCAGTAAGAACTCGACTGTCTTTTCTAGGATGTGTGTGTGTTACTGTCTCCGACCCTAAGATTGCTTCATTGTAGGGGAGGGGATTTGGGGTTCTATGATTTCCCAGGACCCCCTCTGGGAAACCCAAACCACCTCTGAGTAAGGGCAGAAGGGTCTCCTTGTAAATCCTACCCCCAAGAACTTCAGGATATCGAGAATTTAGAGATTCTATGACCCAGTTGATCCAATACCTTCTGTTCAATTTGGATCAATAAACATGTGCCAGACACTAAATGCTAGAAATGATTAAGTGACAGTCCTTCTCACCAGAAAGATTATAGTCTAGTGAAGATGATAGACACATAGAAAAAAAATCAATATGAATGATAAATGCAAAGATAAAATTCATGGTCCTTCTCCATACTTGGGACGTCAGCTCAGGAGGAAAGAACACACTAGCTGAGCCTTGAAGGCTGAGCAGGTGATCGGTGAGGAAGGTGGGGAGCAGCACTCGGGTTAGAGAACATCGCATATGCAAGGTCCTGGAGGTGTGGAACAGCAGTTTGTGTTTGATTATTAAAGCAAATCCTTGGAGACAGGGAGTGATATGAGATGAGGCTGAAGAGATGAGCAGGATCTCACCATAGGAGGCTTTGTGGAACTGGCTGAGGAGCTTGGGCTCAATCCTTCAGAGGACTGAAGGGCTTTCAGCAGGATCTAACCTGGTTGCTTTGCATTTTAGAAGCACCCCTTTGGCAACAAAGAGGGCGAGGGTTTCCACTGGGCAAGACTGAAACCTAGGAGGCTGACAAGGGAAAGTCTGCTATACTTCACCCAAGATATGAAGAAGGCCCAGATCAAGGCACTAGTATTAGGTTAGAGAATAGAGGACTGGGTTAAGAAACACTGAAAAAGGGGAAGAGATGAGAAAAGGCCAGGGATGGAGAAGGAGGCACCTGGGCGACTGTAGACTTCTATCTTGGGTGACTGAATGAGTGTGTTGCCTTTAAGATTTGGAACACAGAGAGAGAAGCAGGTTGGTGGGAGGGGATGATGGGTCATTCTGGATTTGGTTAAGTTCATGATAATCAAGTGACATTTAGGTGGATGCTTTCAGTAGATACCTGGAATCAAGCTCAGAGGAGAGGCTGGAGATGCAGAATTGGGGAACATCAGCAAAAAGACAGGTTTAAAAACTAAGAGAGTGAGTGAGCCCAGCTACAGAGATCATGTAGAGAAAAAAGAGAGAAAATCCGTAAACAGACCCCAGTGAGCAGCCATGCTCAGGAGGTGGACAGAAGGGGGGACAACCATGGAGGAGACTAAGCAGAAACAACCAGAGAGTTAGAAGCCAAGGGAGCATAAGATGTCATGGAAGGAGGAGCCCCAATGTTAAATGCAGCCAAGAGGCAGAGGAAGATCAGGACTGAAAAGTGTCCACTGGCTTTGACAGAATGGAGGTCGCTGTGGCTGTCTTATCAGGGTCCTGGCAGGAAAGAGATGGGGCTCTTAAGTTGGGAAATTTCTAGAGAGTTGAATAAAGGGAATCTTGATAACAGCATGGCCTGGTGCAGGGGAAACCCCGAGGAGAGTGCAGTGCACTGGGAGAGGTCACAGAAGGGCACATAGGAAGCTGCTACCATGGACCAGAGCACCAAGAAGACAGAAGAGCACCAAAGCCAGGGCCAGGGAGGGCTGAATGCAGAGGGTTGTCAGGGCTTGTGAAGCTGGTGAAGGTGGATTGCCCGCAGAGTGAGACCCCAAGGGTAGAGAGTTGTGGAGATCAATTCTCTGACCTCTCTCTCCCCCTTCCAGTCTCCAGCAGAGGCTCCCTATGGGCCTTACCCACTAGGAAGCCACAAGGCTAGTGAGACAACAGGTAGATGCAAGATCCCCAGGTCAGCCTCTGGGACCAGAGAGCAGGGTGGAAGAGGGTGGAGAGTAGACATGGAGGGACAAAGAGGACATGCCTAACATGGTTGTCCCCCTAGAGCACTTCAATGGAGCCATGGTGGGGGCGGGCTCAAGACCCACGAGTAATGGGTGGGTCATGCAGCAAATGCTTGTCACACCTGCCAGCATCCCCTGAATGCCCTTCCCAGGCATGGTAAATCTCTCATATATGAGTCTGTCTTCCCTAAGGAAAAATCTTCTCTTTCCCAGCCGTCTTGCAGCTGGGGCGGGCATGTGATCTGGGCTCCACCAATAAGCCCTACCAGTGAGAAGTGTGGATTTGCAAGAGAGCAAGGTGAGCAGACAGGTGCTGGGGGGAATCTGTTTCTTGATTAGGGTAATAGGCAGCTATCAGCTTTGGGGTCAGCAATTCCAGGCTCTTTGGCATCCAAAATCAGTCGTCAGCAGTACCAGCCACAGCTCTGGAGTCAGTAGTCAAGGCTAGTAGGGCCTCCAGCGTAGGAGACTTGGAGCACCAGTCCCCATGTACAGACCCCAAGGCTTCTCTTGGAAGAGTTTCTGGAAGATTCCTGAAATCTTTTTATTAATTTTATTTCTGCTTATATTAGCTAGAGTAGGTTCTGTTGCTTGTCACTAGGACACTTACTGATGTGAGAGCTGACTGGGAAGTGAAGACATGGGTATAGGAAAGCAGATTATGCTTTTTTTTTTTTTTTTTGAGACTTGTGTCTTGCTCTGTTGCCCAGGTTAGAGTACAGTGGCACAATCATGGCTCACTGCAACTTTGACCTGCCAGGGTCAAGTCATCCTCCAGCCTCAGCCTCCCAAGTAGGCATGTGCCACCATGCCCTGCTAATGTTTTAATGTTTTGCAGAGACAGGGTCTCACTATGTTACCCAGGCTGGTCTCAAACTCCTGGGCTCAAGCCATCCTCCCACCTCAGCCTCCCAAAGTGGTAGAATTACAGGAATGAGCCATCAGTCCGGACCCAGACTAAGCTTTTAAGAGAAAGAGGAGAAGGAAAGGAAAATGGAAGAGTTTTGGGTCAACAAAAGGATATTTTTAGGGAGAGAGAGCACCGAGAAGGTTAATGAGCTGGAGGAGGGAACTATGAGAAATGGAGAGCTATAATTATCCCCATCAAGAAGCTAAGAAAACTGAGGTTCAGAGATGTTGACAACCTGCCCAGAGTCATACTGACAGTAAGCAGGAGTGCAAGAATTCCAGTCCAGGCCTGCTGGCTTGAAAACCTCATCCTACAAGCATCCCCTGAAACAGCCAGCCCAGGCCGCCTCATGGAGGGTAGTTTTCATTAGAAATTTTGAAGTCATAGCTAAAGCCCAATTCAAAAAGACAGAATGACTCCTAGGGACAGGGTGAAGAATGAGCTGATCAGCCTCGGTATGACAGAGAGACACAACTTCATGTCAAGTGAGTCAAGCTGGTTTAAAACATGAGACTCTGTATGTAGTGCTAGCTCATCCCACAAGACTGTGTTATCCTGGAGTAAAATCACTGTTCCTCAAACAACTGACTGAACTCTATGAAGTACCACATGAAAAGGCTACCGGGGGGAATAAAAAAGCTATGGAATACGCCCCACGACCCCAGTACCACCAATCCCTTGACAAGTGGGCATTCTGGAACACCAAAGAACCTCCTAAGAGTGCCTAGCTTGTTTCATCAAAGCCAGATCTTCTGATGTGGCATGCCAATGTGTGTTCAAGGAGAGGAAATGCAGGAACGTTTTCATGGATAAATGCATAGAGAGATTCTGAATTTTCATAGAGTATCCACGGCGTCAGCTGAGTTTGCATAGTGTGTGTGTTTCAGTTGTGTTTGTGCCTTTATGTGTCAAGGGCTTGTTGAGACATTTGCAGAGTTAATTCATCCTGACAGTCTGGGTTTCTGTGCAGGGTCTGCACACATGTATGTGCAGAGTTGACCCATATACATGAAGCCCCTGTCTCATGAGAGTAGTGTCTGTCCACCATAAGCCTCAAAGAGAACAGCCCTATGTAGAAAGTCTTTTACTGTGTTACAATTAAGAGGCTAATTTCCCAGGTGCTTTTTCAATTGACCATATCGACAAAGTCTTGAAATTTGGTTATTTTAGTAACACATAAAGCATTTTCCTTGGTTAACACATTGAAGTTTAATTTCAGTAATATTTCCATTAACAACATGTAATTAAAGCATCCAATAAAGATCAGTAATTTACTTAGCTGGATTTGTGTTATGAAAAAAAAACAGAAAAGAGAAAAAAATACATTTGTGGAACTCAAATTCCATTCCACTGTTAAATGAATATTACGATTTTTCTGGGTCTCTTAATTGAAACTCATTTTTTAGCAGGAATATTAAACAAATTAAATTAAGCAAGTAATTTCCCTTTTTAGGATTAAAAAAAAAGATTTCAAGTGGAAAAGCTCCTCTTAAACACCCATTAGTGGGATGGGGTGGGACAGTAATGTGGGCAAATGTGCTGCTTCTGCTTAAGCAGCAGGAAGCTGATGAGCTGCCATCCTGAGTGGGACCCCACACGCTTAAAGAGTTCAGGCCCTGGAGGAGCCCACAGTCTTCCTGACCTGCTTGGCTGAGATTCTATAGGCTCCGGCCCTAAGGAGGGTAGGCTGAGACTGGTGGCAGCAGCAACTCAAGTGGCGAGAGAAGCCGGGTCTGGGCAGGTCACTAGGGCCAATCCAAATCACGGGCAGGTGAAATCAGCTCAGGCAAGGCAGTGAGTACAAAACAAGCTTAGGAGTGAAAAGTATCAGTGAGCCACTTCAACCCACATGTTTAATCCTCCCATCTGCCCAGTGAGGGTGGGCAGAGATTATTTGCTCTGATTTACATATGCAGAAACTACAGCTCTCAGAAGTCACAATTTGAAACTGGGTCTGCCTGGCTCCAAAAGCAGAAGTGTTAGTCTGGGTCCTCAAGAAGCAGACTCCTGGATAAGACTAAATGTGCACAAGATTTAGGAGGGGCAACACCTGTGAGGGAAAAAGCATGGTGGAAGCTAGGGGTGGCTGGGAGAGCTGTGAGACCCAGATGTTGGTCTGACCCCGGGGTGAAGAAAAGAGAGAAGGAAACTTGCATGGGAGCAGTTTACATTGCAGAACCAGTGATGAGATAGCTCCTTGAAGCTGTCAGAATCCTCCAGTCAAAATGTCCCATCAGAGGGGTCCTGAGTCTCGGGAGTGGGCCTGTCTGTCTTAGCAGCTGTGCCATACACAGGCACTGGCTGGGAGCACAGCAGCAGTGAGAGACTTCAGAGCACTCAGCTGGAGGTGCGAGGCCATTGTGCTCCCCACAAGCAGAGATCTGGGAAGTGCATTTTCAGTGCCACCACATCAATGCTCGCTCTCTCTCTCTCTCTCTCTTTCAATCCCTACCATGTCAGATGGCCACCCTTTATTCAGACAGATTTGGTACCAGTGGCTAACAAGGATAGGGCAGGTGAGGGAAAACAATTCTAATATTAAGTGATTTTCAGGCAGCATTTGGGAGTTGCCCACATGAGGCAAATACCCTATGGGTGAACAGGACAGAGGGAGGCAGGACCCATCCAGGGTTGGGGAGAAGATGGGGCAGATGAACAGGGTTGGCCAGAGTTTGCATCCCCAGTCACTGGGTGGGATGGAAGACTTCCCCAAAAAATGTATTGAATGGCCAGGCGAGGTGGCTTACGCCTGTAATCCCAGCATTTTGGGAGACCGAGACAGGTGGATCACCTGAGGTCAGGAGTTCGAGACCAGTCTGACCAACATGGAGAAACCCCATCTCTACTAAAAATACAAAAATTAGCTGGGCATGGTGGTGGGCGCCTGTAATCCCAGCTACTCGGGAGGCAGAGTTGCAGTGAGCCAAGATTGTGGCACTGTACTCCAGCCTGGGCGACAGAGCAAGACTCGTCTCAAAGAAAAAATAAAATGTATCAAATGCTAAACAGGGCCACATAAAACCAGGAGAAAGAAACTAGGCACTGATGTAGGCCTTAGAACTGGCTCACCCAAGGTCAAGAGGGGTCAGGGAGGTTGGGAGTCCCCTGAGCCATACCCTTACCACATTAGGTCCATAGACTGGTGGGCAGCATCAACTCAAGGAGAGAAAGCACACAGGGACCCATTTGCCATGGCTTGACTTCCAGGCCCCAGGCCTGTGAGGACCCTTGTCTCACTTCGCTCCACTCTCAGGCTGCAGTTCACAAAGTGTTTGGTTCAGGGCAGGACCAAGGGACATGGTGTAATCAAAAAGGGGATCCTCCTCCTGAAAATTCCCCAAGTGGGGAAGGCACTGTCTCTGCCTCAGGGCAGCCTCCCATCTAATGGAGAAAACAAGCTTTTGGCCCTCAAAGAGTTAGTCCTTGGGCCAATGGAAAAATACAACCCCTGTTTCATGTGAGGGACCTGGTGGGAGATAATTGAATCACGTTGTTCTCATGATGGTGAGTCTCACAAGATCTGATGATTTTATAAGCATCTGGCATTTCCCCTGCTGGCACTCATTCTCTCTCTTGCCACCCTGTGAAGAAGTACCTTCTGCAATGATTGTAAGTTTCCTGAGGACTTCCCAGCCATGCAGAACCATGAGTCAATTAAAACTCTTTTTTTTTTAATAAATCACCCAGTCTCAGGTATTTCTTCATAGCAGCATAAGAGCAGACTAATACATGCCCCCACACACAGCAACAACACTGCCCCCGAAGATATGACTCAGAGGCAGAAGAACCTCAAATCCTCCACCCGCTCCCCAGGCCCCATCCCAGGAAAGATATCTTGGTGAGATTCCATCCTGAGCCCTACATCCAGAGATACCTCACTAGGGCAACACTGCCTTCGGTCACGTGAACAGCCCCAGGAAAGTGCAGTAACTCAGTTCAACCATGTGGCTCCATAATCTTGTGTCAACCTCACAGCTGATGATTACTCTTTTATCACAGGCTCATAAAGTCTCCACATTGCCATGAATCACGGACACTCTGCCAGCGAGAGCCTGGAAGCCCAGCCAACTCTGAGGGTGTCTGCTTGATTAGCAGCTGCTGCCATTCATCTGAGGTCACCTTTCATGATTGCAAGGGTCCTTTCACCTGCTTGTCCTGGAAATCAGGGACCAAGTTACTCTCCTTCTGGTGGTGGAGTCTCCAGCTCCCTTATACTGGACAGATACTAAATGGCTAGGGGTCTCCCATGCAACAGATTAAATGACCTGACAACACGGGGCAGAGGGAAACATCAAGGTTTGAGTTCAAAGGCATTCAACTCTTGGGTCTGCCATTTACTAATTGTATGGACTTGCGCAAGTCATTTTTAAGCCATTCTAACCTCAACAACCTTGGCTAGAAAATGGGTATTGTGAAGCTTACATGAGATAATGTCTGCAACACACTTTGAAAACAGTAAATCAGTAGACAAGTTAAAATTGCACCTGTTATTAAGCCAGGACCCAGGCAACAAAGACCCAAACCAGGCAGACAACTGGAACCAGGAAGGAGGCTGCATCCAAAGGTTAGAGTGTAATAAAAGGCTAGAGGGAGTACAGAGAAGCCAGAGTTTGAGGCAAGGCAGTGGGCTAAAGGCAGGACAAGAACACTTAGCATTACAAACTAGTAGAACTGGAAAGAACCTCAGGATCTTCTAGCCTGGTAGTTTACAAATTTCTGTTTAGTAGGTGAATCTTTGTCCGATTAAATCAGGGTTCTCCAGAAAAGCAGAACCAATAAGATGTGTATATCTAAAGAGAGAGATTTATTGCAAGGAACTGGCTCATGCAGTTATGGAGGCTGGCAAGTTCAGATCTGCAGGGTAGGCTGTCAAGCTGGAGACCCAGGGAAGAGGCAATGTTGTCTGTAGTCAGTCTGAAGGCCATCTGCTGGCTGAATTCCTTCTTGTTTGGAAAAGGTCAGTGTTTGTTCTATAAAGGCCTTCAACTTATTGGATGAGTCCCACCCACATTAGGAGGGCAACTGGCTTTACTCAAAGTCCACCAATTTAAATGTTAATCTTATCCATAAAATCTCTTCACAGAAACATCCAGAATAATGTTTGACTGAATATCTGGGTACCATGGCACAGCCAAGATGATCAATAAAATTAACCATCACAAGATCTTTCACAGAACTCCAGTATATGAAATAGATACAAGAGACCCTGCCATCATTGAACAGGGAGTGAGGGAACAGGGCCCACTCACACTACAGTCTTTTGTCCCCTGCAGTGGCTGCAGAGGCTACAAAGAATCCAGTTTGAAAAACCACTGGTCTAGTTTCCATTGAGTTTGACCTTCACTCAAGAGGTAAGATAATCCATGCTGGTCACACAGCTAATTCAGTAGAACTGAACTCACCACACTCTCTCCTCTGCTGGTTCACTCCATCATAGCTCCTTCTAGACTGTAAGTCCTTGAGTAGAGGCTGCACTCACCTCTGCATGCCCAGCTCAAAGCAATGGGCAGACACATAGTAGGTAAACTGTATATTTGCTGAATGAATGAGTGAATAAATGAATTCAAGAACAAAGACCATTCAATAACTGGAAATCCAAACTGAGAAAAATGCAACACAAGAGGGCAGAAACAGTGCCAGTGCCTCAGAACTAAAGCCTCACATCTGCCCTGCAGTCCTAATGAGATGGGCCAAGGACGGAATTTCAGAGGCCTCAGGATGTTGAGCAGCTGCTGTTTGCCACACTTGACAGTAAATGCAAACAAAACTTCTCTTTGGCTTTAGAATGCACTCTACAACTGTTCCTGCAGCAAATTCACTGCAGGCTAGTAGTAAAATGAGTCTGCATTCTGGGAACATGTTCAGAGTGGTGAGAGGAGGCAAACAGCTCCAAGACCCTGTGGCAGAAGGAAAAAAGGAGTGTGGTCCTGCGATGGCAGAGTCTAATGAGTAGGGCACCACAAACGGGAGAACCTGTAAATATCTGGTGGCTAAGCGAGCAAATCCAGAGTAGGCAGTATTGGTCAGAGTCTTGCAAAGATGCTCTCTACCATCAGTACGTCTGAGGGGATCTGGGGAGTGAGGCAGGATGTTCTGCGTGAAAGAGGAGGTTGTTTGTACACCTAGTGAGGCCTAGGAGCCGATAGGCCTCCCTATACCTGGTAGTTAACTGGGAATGGAGGTGGGCATCTGCCCTGCTCTGTCTCAGGAGCCTCCCAAGGCTGGGAAATCTCCTGCCAGCTGTCAGCACAGCTGTTCTCCAGACCCTAGAGTACTAGAGCTAAGGGAGAAGGGGGACTTCCCATGCAGAGAAGGAACAATAAGTGAAGGAAAAAGTAATGACAAAGAAACATTTTGGCAACTTTTCTCCCTGCACCTGATCCTAAAGGGCTTCCTTTTAGGGAGTCTGAAACTAGTGAGGGAGAAGGAGGGGCACGTTTCTACAGTGCTCCATTGCAATTTCAGCAGGACAAACAAGACTTCACAGCCTGTCCCCGACCTCCTTCTGGATCAGTGATGCCCAGCCCTGGTTGCCCATTAGAATCATATGGGAGCTTTTTTAAAGTATCGATACCCAGCCCCAGTCCAGAGAATCTTATTGTATTGGTTTGGAGGGGAGCCCGAGCATTGGTATTTTGTTAAAAGCTACTAAAGCGATTCTAATGTGCAGCTGAGATGGAGAACTTCTGCCTTAGATGCTCTGCCCCCACTCCTAAGATTGGCCCCTCCACACCCTCTTCCTGCCCTCCACACACAGAGTCCAGGCCTTTGTATAATGTCATGCATTTACACATGTACTTCGGGGTTCCCATTCTTCCTTCTCACCTTCTATCTCTGCTTGGCAAATTCTTCACCCTTCAAGACCCTAGCCACATGTTGTCTCCTCTCTGAAGCCTTTCTGGATTTCTTTGAGCCAAGCTGAGCCCTACCCACAGCATTGTACTGCTGCCTCTGCCACATGGTACTCCAGTCGTGTAGTCATCGACTCCCAGCTAGATGCAAAGATTCTTTTGTTTTTAATTTAACTTTTATTTTAAGTTCAGGGGTGCATGTGCAGGTTGTTATATAGATAAACTTGTGTCATGGGGGTTTGTTATACAGATTATTTCATCACTCAGGTATTAAGCCTAGTACCTATTAGTTATTTCGTTATTTTTCCTGATTCTCTCCCTCCTCACACCCTGCACTCTCCAACAGACCCCAGTGTGTGTTGTTCTCTCCCATGTATCCATGTGTTCTCATTGTTCAGCTCCCACTTATAAGTGAGAACATGTAATATTTGGTTTTCTCTTCCTGTGTTGGTTTGCTAAGGTTGATGGCCTCCAGCTCTGTCCAAGTCCCTGCAAAGGACATGGTCTCATTCTTTTTTATGGCTGCATATTATTCCACGGTGTATAGGTACCACATTTTCTTTGTCCAGTCTACCACTGATGGGCATTTAGGTTGATTTCATGTCTTTGCTATTGTGAATAGTGCTGCAATGAACATATGTGTGCATGTGTCTTTATAATAGAACAATTTATATTCCTTTAGGTATATACCCATTAATGGATTGCTGGGTTGAATGGTATTTCTGTTTTCAGGTTTTTGAGGAATTGCCACATTGTTTTCCACCATGGCTGAACTAATTTACACTCCCAACAACAGTGTATAAACATTCCTTTTTCTCCCCAACCTCACCAGCATTTGTTATTTTTTTTACTTTTTGATAATAGCCATTCTGAATGATGTGAGATGGTATCTCATTGTAGTTTTGATTTGCATTTCTCTGATGATCAGTGATGTTGAGCTTTTTTTCATATGATTCTTGGCTGCATGTATGTCTTCCCTTGAAAAGTATCTGTTCATGTCCTTTGCCCATTTTTTAATGAAGTTATTTGTTTTTTTTCTTGTAAATATGTTTAAGTTCCTTATAGATGTTGGATATCAGACCTTTGTCAGATGCAGAGTTTGCAAAAATTTTCTCTCATTTTGTAGGTTGTCCATTCACTCTGTTGATAGTTTCCTTTGATGTGCAGAAGCTCATCATTGGTTTAATGAGATCCCATTTGTCAATTTTTGCTTTTGCTGCAATTAATTTTGGGTATTTGTCATGAAATCTTTGCCTGTTCCTATGTCCAGGATGGTATTGCCTGGGTTTTCTTCCAGGGTTTTTATAGTTTTAGATTGTACATTTAAGTCTTTAATCCATCTTGAGTCAGGTTTTGTATATGATATAAGGATGGGGTCCAGTTTCAATCTTCTGCATATGGCTAGCCAGTTGCCCCAGCACCATTCATTGAATAGGGAGTCCTTTCCCCGTTGCTTGTTCTTGTCTTGAGGTAGACATAATTCATGGATTAATATATATACACATACATATTTATATATTTATATATATATATGTGTGTGTGTGTGTGTATGTGTGTTTATTTAGTAATGTATTTAGTGTCTCCTATGTGTCAGATGCTCTGAGGACCAGGGATATGATGATATATAAGATAGTCAAGTCTTCCCTTTTATATTCCCTGTAGCTCACCTGTCATAAGGAAGTTTAACAAATATCTGTTGAATTAGTGAAAGACTTTCTGATGGAAGAAAGATAGGCAAGGTAGCATGCTGGTTAGGAAGTATGGCAGAGACAGTGCTTTAATAGGCCACTGGGAGATTTCATCTCTCAGTCCACCGTGATGTCAGATGGGGTCTGGCACTTGGGATGTGAGCAGAAGTAAAGTCAGCTGCTTCCAGGTTTGACCTTAAACACAACTTATGCAATCCCACTTTTCTCTTCCTTTGCCTCAATGACCTTGGAGGACACATTGACATAGCCACAAGATGGAGGAGGGCTGTCCAGCTCTCCAGGCTTTAAGGGAATGAGAAAGAAACATTTTGTGCTTGACCACTGAGATTTGTGAACCAATGTCTTACAGCAGGGAAGTCTGCCTTATCTTGACTAGTACGGAATGCCTTTGCTATAAGTAAGAGCACATGAGTGGAAGTGGGGAAAGATAGAAGTTTTCATCTCTGATGATAAAACTTGCAGAGGTAGGTGGTGTCTGGGGTTGAACAGCAACTCCTTCACATTAAGAAGGGCCCAGGCCCTCTCCATCCACCAATTCTGCCACCTTCAGTGTGTCAGCGTGTCTCTACTCTGCTCAAAAAGCAGCTTCTGCAGTTCCTGGCATAATTCCCACATCACGTGAGTGTCCAAACACAGTGAAGAAGCGGGGAGGCAAAGGCACCTTCTCATCATCTTTCCCATTTTAGGAAAGAACAAAGTCTTTTCCAGGAGCCCCAGCAACTGCCCCTTATATCTCAGGGGCCAGAATTGGGTCACGTGGCCAATTCTGGCTGCAGGTCAGGTGAGAAGACCATGTGCAGGGTCTCCCTGCTTCTTTATCTTGGGAAGTGGGTTGTGTCTACTGCAAACGGCTGGCATCTCAGCCTGCCCACCAAGCCTGGAGAGAGGGACACTGCCTGAAACAGCCAGGCCAAAGGTGGGAGGTCCACCTGCTTCACATTAACAACGGCACTTCCTATGCAAGATCCTGGTTACCGATTATAATTTATACCTGAGTTTGTTATTTGGGGAAAGCATCAGGAAACTCACTGCTGCCTCAGAGAGGAAAGGTACAAAGGCAGGATCATTAGTTTTATTTCTTCCTTCAAAATATTCTTATGAGGCATGTCTTTTATGGCTGCATACTCATTATATTTCAAATGCATTCAAGTATCCTTGATGTATTGCTAAGGGTCTGAATGGGGTTTTTTTTCCTCCAAAGCTGTTGTGAAAAAAATATTTATAGGTGAAATTGGGTGAGCCTATGGAGTAAGCTTTGTTGTCTTCTTTGAAAGCTGTGTTGTGGGGGCCGCTGCTCAGAGATGGGACCTTTCTTGGCTGTATCAGTATTGGAAAGACCAGGTAGGACAGGCCTTCAGCAAGGGTAAAGGAGAAGGTTGCCTGGACATTGTGATTTGGGCCATGCTATGCCTAGAAAATGTTTCCCCTAACCCCAGATCCCTAACTCACATAGAGTCACCTCTTAGGTCAAAGCAATGTTTCTCTGAGTTTCCCTCAACATTGGCTTAATGAAGATGAAAGCCAGTGGATTCCCTGAGGCTGGTAGGAGGATAACCAGGACAGATATCCAGCTGGTTGTTAAAATACTTAAATACTTCCCTACCAGTTGGTAAATGGATGCAGTCCAGAGCTCCCCAGTTCCTTCCTTGGCTGCTCTCCCAGCTCCTCCCTTGGGGCTCCAGTACTCCTCTCAGTCCAGCTATTAAAGAGTTAATCTCTGGTGTTGCAAGGGTCCTCCAAGACCCTGCTCCAGTTGTTATTGGTTGCTGCTCCTATTGGTGGTTAAATATTTTGACTACCACTTCCTTCAGATTGCAGCCCAAAATGATCCATCTAAAGGCTCTCCTGTTTTAGCTGAGAAATGATAGCAAATTGTATTCTATGCCATAATTTACCCATATTTGTTTTCATATGAAAGCAATGTTTTAAAATAGTACCTATGAAATAAAAATATTGCTCCAAGAAGATGTACAAAGACCTTTGGTCTTTCCAGCACTTTGCTGGGTACCTTCCGCCCCAGGTAGTTGGGCAATTCAGTCTGAGAATCAAAGATGTAAAGATCTAAAGTGCTGTCATCAAAACATAATGGCACAGTTTTGAATATGACACTTAAAGGGCAAAAGCCAACCCTCGGTCTGCGGTCTGTACCCAAACTTTCGTTTTGGCAAAACCCAACTCCTACTCCCTGCCAGCTGCTCTGCTTCCTAGTCCCACTGCCCTGACCTAACAGGGGCATTTTCCAACCTTCAAATCTTCTCATGCCTTTCCATCTCTAGGCCTTTGCTCCTGCTGTCTTTGTCCATGGGGTTGCTCAGCTTTCAAAGTCATGCTCAAAGCTACATCATCCCCCTCCAGAGCAGACCCCCAGGCTGCTGTAATCTCTCGCTCTTCCTTATTTGTTTTTGTCTTACCTATCCTGTGATTCACATCCCTTTCTATCCAGCATGCTAGGTATTTACATTCATCTTTCAAGCTTGACTATGGCCGCCTTGAGGGAGGGACCTTATGTCGTTGATGTTTTTACTCTGCACTGCATCTAGACATGAAGCAAGCAAGCAGAAAATGTTTATTCACTAACTGAAGTATGGCAGTGACTTTTTAATTTTTTAATTTTTATATATTTAGGGGTTACAAGTGCAGACTTCTTACATGCGTGTATTGTATATTGGTGAAGTCTGGGCTTTTAGTGTACTCATCACCTGAATTGTGAACATTGTACCCAACAGGTAATTTTTCAACCCTCACCCCCTCCCATCTTCCCATATTTTGGGGTCTCCAATGTCTAGCATTCTACTCTGTATGTCCATGTGTGCCCATTGTTTAGCTCTCACTCATAAGTGAGAACATGCAGTATTTGACTTTCTGTTTCTCAGTTATTTCATTAGGATAATGGCTTCCAGTACCATCCATATTGCTGCAAAATACATGATTTCATTCATTCTTATGGATGAGTAATACTCCATGTTATATATATATACCACATTTTCTTCATCTAAACCTCTGTTAATTCATACTTAGGTTGATTCCACATCTTTGCTACTGTGAATACCATTGCAATAAACATACAAGTGAAGGTATCTTTTTGATATAATTATTTCTTTTACTTTGGGTTTATACCCAGTAGTGAGATGCTAGATTGAATGGTAGTTCTATTTTTAGTTCTTTGAGAAATCTCCATACTGTTTCCCATAAAGGTTGTACTAATTCATGCTCCTACCAACAGTGTATAAATAAGCATTCCCTTTTCTCTGAATTCTCACCAACATCTGTTGTTTTTTATCTTTTTAGTAATAGCCATTCTGACTTGTATATCATGGTATCTTGTGGTTTTCATTTGCATTTCTCTGATGATTAGTGATGTTGAGCATTTGTCATATGTTTGTTGGTCACTTATATATCTTTTGAAAAATGTTCATGTCCTTTGCCTACTTTTTAATAGGGTTCTTTGTTTTTATCTTGTTGAGTTGTTTGAGTTCCTTGTAGATTCTGGATATTAGCCCTTTGTTGGATGCACACTTTGCAAATATTTTTTCCCATTCTGTAGGTTACTTGTTTACTCTGTTGATTGTTTATTTTTCTGTGCAGAAGCTTTTAATTATATTCATTTTTATACCTTGATATTGGTTAATTACATTTCCATCTGATGAAACAGGAGGAATAGAACATGGGATAGGCCACTTTGATGGAAAATACAGGATAAGGTTTAGACAAAGGCAGGACTCCAAACCACCATAAGCCAGCACATAGTTAAGGATGTAAAGGACAAATTCCATGCATATTATAGGTTTCAAAGGGCCAGAGAGTCATAAGTACAGACCCTAGAGTCACACTGGCTTCCAAACCTGGCTGTGCTACTCTGTGACCTAGAGATGGTTCTTAACTCTCTGTGGTTCAGTTTTCTCACCTGTAAAATGGGACTGATAATTGTGTCTACCACACTAATTTCTTTGAGAGGATTAATGAGTTAATACACACAAATCGTTGAGGATAGTGGCTGGCTGATTGTGATCCAAATCTCAGTACAGCCTAGGTAAGTCGGGTCTCCCATGTTTTAGTCCCTTTTTCCTTCATGATACAGAGACTATGACAGTCACCCAATTCCATTTTCTTCCACCTCCAGACCAGTGTGTATGTCAACTTTAGCATATTTTTAACATTCTCAGGTTAAGCACGTTGGACCTGTAGCCTTGGGAAGCCAGGTTTATACACTGTGTAGGAGGTTAACAAAAAAACAGCCACATAAAAGACAAAGTAGAATACATGTTCCAATGCCTACCTCCACTGAAATTTCTTTTGCTCTGCCAGAAAGTGGTCTTTTCACTTTTGTAATGATACTCAACATTTTTGACAATTAAAGGTCAATTCAATTAAGTAAACTTTCTATTGTAAAGGGAAGAAAAGAAGGAAGGGGGTGAAGGAGTAGGGGAAAAGAAATAAATGAAAGAAAAAGGTGGTTTTAGCAAAAAGCTGGCAGTCATTCATAATTCAGTGTGAATTTGTTAAGTTAGATTGCCTTTCTGACATGTATCTGATATTGATCCACTTTGGAAAACAGAGATGTGGGTGGATTAGGATTTTAAATGGGAAAAGGCCATTTCAGAGCATGTCGAGGAAGGATGGGGCTGGGTGGAATATCCAGAGCAGAATGACACGGTGGGAATGGGTGAGGGGTGCACCCAGCATCCAAAAAGCAAACTCAGCCAGCTGAGTCCAAGAAGTAGGTAAGGGCAGGGAACAAAAGAAAGATCAGAAAGAAACTCTGAAGAAATATTTTATATCTTGAAATGTAGCCTAGTGGAGGCTTTGGAAACAAATGTGAGGCAGATGTTCCGCCTAAAGCAATCTAGCACTTCTAGCTGCAGTTAGTTGGTGATGCTGTTCCATCTCCAGGATGCTTTATCAGGAGGGATCAGAAAGCTGGCTGTTGGATGTCTGCCCGTCCCACTCCTGCCCTTACCCTATTATGAAGGGAACAGTATTCTCTCTGTGGTCCCCAGAGCTTGTTCACCATGCAAGCACTGTGGGAAGTTGCCTCAAATTCCACTATCTCTTCATCACCCCTCTCCCTCTTCCCTATGAAAATGGGACAGTTCTAACTCCTTCTCCATTTCAGCAGAGAAAACATTTTTCTCAGCCAGTCTTGGTAGCACAAAGGCAGTCACTAGACTAAATTTATCATTTATTACCCCCAACTTCAGCCATCACCATCCATTTTATTTTTTTTAGTAAAGGCAGCTTAATGGGTTTAGACAGATGATAATTCATCAGAAAATCAAAGAACTGGAAGGGCCCTAAAAGAATATCTAGTTGCACCCACTCACTTGACAGATAATGAAGCCAAGACTCAGAGAAGGGCATGACTCCCCCAAGGTCAACAGCAAGTTGAGGGTGGAGCTACATCAAGAGCCCAAGACTGCTGGCTACCAGCTCTCTTCCCCCAGCCCCTCTGTATTAGTTTGTTTTCACACTGCTGATAAAGACATACCTGAGACTGGGCAATTTACAAAAGAAAGAGGTTTAACTGGACTTACAGTTCCACGTGGCTGGGGAAGCCTCACAATCATGGTGGAAGGCAAGGTGGAGCAAGTCACATCTTATGTGGATGGTGGCACAGGAAAAGAGAGAGAGCTTGTGCAGGGGAACTCCTCTTTTTAAAACCATCAGATCTCATGAGACTTATTCACTATCAGGAAAGACCTGTCACCATGATTCAATTACCTCCCACTGGGTCCCTCCCACCACATGGGGGAATTCAAGATGAGATTTGGGTGGGGAGAAGGCCAAACCATATCACCCTCAATCACTGACTTTTGTTGTAGGGTGGTGAGCCCTATCTAGGACTGGATTGGAGTGTCTACCTGTGATCTGTGATTTATGGGGATCCTGAAGGGTCCTGTCTCCCCAGCTGCTGCTATGTGGGTATAAGACACCATGCTAGACTCTGTGAGGAAACCCCTTGGTGGCCTATGTCCTTAAGCATCAGAGGATGCTTTGGGCTGCAAGTAACAGAGACCTTCACCTTAGCTGGCTTCAACCAGGAAGGTTAATGATCTGGCACCACAGGGCGCCCAGAGTAGGGGGACTGCCAAAGTTGGTACACTTAGTGGCTCAATCTGTTATCCCAGGCTGTCTGTGTCTTTTTGATTCACATCATCAGCATGTTGGTGAGCTCCCCTCCTAATCATAAGACAACTGCTGCAGTTCAAGGGCTCACTTCAAGACATAAAGTCACACCACAGAAGATGAGCCATTTCCTCCCGGTTGTCCTTTTTGTTAGTGAAGAACATTTTCTCCAAAGCCTCCCAGAAGAATTCTTTCCTCTCATTGGTCAAGATTCGGCCACATGTCACTTTCTTCACCAATGACGGGCAAGGGAAATGGGGTTACCAGAATTGACTTAAATTGAGATTTACCCTAGAGTCTTGGGGAGAGGTGGACACTCAAACAAACTCAGGGTTCTGCCAGCAAGAAGAAGGGAATGGCAGGGGGCAGGCACTCAACAGTACCTGCCACATATCATCACCATCTGAGAAGAAGTGTAGTGTTCAGAGCAGACTCTGGAGCTAGTCTGGCTAAGTTCAAATTCTTGCTCTGCTGCTTTCTAGCTGCATGACCTAAGAAAATTATTTTGTCTCTCTGTGAATCAAATTATTTGAAGAATATAATATAATCTACCTCTTGGTGCTATAAAAACTATGTAAGGTAATATATGTAAACCGTGCAAATATATGTAATATGTAAGAGGCCAGCCCACATAAATATTATATAGGGGTAGCTGTTGCTAGCTGCTTCCTGACTCCCTTCCCATCCTACATGAACACACACTCATGTTCACAACCCATATGCCCAACATCACTGCTACAGGAGCCTCATCATTATTCCAGAACTGACCTGCATTTTTCAAATCTTGAGACTTCACATATGCTGGCCTTCCACTTGTAAAGATAAACTTCCCACCATCTTCCCCATTGACATTTAAGAGCCAGCTCAACACCACCTCCTCCATAAACTTTTCCTGATCCCTTCTAGTTGGCATCAATCTCTTTCCACTCCACCCTCAAACTCCCCGAACCCTCAGTGTCTCCACTTGGGCTCCTGTGCATCCTGCCTTGCTGTGTGGTTCTGAGTGAGTGTGTTGGTCTCCTAGGCTGGGATCCCCTTTAGGGCAGGAGGTTAAAGACTAGGTCAAGAGTCTCTTTAGGAAATAACTCAGTACCCTGCATACAACATCATCTTAGTAAAAGTTTATCAAATCACATAGAATTGAATAAAAATATACAGTCTCCGCCTTCAAGGAGTCTAGTTGAGGAACAGGACAGATACATGTAAGACAATTGGCCATGTAAGCATTAGAACATCAGCACCCCCTACAGACCTGGTTCTCCAGCCACACCAAGCTTCCTGCCATTCCCTTACACCTGCTTGCCTTTGCACATGCTGTTCCTTCTTCCTCCAAGTTCCCTCTTTGCTCCCAGAATCTTTTTATAGCTGACACAGTCCTACTCACCCTTTCAGCCTCTACTCCATCATTGCCTCCTCTGTGAAGCCCCTTGTAGTGATGCTGCTGCCCACTGTGATTCTTCTCTGTTTATTATACCACTCACATACTCCACTTCTGCCTCCTCCAGCCTGGGTGCTCCTGGAGAGTTAGGACTAGGTCTTTCCATCTCAGCATCCCCCAGCCCAGTGCAGAGCTTGGCATGTAGCAGATGCTCCATGCCAACATACCATGTTGGTGGAGTGAATAAGCAGATGAGATTGCAGGCAGCCTGTGAGCACTCCTGGGGATTTATATTAGCTCTCTTTTGTCCCTTTCTCAGAACAGAATCCCTGGGACCCTGGTAACAATTTAACAACAGGCTGTGTCTTCAGGAGGAAAGCCAGTCGGGAAAGCCGAAGAGTGGGAGCCACACTGGTTGAAGATGCCGGGCATCCCAGCCTAGGAGATAAAAATATAATTAGTGTAATCCTGAGAGCAGTGTGACAACACCTGCCTGGTACTTGCCTCTGGAAGGAAAGCTGCAGAGAGAATAGGCACAGCAGAGTGGGGGTTATACTCCTCTATGTCAAGTGGCCAGACTGGAATGCAAAGAACACAGCATTCTTCTAAGAAGGGTCCACCAACAGGCACGGCCATGCAAGCACTGCATATCCCCCAGGATTCTGGCATGTGTTCCCAAGAACAATGTCTGCAGTGCACTCTTGCATTTGTCGCTGTTGGCTTTCCATTGTAATACAGTGCCATACCTTACAGTTTCCTGAGCCCTTTCCCGTGTTACTTCAACTAAGCCTTATATCAGCTCTGCAGGGACGATCCTGCCTATATTCCAGATGGGGAAACCTACTCTCAGAGAGATCAAAGGCCTTACCCGATCGCACACTGCTAGTAAGAGTGGGGGCTCTGGATCCAAGCCCAGCGCTTGCATGATCTGGTTTGGCTGGAAGGAAATTTGACAACGGGAGATTTCTTTCCGTTTTCAGGTGAGACACTGGTTTGCCCCCAGCATCCATGGTCTTGTGGGCCACTATTCTTCTGTGGGTCTTTATGTGTTGAGGTTGGGGGGAGTGGAGAATAGGGATATAGGGAATAGGGATGGAGGGGAGGTTGTGTTGTGTATGCATATGTGTATGTCTGATGTGTATATATGTGTGTATGTGTATATATAATGTGTGTCTATGTGCATGTGTATATCTGTACATGTGTCTGTATGTGTCTGTGTGGATATGGATGTGTATGTTTGTGTGTATATGTGTATGTGTATATGTACGCATGTGAATGTATGTGTCTGTGTCTGCATGTGCATGTGTGCCTGTCTGTATATGTGTGTCTGTGGGTTTCCTTGTATATGTGTATATATGTGTATGTGTATATGTATGCATGTGTATGTATATGTCTGTGTTTGTGTGTGTCTGTGTGTGTATTTGTGTGTATGTGTAATTGTGTACATGTGTATATGTGTGTGTATGTGTCAGTGTCTGTGTGTGTCTATGTTTGTCTGTGTATATATCTGTATATGTGTGTCCGTGGGTATCCGAGTGTGTGTGTGTCGTATGTGTCTGGGTGTATGTGTCAGTGTCCGTGTCTGTTATCTGTGTGTATGTCTATATATGTGTGTCTGTGGCTGACCACGTGTGTGTGTATTTGTGTGTGTTTGTATACGTATGTATGTATATGTCTGAGCTTGTGTGTGTTAGGCCCAGAGAGAGCTGAGAGCATCCCTCATGCAGTGAGCATGTTCCCTGGGACAGTGATGGATTCTCTCCAATTGCCCTGAATGTCATAATTCCCCCAAGTGCATGCTCAGGGCAGTGGTATTTTTAAAACCCATTCATATGTCTGTTCTGCACATTGCCCGGCCCTCTCCAAATGGAAAGGTGGGGCTGGAGCTACAGCTGTGCTGATATTTTCCATCACCCTGTCACCCAAGTTGTCTTCCCCACTGAGAAATAGAGGGCTTCTCCTTGTTTCCCCAGGGACCACAGTTTCAGCAGAAGACCCCACAACCCACCCCTTTTACCCTCATATTCTCTTCCTTGTTCAGAGGGGGGCCTCAATGCACAGGACTTCTCAGTGTCCCCCGACCAGCTTCTGAGCTGGCTCAGGCAACAGAAATGTGGTTTCTGGGTGGCTCCCGTTGGATCGGTGTCTCCTGAAGCAAGTCACCTAGCACCAAGGACTGTCATATCCTCATCTGTAAAGTCAGGATCATGGTGCCTCCTGAGAGGATGAAGTGTGGGAATGCTTTGGAGATTGTAGCAGGCCCTGTACCTTGGCCGTTATTACCACAGCAGCCTCTGGCAGCCATCAGCACCATCCAGAAGCCAGAGGCCCCACTTCCACCTCCCTGACTCTACTCTGCTTTCCTTCCAGATCTAACGACAAGCTCTCTGGCCCATCAGGGTCTCCTCTGTGGTGTCTCCACCAGCCTCTGTTGGCCTTCACCACTTCTGTCTGAACTACCAAGTGCTCCAGCCCTTCCTGAGCCAAAAGGTTGTCTTCTGTTTAGAAGCATTTTGATTTAGAAGGTGCCTTGGACTCAAACCATGGTCTTGTGAGCCACCAGGACTTATTCTTCTGTGTTTCTGTGTGTGTGTATGTGTGTGCATGCGTGCACACGCATGCATGTGTAGGGGCACGTAGAGGTGTTAAGGATGTTGTAGCATGTATGAGGGGGTATGTGGAGATGTTGGGCATGTTGCAGTATGTATGCTGTAGTGGGGGTATGCAGGTGTGCAGTGGCCTCTTTGCCCTAAAAGAAGCCAGGGGCTCCTGAGTCCCCCCGATGCAGGTGGAACAGTCCTGCTTTCCAAGGTTTTCTACCTGGGGATGATTCCCTGAACTCCCTGAGATAGCCATGTGAGTTGGGCTCAAAAGGTGCTCCTGGGATGGGTACTTTAGACCCCTGCTACTCAAAATCTTGCTCCAGGAGCAGAAGCATAGATACTACTGGAAGGTTTGTTAGAAAAGCAGTCTCATACCCTAGCCTGGAACTACTAAATCTGTCTGCATTTTAACCAGATCCCCAGGTGATCCGATGCATTGGAAAGTGTGAGAAGGCCTGGGCGGGGATAGGAGGATGAACCTGCAACAGGAAGGATATTGGCTCAGCATAGGGAGGAATTCTTGCCCACTGAGTGTGTGAGGTAATGGGCTGGGTGACTAAGAGAGGCAGGAGGGAAGGTCAAAGGAGACATTTTTCAGTAAAGGCTGGGATTGGCCAGTGACTTAGGAGGGGACAGAGCTGGTTGTCCCAGACCCTGATCCAGCCCAGCGTCTCCACTTCATTGTGTTGGGTGGGCTGGAAACTGGGCCCCCAGCAGGCCACAGCCTTGTGATTCTCCACCAGTGAGACACCACTGGCGTTGTGTGGCTTTGTATCAGGATGATACTGGCCTCACAGGATGAGTTAGGAATTGTTTCTCCTCTATGTTTTTGGAAGAATTTGAAAAGGATTGGTGTTCATTCTTCAAATGTTTGCTAGAATTCATCAATGAAGCTGTCTGGTCATGCACTTTTGTTTGTTGGAAGGTTTTTTATTACTAATTTAGTCTCTTTATTTGTATAGATCTGTTCAGATTTTCTATTTAATCTCTAGCCAGTTTTAGTAATTTGTGACTTTCTAGGAATTTGTCTGCTGTAAGCATTATGGCCTGGGAACCAAGCTTGCCTTCCCTAAGCAGATCATTATGGGTGGGTAGTTCCTAGGGTTCCTGCTGCCAGGTTGGGCAGTTCTCAGGAGTTCACCTGTGCCTGGTCCTGTCCTCAGATCCCTGAGTCTGGTCTCTTCATTTGACCCAAGTGCAACTGTGCTAACAAACCTGCTCTGGCCACAAGAGTTTCCTGCCTAGATCCACACCGCTGTTATCTTGCTGGTGGACTAGAGCCAGCTTGCAGGTGAGGTAGAAACCTCAGCAAAGTCAACTGCAATCTCTCAAGTCCTGCTCTGCACCCTGGATCCTGAATCCTGCCCTTGAATGTGGACTGAACATTTCTGATCATTCTGTAAGTGATCAAATAAGAACTTTCCCAGGTGTTCAAAAACTGAGGATATTTTCAGTAGACTCCTCATGACTCAAGTTGTCATAGTAAAAGCTTTTTTGGTTAAGATTAAAAGAAATCCACTATATTAGGCAGGAGACTCAGCTTGAGGACAAATAAACCTTGAAATCTCAGTGGCCAAATGCAAAAAGCTTGATTTCTCTCTCACGTGAAGCCCCAGAAGGGTGGCACAGTCCTCCTCAGCAGCTCTCCCTCCACTGAGATTGGGGATCTGGGTTGTGCATTCCTGAGTTCCTCACTCACAGCCACAGGATGAGGGGGGAGTGCGTGAAGCACAGTCACTGGGTGTTAGCTGCCTGGGACTGGAAGTGACACATCCCATCTTCTCATGTCATTGGGGAGTATTCAGTTAGCTGGGCTCACTCTAATGACAAAGTGCGATCTTCCTGGAAGTTAAGCTTCCAGACCACTTTAGACAAAATAGAATCAGGAAGTTACAGGGAGGTCCACATGAGAGTCAGGGCAAGAAATCCAGGCAGCCTCCCAGGACCAGGAATAGGCACTGGGGAGAATTCAGATTCAAGGAAGTTCCTCTTGGGCATCACAGGTCACTCTTCTCTACTTTGGGTGACCAGCTGATTCTGGGTTGCCTGAGATGTTCTGATTTTAGCGCTGAAAGTCTTGCGTCTTGAGCAAGCTAAAATAGTTGGTTGTTCTATCATCACTTCTCTTTACCTATTGGCTTCAGTTTTGTTGTTTTTTTTTTTTTCTCCCTCCTGGCTGAATTCCTTTATCTCTATGCATGTGGCATAAAGTCTCTATCCCAGCCTGGGAAGCTGCCAACCTCAGTACCTCCAACCACCTAACTAATGCACTTCCTCAATACTAGCTCCAAATTTTCAGGAAGGACAAATTGATTATTCTGTCTCAGGTCTCACACCCACCCAAGTAGAATAATCATGGCCACCTGGGCCTATCCCTTTAAGTGAAGAGGAAGAAGCAGAAAAAGCAGAGAGGGTCAACAGACACCCCAAGTTCATGTTATTGCATGGCCTATCAAGAACTTTCCATTTTAACTACACAGAAGACAAAAATAGAAGAGGACTATATTTACCCCGCCAAAGGACAGTGAACCTGGGATAAGAGCTGAGCTCCAGCCCCTCCCCTGAAGCCCCCCACACACAGAATTCATACATATTGTCAGCTACGGTGGTAGGCAGAAATGTAAGATGTCCCCCCACGTTCCCAGCCCTGTGTTCACCCCCCTCTCCTTGAGTGTTGACAGGACCTGGGAATATGCTGGGATGGTCCCTCTAGTGATTAGATTACATTATATGGCAAAAGTGGTCACATACTCACTTTCACAATTATTGTATAAGACACTCATTGCCAACTAGAGAGAGATTCTCCTGCCGGCCTTGAAGGAGCAAGCTGCCATATCGTGAGAGGCCCACTGGCCAGGACCTGGGGTCAGCCTCCAGGAGCTGAGAGTGGCCTACAACTAACAGCCAAGAGGAAAATGGGACTCTCAGTTGTAAGAACACCAGGAACTGAATTATGCCAACAACATGAAAAGGCTTGGCAGAGGACCTGAGTCTCAGATGGGATTGCAGCCCCAACTGACATCTTGATTTCAGCCCAATGAAACCCTAAACTGAAAATGGAGCTATGCCGTTCTTGGACTTCTGACTTACAGAAGCTTTGAGATAATAAGTTCATGTTGGTTTTAGCCACTAAATTTGTGATAATGTGTTACATGTGCATAGAAAACTAATACATCTAACAGGAAAAAATCATAGGGGCATTAGGCAAGCCCAGGAAAGTAAGTTTCAAATGTTCAATCTTAAATCCAGTGTCCACATGCACAAAATATTAAATCAGCTTTACTCCAGAGTCCAGCTTTCCTGGGCCACCCACATTTCTCACCACCCAATCCTCGCCGTTTGGGGCTGCGGCAAGGAGAGCTGTCCCCCTCCATGGGGGCTGGCCTGTGTCATCAAAAAGGAAGCAGCAGCCATCCCCCAAGGAAAAGGAAGAGTGTAACACTGGTTTCCCTTTAAACATTTGGACGTATGAAAAGGATTAATAACAACTCATTTGACAAGGGTGACAGACATCCAGCACTCCCATACATAGTTAATGTGAGGATAAATTAGTTTAGCTTTTCAGAGTACAGTTTAGCAAGATATATTAAATTGTAAACTACACATATCCTTTAATCTAGCAATTTCTCTTTTAAGAATTTACGCTCCAGAAATATTAACACAGAAACAAATCATAATGCTCAAAGATGTTCACTGCAACATTGATTGCCGTAAAAAAAAAAAAAAAAGGCGGTAACCTACATGCCTGTCAATAAGTGATTGGCTAAATAAACTGTGGTACACTCATACTGGAATACTATTCAACCACTGAAAAAAAATAAGGTTTATTTCTATGCGGTGACATGTCTATGCTGTATCTGTGATATACTGTTAAGGGGGAAAAGCAAGTTGCAGAGCACGATGTACTGTATATCATTTTTGTTAAAAGTAATTACATATTTATATGTTAAAATATGCCTAGTAAAGATGGAAAAATATAAACTACATTTTTAGAAACATTTCTTGAATTATGGGGAACTTTCTGTTTTACATATACTTCTAGATTATATGATAAGGACTTTATTATACATTTCTGTATCGTTAAAAATATTTACTACGTGCATTTGTTAATTTTCTAATAAAACAGAACAATGAATTTGGTTTTTGTTTTTTGTTTTTTGTTTTTGTTTTTTTTGAGACAGAGTCTTGCTCTATCACCCAGGCTGAAGTGCAGTGGCATGATCTTGGCTCACTGCAACCTCTGCCTCCTGGGTTCAAGCAATTCTCCTGCCTCAGCCTCCCAAGTAGCAGGTTTTTTTAATTAGATTAAACACCCCTAGATTTTTTTATCTACCGTCTGAGAAACTGATGCAAGCCAGCCAGGCTTAGAGCTCACCATCTAAGTAAAGCTTTCCATAGGCCTGCAGAACTGTCAACAGACACATAGTGGTTTTCTGCAAAGGGCTGATGTGTAGTGAAGAATTAATTTCACCCAAGGAGAGGCCTGGCCTTTGCCTTCAGCTACTGGGAGGTATCTCTAGACACTTGGAACACCATGCCTAATAGGAGTGTCTTTGTTTGCCTGGGGCTCTGGTTACCTGAACAGTCTAACAATGTGATTTGTGATCAGAGATCTAGGCCACGTGGTATCATTTCCACCTCCAAATGTCAGCCACATGGGCAGCATGTGATGGAGTACCAGTAAAAACTCTGGCTCACCAAAGGCTTGGGTGAGCTTCCCTGGTTGGCAGTACCCCATGTGTACTGTCACTTGTCAGTGTCAGCAAAGTAATGCTGCCCATGACTTCCTCGGGAGTATTTTCCTGTCTAGTTAATCCCCACTCAAATTCACCCCTCTGCTCGGACCATGTTTCTTGGTTCATGTCCCCATCTCCACCCCTAGGCACAAAATTTAAAGGGCACAAAATTTAAAGAGGCCTCACTTTCAGGGCTGACCCCACATTTGCATGACCCTGAGAATGAGCACCTCCTTATCATTTGTGTCCTCAGCCCTTGCTTGCCTCACCCTGGTCCCAGCCCTGAATTCCAGTCTCCTGGCCCCTCCCCTCCTCTCCCTGCTGATCCTCAGGACTTTTAGCCATAATCACATCTTGCCTTTTTAGAAACACTCCATTCACACTCATGGCCTCCTAGACTTCTTCCCATGAGAAGCAGTTTCTTCCAGACTGCAGGTTTCAAACATATTATTCTGCCTGCCTGGAATACCACCCCACCTCTCACCAACCTAAAATCCTCATGACTAATTCCTCCTCAGCCCTCTGTGCTCAGCTTAAATATCACCTGTGCTGATACTTACTCCTAATTCCCCCAGAGTAAGTCAGATGCCCTGTTACATACTCTTGAAAAGCATTGTATCACAGTTGCAACTAATTATTTGTGTCATTATTTGGTAGATGGCCATCAGGCTACATGTTATGTAAAGCTAGGTATACCAGTCAGACTGGAAGGAAACACATGGTGTATTTTAATGGGGTAATTGATTTGAGAGTTTGAGGCACCCCAGGGGTAGCAAGAGTGTGAAGCCATTACTTCTCCAAGGCTTGAAGGGGAAAGAAGAGAGAGTGGTTCCTAGAAACTAGGGAGATCTGTGGGTATTCTAGGAGAAATAGCAGCTGTGGCCTTGGGAAGAGGAACGCAGACCCTGCCAGCCTACAGAGCAGCAGGGAAGAAACGAGGGGGATAAATGTCTCAGCCTCTATGGCTAAACCCAACTAGATACAAGAAGGCAGGAAGCTCAGGTGATGCAGTTCATACCGTTCACCCTTCGGGGCACAGGGCAGGGTGGAGGAGGATGGAGAAAAAACCTGGAGGGATAAATTAAGATATCTATCCTGGCAGGGACCATGTCCATCTTGCTCACCCCTGAATCTCTGGTGTGTAGCTCAGTTCCTACCATGGAGAAGGCTCTTAAGAAATATTGGTGCTGAACAAAGGAATGAATCTCTCCCTCACCTACATCCCAGAGGTACAGTAAGATCAAATGAGATCAAGTGCATGAGAGTATTCTGTGAATCATAAAAGAGTAAACAAATAGAAAAAAGTATTATTCTGATTCTTCTTCCTATTGTGGAGTCAGTTTCTAAAAGAGAACCACAGCTTCTAGAAGGAACCACCTGGCTACATTTAATTTCTTAGCTGGCTAGAGCACCAGCCACCAAGGGCTCTGTTGGCTTGAGCACCTGACCTGAAGGTCTTCTTGGAGGGGTAGCTCTTAGTAAGGGTGCATCTATACCATAAAGGTACTTTATTTTTAATTTATTGAGTTAAAAATAAAATAATGACATTTTCTGGCAGCAAAATTCTCTCTGTCATACCTTGGGACTAAAGGTTTATTTCAACTTTATTAAAACATATTAGATACATTGAAGAGTCATGCTCTCCAGCCAGCTGACAGAGCCACTGCATCCCAGTAGATGTTTTGGTTTTGTATTAAGAAAGTTGTCACAAGTAATTTGGACTGCAGCGTGTAGTCATAGACTGCCAAATGTTGATTAATTAAGTCGATGTTTGGATTAGTTCAGCGTGATCATTGCATTAGGGGAGATGACAGAAAATGTGGAATAAAATATCAAGGGGGAATGAGAAAGCATCATGCCATAAGTGAGACCTAAGACAATAACGCCCACCCTGTATTCATTAGGATTTGCATGTTTGTGCGTGTGTATGTGTGTTTTCAAGTATTCCAGCAATGGATGGATCCATGGCTGTAAGAATTATAAATAATTAATGTGAATTCTTCTCCTGGTATCCGCTCCTTTTCTGTCCTCGCCTTTGGGCTTGACGTCTCTCTGCAATGACTTCCCCAAGTCAAATTTCCAAATGTTCATTGAGCTTTTAGCCTTGAGTTGGAGGACCCTCAGCCACACTGGGGTGACCATTTATGGGACCTTGAGGAACAGCCAGGTAAAGACTGACAGGGAAAGCTGGGGGTTGACTTCATTCAGCCACCCAGAACCTGGCAGAAATGCCAGATGAAAGGCAAGATTCTCAGAGAGGCAGGAAGATGCTTTTCCCAACCTCAAGGGAGCCAATATTGATGAAAACGTGAGTCTACCTCAAACACGATGTGCTTTTAAGAAACTGTATTTTTGCTAATACATAACTCAAATAATGAGAGGCTTGGACATTTTTAGGAGTTTGTATAGATGCATATGGTTTTTACCTTCATAAATTCATTCAAACATTAAACATTAATGTTCAGCCCTGAGCTGTTCAATTCACAAGAGGGACAAAAGACACAGCCTTTGCTCTTAAAAGATTTAGGATCTGTATGGGAAGGTGAGTTTCCTGTGTTACGTCTTTCTAGCCCCACATGTCCAGCCAGCATGCCCTGTATCTTTCAACCATATTGTACTTGTTAAAAATTCCTTAACTGCATCATGTTCTCTCTCATTGCCAAGATGTTGCCATGCTGTTCGTGCTGCCTAGAATATTGTTCTCTCAACCCCATCATCCCATCGCCAATTCTTCAGATAATTCCTGCTCGTCATTCAGGTTCCAGCTTAGCTTAAATGTCATTTCTTCCAGGAAGCCTTCATTAATCGTGGACACTCAGACTAGGTAAGAAGCCCTCATTCTATACTCCAGAGTATCCTGTGCTTCCCTAATCATAGGACCCATCACATCATATTGTTACTTCTTCTTTAATTGCCCATCTTCTCCTCTTTATCATAAGCATGGGGAAGAGAGGGCATTTGTCTAGCTTGTAACATCCTCAGTGCTTAGTACAACATGTAATAGGCTTAATAAATGAAGAGAAAGAATAGAAAGAACATGAGCCAAGAATCTAGATTATTTCTACCAATGAGAGTGATGGGAACCCTGGCAAGCCACCGCCCATCCTCAACACCCATTCTCTCATCTGCAGAAAAGGAATAATAGATTTGATGGCCATCTGGCACCCACTAGTGTCCAAGATTGATGTCTGGGCTGATGTAGTTAGCCAAGTGGGAGTCCCATCCCCACTCACTGCTCCCAGTGAAGCATCGGGCTGGAGCAGAAAGAACGATATCCCCAGGAGAGGTCAAGAGCACTAAGTAGGCAGGTGCAGTGGCTCACATCTGTAATCCCAGCACTTTGGGAGGCCGAGGAGGGCAGATCACCTGAAGTCAGGAGTTCAAGACCAGCCTGGCCAACACGGTGAAACCCTGAGTCTACTAAAAATACAGAAATTAGCCAGGCGTGGTGGTGGGTACCTATAATCCCAGCTACTTGGGAGGCTGAGGCAGGAGAATTGCTTGAACCCGGGAGGTAGAGGTTGCAGTGAGCTGAGATCGTGCCACTGCACTCCAGCCTGGGCAACAGAGCAAGACTCTGTCTCAAAACAAACAAACAAACAAAGAGCATTGAGTGAATGGGAATGACAAAATTGATCCCTCTCTCCCTCTTAAACCTCTTGGGGGCCCAAATGAGGATGGCCTCTATCAGTCAACTGTCAAGCAATACCAGGAGAGAATGGTTGTTACATTAGTGAGACAACTGATGGATACATATTTTGATGGCTTACAACAATCAGTGGCCAGATGAATAAAATTCTGCTCTGGCATGAAGAGGATTTACTCTGACATGCGGTATAGCTAGCCAGCTAAGTAGAGAGAGACACAGACGGTCCCCGACCTACTATAGTTTGACTTAGAATTTTTTTATTTTACAGTGGGTTTATTGGGACATAAACCCATCCTAAGCCGAGGAGCATCTGTATAGATATAGATTTAGGCTAAGGGAATCTGCAACACTTGTTAGCAGCATGTAGGAAGTTAGTTGGATATGGCTTTCCTGGGTATGAAACTTGGACTTCAGTCTCACACATGCACAAAAAAGCTAATCATCTTCCCTTCTCTCCCTGCCCCAGTTATTTTCATTTTTTCCCATCCAAGAGGACTTTGATGACACCTCTGTGGAGGCCTTCACTTAAGGGAGATAGGACCCCTTGCCTTGAGAGTGGGTTCCTTCACATCTCACCTGTCCCCCTTGCTGGTCTCTGGACCACTCTTCCTCACTCACATTCTAACAACTGCCTATTCCTTCCTTCATCTCCTAGGGAAGTCCAGTTGGCTTATTCCTGTCCCAGAGTGCATTCTTCTGCAGGGTTTTGTCAGGAGAACTGGGAGGAATGGGGAGGTTAAGGACTGGAGCTTCTACCCAGCCTCACTAGCTGTAAAAGCAGTCAGAGAACAGTGCCCTCCACCTCCACATTCTCCTTCCATGATTCCTCAGGAGCCCCACCTCCCTCTACAGTTTTCAATAGGAAAAAAATTCCACCCATTGAAGCTGGTTGATAACATAGGAAATTCTGATTGAAAGGAAAAATAAAGACATAACAAAAGTGGAACATAGTATAAATTCCCTGCAAGGTCTAAAAGTCCGCCAGGCACAAAAGCTGACAAAAAGAGCTTATGCAGAAAGCCAGCCCCTTTCCCTATTCTCCCTTGAACTTGCCTCCTCTGCAGGAGGAGCAAGCAAACACTACTCACTACTTTTCTCTGCATGATTTTACTTCCATTTCATACAAATTTTAAAAAGTTGCTTAACATGCCTGGAGGTAAGTAGATGTATCCTTCTGGCCCATCTACCCTTGACCAAGGCTAGCAGAGGAGAAAAGCCTCCTTCTGCACCCTGGAAAGTGACTCTGGCTTGGTGAGATGGGAAACTTGGTTAAACTCGGATAGTTCATGAGCATGCTATAAACTAATACCTGAAAGGACCCGCACAGCAAAAGGTAAATAAGGGCCCCTGAGTTTGCTGCAACTTCACCAAGTGCCTTCTGAATAATGGAAGAAAGAACAGATTTGGTACAAAGCATGTCTATCCATAACAAAAGGTAAGCATAGATGTGGGGATAGCTTTACTAGCTATGTAGCAGCGTAAGATGAAGACAGGTGCATGGGCTTTGGAGTCAGACAGAACAGGGTTTGAATTCTGACTCCCTTACCTTGCAAAGTGACTGTCTTAGATTGAGTTCCCCAGAACTAGAGCTTGATTCAAGGATCTGAGGATTATATGGAGATGATCCTAGAGAGAACTCATAGCAGAGTGGGAAAGTGAAACAAGGAAGGGAAGAAACCCATAGAAGGTAGGTTAAAGAGCAGGTTACCACTGTGGGGTCAATGTCAGAAGAACCTTTTGGAGACTGTGTAATTCATGCCTCAGAGTTGTCTTCCAGCAAGGTGAGAAAGTTGTGATATTTATCTACCAATCCCCACTGTTTATTCATTGTAGGCTGCTCCCAAGTATGCTACCTGCACCCAGGTTAAGTGGGCTTTCTCACAAAAAGTTTACAGTAGAAAGCTGTCAGTGCATAAAAGAGAGGCATGATGGCATTCAATATACCTTTGCATAACTTAAAAATGCAGATACCTTTAAATGAAGTAGAAGAAGCAGAGAATCATCATGCACATTGTGATTGAAAAGTCTTAAGCTTACTGCAGAGGGTTTCTTTAAGAGGGGACAGACTTCAGGATCTGGTTTCCACAACCCATATCCCTCAATAGACAACCCAAAGCCTGAGCATCTTGGGACCTCCTCAAGCCCTTGCCTCAAGCAAGGACTTGGAATTCATTAGGAGATTTCATCTCAGCAGCCCCAATATACAAAGTCAGTTCATACGTACCCAGTCTTAGCATCTCCCTTCCCAAAAAACTACATGCGCTTTGACTGGGAAACAAGCAGTAAGGCAGAGCTGGATCTGGTCTACCAGATGACCCACCAACTGTGTGGTCTCAGAGGTGTCATTTAACTTCTTTGGTCTCATTTCTAGTCCTATAATAATTGACCCAGACTTCTCAGAGGCACAGGGAGGATTAACTTAAGGAGGTAATCCATGTGAATGCAGATCAGCCTGTCTTCCCTCTCTGCACCTCCAACTTACCCTTACAGGGCCCAGAGCACACCGCCAGGTTCTTAGCAACCTTCAACTTCTACGTAGATTTGTGACACCCTCAAGGACAGGGAAATTCCAGCCCTGGCCCTGGGCCAAGAGACATCGCCATGGCCCAAAATTGGTGTATCCCTTCTCTCTGTGAAGCTAAGATGTGGTCCTAAAAGCCAGCCAATGTGGTAGGCAGGGGCAGGCCGTGTTGTGGGGAGGCCCTCAGGCACTCAGGCTGGGTTTTGTTGCCTCATTCAGATACCCTGGTCCTATCCTGCCAAGAATCATGCATCACTCTTTTCCGTGGCTGTTAAAATTGGCTCTGTTGCATTTGTGATTCTACAGCAGGAAACTATAATCAAATCAAGGAAGAAAACTCCAAAAGAGAATGGTCTCTCCCTCTCCCTTTCTCTTTCTTTACACACACACACACACACACACACACACACGCACACACACACATACCACTCAGGGAGAATCAGAAAGGAAGGCAATAGCAGATATAAAAATGCAGAGAGAAAAAAAATGGAGATAAAAGGAAATAGAAACAAAAAGAGACACACAGGCTCTCTGCAGTGCGGAGGCCTGGTAGGACAGGAAGTCGAGGAGGGGAGGTGTGGAGGTGTGAGATTCTCAGAGGGAGAGAGTGGAGGAGGCGGCCAGCCATGCAGGAAAGAGAGGCAGCCATGAAGAGATTGTGTTCAGGCTGCAATGTTTAAGATCCTAAATAATAGTAATGACATAGTGTGCACGTGCATGTGTGCATGCATGTGTGTGTGTGTGTGTACACCTCTGGGTGTGTGCTCATGAGCATTAATGGCACAGAAACAGAGCACAGGCACAAAGGCAGGAAGCAGATGGCCTGGGAAAAATCCAAGGGGCTTTTGAGGGCGCTTATTATCCCAGGCAGAGCCTTGCCTGCTTCTCTGAAGGCACATAATCAATACTTCCTGAATAATGTTGAACGATGCAATCCAGTCCTTTACCAAGAGGGTGGATCACAGGTGGGACAGTAAATGCAGACATGGCCCTCCTACCCACTTTTCCTACTTTACTACCACACCTGCAAAGCCAATCAATAATGAAAAAGTGCCAAGTTGCTGGCCTAGAGCCCTGGGGCTCAGATCCACACATCTCACTTGGAAGTGCGACTTTCTTTCCTTTCTCTGAGTTAAAATGATGTGTTCAGATCCTCACTCCCCTGCTAGACTGAAGGCACCCTGAGGGCATGCCACATTTATTATTTATCTTTGTTTCACCACAGTGCCCAGCACAGTACCAGGTGCTCAATATATGCTTGTTAAATAAATGAACTGTATGGCGGTAGCTGTCATATGTCCCAGGGCACAAAAATGGTCTACAGAGCAAGATTTGACAGGGTGCCACACACACCCAACAACATGCTGTGCTTGTTTTTCCTCCCTCGCTCCCTCTCTTCTCTCCCTTTCTTCCTCCCTTCACCAGGATTGATCAAGCCCCTATTCCAAACCAAGAACTGTGCCAGATGATACCTAGCTAAAAGAGACTGAGGCTGAAAGAAATGCGTGCCCTTGGGTCCCTTGATGTTCTGTGTCCACTTAGGGACATCATGCCTTTGGAGGGCATGAAAGAGCATGGATGAGTCCAATATGTATCTAGGGTCAGATGAAAGAGGTTACATCTCCTACAGGTTGAGTATTCCTTTTCCAAAATGCTTGGGATAGCAGCGTTTCACATTTCAGATTTTTTCAGATGTTGGAATATTTGCATTATACTTACCAGTGAGTGTCTGTAATCTGACAATCTGAAATTAAAAATGCTCTACTGAGTATTTTCTTTGAGCATCATGTCAATGCTCCAAAAATTTAGAATTTTGGAGCATTTCAGATTTTCAGATTAGGGATACTCAACCTAAAATATGTAAAAGACAAGGCTGGGTACGAAGCTTCAAGTTCCTGAGTAATCTTGGGGTAAAATTTACTAACTGGATGTTTTCAATTTTCCTGAAAAAAGAAAGACTGAAGGAAGAAAGCAAGGAAAGGAGAAAGGGAGAGAGGATGGAGGCAAGAAGAAACTGATATTACCAAAGAGGGTCAAGGGTAAGTTTGGAAGAACTCCCCAAGAGCAAGGACACTGATTACCCAACACTTCCACCTTCCAGGCCTTTTGTGCCCTATCCCATTTACCCTCCACAACAGCAGTGAGGGAGGTACTGTTATGAGGAGGCCCTTTTGCTAATACAGAAACAGGTCTAGGCGGTTCCAGGAGGGTCCTTGGGTGTGGATCTGAGAGTCTGATTTGGGATTTCTCAACAAAGAGGGATTCGGTGCACACCACCAGGGGCACCAAGTGGTGATGATGATTCAGTCCTGCAGATTGTCCCAGCCTGGTCGGTCTCCTTTCATCCCAGAGGGGAAGGAGTCTGCAGTGGCCTGTAAAATGCAACAGATGCTAAGAATTTTCCTTTTGCAGCTTAAGAGAGCCACTCCCTCCTATCTTCCTCACACCCAGCCGGCTCCCAGGTCACAGAGCCAATTCATCTAAGATGTCACTGCTGGTAACCAAGCAGGAAGCTGATAGAAGCCTACTGCTGGGGCGTTTAATCTTGCAAAGTAGTGTCAAGCAGGCATGTCTCAGGATGCTGTGACTCAGCATGAGTTCTGCCCTTCAGGTTTTCATCCTTGGGAAGTCTCAGCCTGTGGGGCCAGGTAGAGCAGGGCAGAGACAAGCAGAAAACCAGCATCTGCCACCTGGTCTCCAAGCCGTGTCCCTCACTCACAGTGGCCCTCAGCTGAGTTATCTCCCCAAAACCAAACCACTTATAGTCACTTCATTTTCTGTGTCCAGAATGGGTTGTCCTAAATGTCCCAGTGGCTTGGCTTGTCATCCAGGTCTCACACCATCCAGCCCCGCCTTACAGGACAGGATTATCCTCCCTACTGACAGCTATCCCTTCTCAAGACCAACTCATCTATTCTGATTCCTAAAAGTACAGGCCCTGGCATCTGAGAAACCTGATTCTGCCACTAACTACATAGGACCCTAAGCATGTCACTTACCCATCAGTTTCTCATCTTTAAAATGAGCTCATCGTCATCATAACTATCTCACATGGTGGATGTAAGGACAAAATAAGATACGGCCTTGAACTGCCTACTCGGTGCTGAGGTTTGACACCAATAGATTTGTGTGGTCAGCTAAATAATGCCCCCCAAAGATGCCCACATCCTGATCCTTAGGACCTGCAAAGAGACTTTGCAGATGTGATTAAATTAAGGGTCTTGAGATGGGGAGATGATCCTGGATTGTCTGAGTGGCCCAATGTGATCACAAGCATCTTTATAAGAATGAGGCAGGAGGATCCATTGGAGAAGGAGACGTGATGATGGAAGCAGAGGTCAGAGTTGTGAAGAAGAGTCCAGGAGCCACAGCATAATCTTCCTCTAGAAACTTGAAAAGCCAAAGAAAGCCAGTTTCTTTCAGAGACTCCAGAAGGAACAAAACCAGCAGACACCTGAATTTCAGACATCTACCTTCTAGAGCTGTCAGGTAATAAACTGTGCTCTTTGAAGTCACCAAGTTTGTGGTGACTGCACCAGTAGGAAACTAACATAATACAGACATTTGGCTTCCCTCCTTCATATCAGTACTACTAGACTGTAGGGCTCATGTGTCACAGTTCTCTGAAACTCTCACAGTTCTACCGCAATGCCCCACACAGAATATCCTGCTAGAGATTGCCTAAAAGGCAGGAGAGCAAGTTGCGTGCTCTGAGTTTGGAGGCAGATGATCTAGGTTTGATCCCAGGTCTTCTATGCACTCAATGTGATCTTGGGTAAATCATACCAACTACTTGAGCCCCAGTTTCTTTTTCAATAAATGGGATAATGATATGAGTTCTCCAAAATGCATGTTCTCCAAAATGCATGTCTTGTTCATTTTCCTTTTAATTTCAGGAAGTACATCCATGTTCAGGTGTGTCTCCAAGTGTGTTTTCACTTTTCACAGTAACTTGATGATGGGTCTGACTCAGTATGAATATAAAAATCCTGCTTTTTCTCCCAGTTGGCTGCTGAGGACATTGAGTCTTCATTTGACACCTGGGACCCTATTTACTCATTCACAAAGCAAGGGGAAAAATAAAAATCGAAGAGATGGATGTGAATGGTTTCTAAGGGATCCATCATTCCTTTGCTTAATCGCTGAAGGCTTATGAAGCATTGAAGCTATAGAATAAACCCCAAATGGCCCTACTCTTAAGGTGTTTCCTGTCCATTTGGGATAGATAGGGAAACATCTCTACAGTTCCACGGGGTTCATGGTGTGACATACATGGAACACACCAGGTTCATAGTGCACATAAAGTGAATATTCTGCAAAGAAATAAAAACATCAGGCTCTTGGGGATGGAAGGTGATGAGGGAAAGGCCTTCTAGGGTTCACCTCGTGCTTTCCCTGGCACCACAAAAAGATAAGAGAGTTCTCCCTTCTCTGCAGATCTCTAGGAAAAGATTGGATGGTGGTTCCATGAGTAGTTTTCTAATGACAAACTCCCAGAACATTCCTAGGGTCTGACCAACGTTTCTTGATGACAAAACTCCTTTTCAGTATGAAGTTGTCTATTCTGTTCAGAAAGTTATTTTGGAAGGTCAGATTAGAAAGCAGATGGAGCAGGGAATGCTGAGCAGTCACAGATAGGAAAACTAGGTGGGGTTTCAGGGAGCAAATGGCATCTGAAACT
Source organism: Homo sapiens (assembly GCF_000001405.40). Classification (NCBI taxonomy): domain Eukaryota; kingdom Metazoa; phylum Chordata; class Mammalia; order Primates; family Hominidae; genus Homo; species Homo sapiens. The sequence goes on from NC_000006.12 coordinate 40,793,453, forward strand.
TTGCTCTTAGGACCACTCTGAGTACACCCAGGTATGCCCCAACAGAGGCATCATGGTCAGAACCACCCTCTGATTGCCTCCCAGAAAGAACCTACCTTTCAAAAAATGGCCTTCATTCCCTGCCTTCCTGTCCTTGGCTCTGGAGTCCGTGAAGAGTGCAGCAAAGTTTCCCCAGGGCAAGGCGTCCTAGAGGACCCGGCCTTCTCCCACTCCGGCTCACGGCGAAGTTTCCCAGGGTACAGCCAGAGAGAGACAGTAGTAGGCTTGCCTTTAATCATTTTCCAACTTGCAGGCAGTGACAATTCTAGCTAGGGATGAGCAGGCACATTAAAGAGGAAAACACTCTGGTTCCTTAACAAGAGGGTAATGTACCTGTTTTCTATTTCTAACGAACAGCACCACAAGATCAAGCATTTGTCATGAATTAGGAGGCAAGAGGCCAGAGTTCTTGATCAACTCAAGAGTTAAGCCATTCCACATACCCAGTTGTGCCCCTCCATGTGTGCCAGGCACTGTGTTGGGCACGGGGGGTATGCAGATAGTAAGCTATAGTCCCTGCCTTCAGTGTGCAGCATAATGCAATCGTCTCTTTCTCTAACATTCCTGCCAAGTACAAGGGATATAAACACAAGGAAAACATGATCCCTGCCTTTGAAGAGCTTATAACCTGGTTCATTCATTTAATAAACATTATTTGTGAGGTGCTAGGCTAGGCTTTGGGAATCACAGCTAAATTAGACAGTTACTACCTTCAAGGAAGCTACATTCTCTTAATGCTAACTGAACTGCCCTTGCTGGGTTCCTGGATAGAATTTTGGCATCTAGCATTTGGAATGCTAGAATCATCTGGTCCACCCTTCCATTCAGTGTGGGATGAGGGTGGCCACAGAAATCTTCTGGCCAATGAGATAAAACTGGAAGCTGTTGGATGGCTCTTCTGGGAAAGCTTGTGCAAAAGGGACAGACTCCATGAGCATGCCATCTGTCTGGCTTTAGACATTCGTCCTGTTTAGAAAGAGGTGTAACATTTGGAAATGCAGCAGCCCTGGATTGAATGAATGAATGAACAATGAGAAAGAAAGCCTCAAGCTAAGGTAGAGGGATGGAAAGACAGCAGGGGCCTGGGTTCCAGTGGTGCCCCTATTGAGGCAGCATGGAGCCACCATACAAGCCCTTGATGGCCTCTGCATCCATTACCTATTGCTGCATAATAAAGCACTCCAAACCTTAGTGGTTTAAAACAGCAAACATTTATTAATCACCAGTTCTGTAGTTAAGAAATCTGGGCACAGCTTAGCTGGGTGCCTCTGGCTCAGGCTTTCTCTCGAGGCTGCAGTTGTGCTGTCTGTCAAGGCTGCAGTCATCTCAACGCTTGACTGAGACTGAAGAATCTGCTGCCAAACTCACTTGGGTGGTTTCTTTCTGGCAGCCTCAGTTTCCCATGACAAGGGCCTCTCTGTGAGTTGCCTGAGCATGTTCATAGCATAGCAGCTGATGACCTAGGAGATAGCCATGGAGTATCCAGGTTAGAAGGCACAGCCTAATCCCAGAAATGACAGGCTGGCATCAATAAGAGGGGCTGGGGATCACTGAGAGTCATCATAGAGGCTGCCTACCACAGCCTCTGACCCCCAGATTTCTTGTTGCACAGCACAAAGAAATGCCTCTTTTATTTTAATCACTATTAACTGAGTGTTCTGCTACTTATAGTCAAATGTTATATAGTCTGGTAAAGTCATAACAATATTTGACTTATAGTCAAATGTTATATAGTCTGGTAAAGTCATAACAGTAGTTTACATGTACAGTATACAGCCTTTACTATGTACCAAGCAATCTTCTAAATGCCTTTTATATATAAACTCATATAATCCTTGAAATAACCTTACAAGGGAGGTATTTTGTTATCCTCATCTTGCAGATGAGAAAACAGAGGCACAAAGAGGGTACATAACAGACAGCCAGGAAGTGGCAGGTCCTTATGCACACCCAGGCAGTCTAGCTCCAGAGTCCACACTCTTAATTAACCACTGTGGTTCTCCTGCCAATAAGTACCCATGATCCTGACCTTCTCTTCCTGTTTCAAAAATCACCTCCTTGGTGGAGATTTCCCTGATCCCACCAGCCCTATGGTTGCCACAAACAGGATTTGTTGTTCTCTCCTTCCCATAATGGCTTGTGTACCTCCATTAGCATGCTGCATCGTACTGGAACTAGGTATTTACGTGGCTGAATCTCCTTCTGGACTGATTCTGAACTGAGAGCTGCTTCCTCGAGATCGGGACATGAGTGAAAGTAAATGTGTGTGGACAAGAGTGTCCACATTTTTGTGTGAGTGTGAGCACACAGAAACAATGGCCATGCAGTAGCCTGCATTCCCATGGCTCAAAGGTACCCCAACAGATGTCTGCTGAATGAATGAATGAACCAATGAATGAGTAAATAGCAAATAGATGGTATATTCACCTGAATGCTTTCCAAGACCCTTCCTTCAGTAGGCTGACGACAGGAACTTTATCGTCATCATTGACAGTCAGTATAACAGTGGTTCTCCAGCTTCCATCAGGACCACCTCGAGGAACTGATTATTAGAAACACAGATGAAAATCATCGCTAACATTTTTCACTCCTTCCCTATATGCCGGGCACCTATCTGAGCACTTGATTACCTTCATACATTTTATCTTCACAACTGCCTTATCGGATGGGTATTATTGGTAACCACACCTTATAGATTCAGAAGCTGAAGCATAGAGAGGTTAAGTAACTGACTCAAGGTCACACAACTTCTAAGGGGTGGACCTGGGATTTGAACCCAGACAGCCTGGGCTCCAGAGTCTATGCTCATAGCTGTGCACACGATTGTCTTTGTACTATTTTCTCATTGCCTTCTCATATGTTTTGCAAAGTGGTTTCTGAACACCCTGGGTGAAGCTTAGGGAAATTTGTGAGTCAACAATATCTAGAAAAAGTGAACATTGTAAAGGCATCTGCATCATGGCCCCAAGCCAGAAAGAGGCTGTTAAGGCCCCAGCCCACTGGGATAGACTCAGCTGGGGAATCCAGAGAGCAGCCCTTGCCCTCCTCTGACCCTCCACCATTAGCACTCAGTCCTCCCCTGGAAAACAGGATGGCTGAGATGATACAGGGTAGCTGTCCTCCACATCTGTACGTACCAGGCAGGGGACATGGTTAGGCGTGGCCCACTGCCAGCTCCAGGACACTCCAGCCAGCGGCATTCCGGGCTGAGAGGGCTACAGAGCAAGAGGGGGGTGGAGGCAGCCTCTTTCCCCCCATCCTCCAAAGCTCACTGAGGCAGCCCAGGGGCCAGATGTGTCACTGCTGTGGCTTCAGGGCAGGCTGTGAGGGAACTATCTGTGGTTCTCTTAAGGCCCTCTGAGTGCAGCAATGTTTAAAAGCCTTAAATAAATTCCCATCTAATTTCAACTAGCTCCCATCTCCAGCTCGAGCTCTCAGCCGGAGCATGAAACGAGCAGGCGGGGTTTCTCCTGTAGCTGTGTCTCCTCCACGGGCCCCAGGGGACCCACTCGATGACCTGGCAAGTCTTTTCCATCTCTGATATCTATGGCTCCAGCTTCTCTCCCTCCCCTCCTTCCCGTCCCCGGCTGGCCTCCTGGGACTGCGCTCTTTGCTCTTCCCCAGCACTGCTAGGCTGCCTCCACAGCCCTCCCCACCCATCTGTAGGTATGGACACAGAGAAAGGCAGTCTTCAAAACTGCACCCTTCTCTAATGCAGCCCATCTCTCAGAAGCAAGCTGAAGGCTGGCTTTTCATTCTTCCAGGTCTCAGCTCTTCTCTTGCTCCCAGAGAGGCCTCTCCACCACTCAACTCCCTCCAGGCCCCCCGGCCTTCTCCTGTCCCCTTGAGGAAATGGCCCTCCTACCAGTTCTCCCTCCCCTTCTAGCCACAACTATGGGGGTCCCTCACACTCCACTCTTGCCCTCTTGGGGCCTTGGCACTGAGAGGCCCTGCTCCCTGCAGTGCTCCCTCCTGGACCCAGAGCCTCCCTGCCTGGCTTCACTCAGGTCTCTGCCCAAATATCACTGCCTCAGACAGGCCTTCCCTGGACTCATTACCTCCTCCTACTACCATATCTTTTTATTACACTTATCACATCCTGCCACATTTTATTTTTTATTAAATACAGTAAGTATACTATCTAGAACACATATAAGTATAATACGCTTGTTTTATTATTGTCTCTGCAGCTTAAATACAATTCCCTTGGCACGAACACTTCTCTATGCCCTCAGCACTGGGAGCAGTGTCTGCTGCATAGGAGATGGTTGTTTGTTGAGTGAATGCATGGTAAATGACAGGACAGATAAAAGCATGAGTTAATCCAGGGAAACTAAGCCAGGTGCTAACAAATTAGGGGTGGAATAGCCTGGAGTCATTTGAGCAGATAGGCTTTGGAGGTCAGCGTAGGATGGCCTAGGCTTAGAGCTGAAACTCAGGAGCCAGGTGCCTGGCCTGGCTTCCAGTCCCAGCTCTGCCAATTTCCAGCTCTATGACCTTGGGCAAGTCACTGAACCTCTCTGTGCCTCACTAGGGCAGCCCAGGGGCCAGATGGATCATTGCACAATGGGGATGAGAGCACTACTCTCAGGTTATTATGAGGATTCCACAAGGAGATACTTGCTTGTAACTGCCCAGCCTATGGCAAAGGCTCCAAAGGTGTTAAACGCATGAGACAGACCTGTCTACAAGAGGAAAACAGCTCGGCCCTAGCTGCATCACAGGGGGGCGAGGCTGAGCAGGCTTTTAACTCTGCAGGGGGCTTCCTTTCACAGAGCTGCTGCTGCTGCTGCTGATGCCAGGGAGGAGCTGGCCTTCCAGAGCTCCAGAAAAGATTCCCACCTTGGGCTGACAGGTGAGCTGAGGACACTGTGAAGAGAACAAAACCTGGCTTCCCAAGAATCTGGGGTCTGGGAGAGAGGAAGAGGGAGGGAACTCTGGTCTAAGAGCGAGCCTGAGGCAGGGATAATAACTGAAAGGGGGCTGGAAACAGGGCCGGGCTGGAGGGCCCAGCTTCCCATTCAAAGAGCCTGCCAAGACTGCTGACCATGGCATGAGCGCCATGGGGGAGAGAGATGTTGCCAAGGGCAGAGTGAGGACTGGATCCTGCATCCCAGACACCTGCTATCCCTGGCAGGAATGGGCAGAGGAAAGTGGCCTGGCAGAACTGGAGCTGGGAACTTGGTGGATGGAGACTTTGGGTTGGGGCGTCTGAGGATAACCAGGATTTTTGTGTACTGTGTAGGGGGAAAGATGATGCCAGCAATGCTGGTGTGAAAATGTTGGTGGAGGAGCACAGAGCCCCCCACCCCAGGGGAAAGCAGTGAAGTAGAAGAGGGTTGCCCTGGGTGCCCACCCCCTACCAGCTTCCACCACCACTGTCAGCACAAACACTCCCATTCCTGAGGCCTCATCTTTACTTCCACTTCTCCCACCTACCCCCTCCCTCCCCACACCTACCTGTTCTGCGCTTCACTCCCCGCCATTCCTGCTGTCTGCAGGGTGGCAAGCTGCTACCCTGGTAAAGGAAACCACAGGAATACATCAAGGGCACCTAGATAATGTACTTGCATTTTATGAGGTAATGAATACTCCAACAACCCAAAGCAGATCACTAATGCTTTAACAATTCAGTTAACAAACATGCCTACTATAGCTTGAAAGGTTTTGCTCTTGGTACTGGAAATCAGTGGAGTGTAGGATATTTAAGAGCCATTTAGGCGATGGCAGGATGTATAGGGAACAGCAGAACACCCTTCGCGCTTAGAATCAAAGCAGGCAGCAGGTTCCTGTTCTCCTGGTGAATGGAAGAGGGGTGGCGACTTCGGAGCAAGGTTGAACCTAGAGTCTAGGGCTCTATGAGGCAGGCAGAGGAGGCTGGCAAAGCTTTGGCTTCCTGAAAGACAGAATTCCTGGGCAGGAGCTAGGCAGTGGCTCCATCCATTTGGGTAGAGCCCACAGGGACCTGGATGAATCACAGGTCGATAACCAGGCTCTCAGAATGAGAGGAGAGCAGTTTTTGAGACAGCAGGCTGTCCAGGCGGGATGTATTTGCTCAAGAGATCAATATGTAATCCAACCAGATTGTCCCCTCCTTCCTCCCTCCCTCTTCCCTTCAGAGAATTTGAAGCAGAGGAAAGCAAAAAATCTTCAATGTGAATGAGACAGAAGGTCAGGATTGTACTGACCTCTCTATCTGAAGATACTCCCCTGCCCTCTCCCGGGAAAGGAAGGCCAAAAGCTAGGGGCTGGGAGGCAGGTGAGTCTGAGGAGATGCACCTAGGAGGTGGGCAGGACAGTGAAAGGAGCACTTTCCCTGGCCCTTGGCAGCTGCATGGAGATGATTTAGGACAGGAAACATCACTGTGGGTGGAAGGGCCTGCAGGGGTGTTTTCCTGTGCCAAGTATTGATGGGCAACTGGTCCACTTGGAGGGTGTTTATAAGGAAGTGCAGCTGTTTATAAACAGAATCCGGGCTAATCTGGGGTTAAAGCAGAGGGAGAGAAATCTGGAACTGATTGAACTCTTTGCTAAGGTAGCAGGATGCTTGCTGGACAGTTGAGAAAGGCAGGAAGACTAGACGAGGAGAGCAGCAGCTCGGTTTCCCTATTGGACACATAAGCACAAAGGAAAATGACATGGGTTTCTGACATCAGGGAGACTTCACCCTGTGGGACCGACTGACTCCAGAAGGGATCCTTTCAATCCCACCAAGAGGGTGGATACAGAGAGAAAAGCTACAAGAAGACTGAGGCACGAGCAACCAACTTGAGGGAGGCAGGGAAGGTTTCCAACAAAAGGTGACCATGGATCTGAGTCTTCAGGAATAGATGGATTGGAGTGCACATGGTTTATTTGGGAACTGACCTTCCAAAAATATTAGTAGGGAATGAAATCATGAGACAGGGAGGGAAGACACTGAATGAAAGGTGTGTTATCAACAAATGTAAATGAGGCTCAATCCTACTAGGGAAACGTGGGAGTTAGAACAATAGGCCAACGAGGGCCTTAGAATTCTCCCCTGAAGTGCAGATATTTAGGGTACTTATTCACGACTCCCATCAGTCCCCAACAAGAGCCATTCATTCCCAACAGTGGCCATGCAGGCTCCAACAGCCAGGAAGAGCCTGCAGGCAAAGAGGTGCAGGTGCTACAAAGAAGCATTGGGTCCATGTATATGTGCTTAAAGAATAAGGGCTGATGGGATGGCAGGTGAGCCTCAGATGTGTCTGCTATAGACTCTGCAGGGCAAGAAAGGATGAGCATTTGGGGACGGTGGATTAGCATGTACAAAGACCCAGAGGAGATCTGGAAGGGGGCAAGGGCAGGAAATGAAAGAAGGGGGATGTCCTGGGGAATAATGCAGAGAGATTTTGACTGGGAAGGACTAAATCATTAGGAATGATGACAGACCCCAAACTACAGAACATCTCCAAGTCCAGCTTATTTCCTAAGCTATTCAAGTCTAGGTACTATAGCCAGACTCTGGAGCCCTGGATTCCTAATTTTTTAGGGCCTGAAGTTCCCTGAGAAATGCAAACACTAATAACTAGAGAGAGAAAGTGATTTGCCCAAACCCACACAGCTGGTTAATAGCCATGCCAGGATTAGAACCCATGACTGTAACTCCCTAAGGTATTAGTGGCCTGGTCTGCAACTCTTCTTGGAGAAATCTATCTCAGGACATAGCCTTCCGGTTGAGGGCATGATCCCTACAGGCAACTCCACACACTTGAGCAAAGGGGGTTGGCATTCCCAAGGTCTAGAAAACGCCTGTGCCTACAGAAATAAAGGAAGAGCCCTATTCCTAGGAGTGACTCTAGGGGCCCCTCACAGAGACGGGGCTTTTCCATCAATAGGCATTAGACATTTGTGCCTGGGTGGGGACATGATAATTTTTAGCAGACGTGCAAAGTGGAACTGCCATGCCGGACTAATTCTGGAGGGGACCAGCCCCCTCACTGAGTGCTGGCAGGTGTTTGGAGCCACTTCCCACCCCATGTAGTCCTGACTTCCTAAGGTGACCGAAAGAGCATTCATTCATTCATTCATTCATTCACTAACAAAACTTTGCTGAGTGCCTTGTCTGTGCCTAGCAGAAAGTGATGGGAGTGGGCAATGGTGTCTTGGATGGCCAAGGAAGGCCTCTCTGATTAAGGTAGTATCTGCCCAGAGACTGAGGCAATGAGGAGAAGCCCTGAGGATGTCTGGAAGAATAGCAGTCTACAGAGAGGGAATAACAAGACTAAGGAATGGAAGGGCGTGTGCTTGGTGTGTCTGAGGAGCAGCAAGCAGGAAGTGGCAATGGCCTAAGTGAAGAGAGGGTGGCAGGAGGGAGACTGGGAGGGAGCAAAAGGGGAGTTGGGACAGAAGAGAGCCCTTGATGGCTGCCTACACCAAGACCCTCTGGAAGGTCTCCCTTCCCGGAGGAGTGAATCACAGAAGGTCATCATTTCAGTGTCTGGTGCCATGACGGGGCCTCTGGATAGACTGATCCCAGAGTGGGAGAATCATCATGGTGCTGACTGAAGTCCCTCCCAGTGACCCTTCCTGCCCTGCCCACCCCACTGCCCCTGGGGCCAGCTGGGCTGTGGACCCTTCTGTACTTGGAACATGGAAGGAGACAAATGCTTAGGGATGCAATGCAGTTGGCTTCCACCCTTTCCAAAAGCCTACAGCATTCATGAGGCCTGAAGGAAAGGAAGCGGCGGGCGTCGCTGGAAGCTCAGAGACACACAGGTCATAACAGAAAGGGAAACGTGGCTGCAGTTCTAGCTTGGTTTATGTCCTTCCGGTCTTTTTCCCAGGCATATTAAACCCATCAGGGAATAGATGGCTCACTGGGGGAGGAAAGTGAGGAGAGTTTGAAGAAGGAGTTTACAAGGTGTGGGGCAGGGTTTAAGGAAACCAGCAAGGTAGGGTGCAACACCTGGGGCTAGCCTCAGTGGGTGCAGTTAACACCCCCGACAGGAAGGGGTGAGGGGAGGGAGGGAGCAGTTGCCAGGACCTCGAAGGCCTAAAGGTCTTGTGGGAGCGCTGCCTGGGGAGAAGAGTCACCTCAGTAGGGAGATGTAGCAGCTTGGCAGGGAGGGCACGAATGCTGGCCTCACTCTCCTTTTCTCCCATTGGCTGGGCCATCAGGAAGCCAGAGGGCAGGAAGTAGGTTGATGCAGTCCACACAGGCAAGCCTCCAAGGGCAGAGAGTGGGTGGAGAGGGGGGAGCGTGGATCTGAGAGAGCCAAGGGAAGGGATCCAGCACCCATAATAGAGCGAGTGAGAGAGTGAGTGACTGACAGAGAGAGAGAGATCTCTGTCTATATACATACATATATATATATATATATATAGTAGAACAGTGCAAATGCTATTTCATGGCCTAATTTCCTTTGAAACAAATGCTAGACTGATGAAGAGAGAATTCCCACCTCTGAGGAGGACCCCATTATCCAGCCCACCCTGCACACAGGGCCGCTCCTTCAGGGAGCTTCTTTGGCTCATTACGATAACAAGTCTCAGCCTTCTTATTTAGCCAGGCATCCTGATGCCTCTCCTTCTTCTGCCTCCTAATGAGAAACTAGTGTGGCCCTGCAAAGGGAATGCAGAGAGAGGCAGTGGTCATGCAGGGGTTGCCATGGAAAGCAAACTGTTCACAGGAACAGGCATCATTCTGGGGAACAAGGGGCATTTCAGCCCAGTGCTCTCAAATCCAAGTGTGCACACAAGTTCCCTTAAAGTCAACTTCAAGTCTGGTTTAGGTTTAGGAGGTCTGGTTGGGCGGGGGCAGTGGGGGGAGGGGGCTGGGCATCCCTAAGAAGCTCCTGGATGAGGCCCATGTGGCAGCCTCTGCCTGCACTTGGAGTATGAGTTTCTAGAGAAGCTTTGAGACCTATGTGCTCAAGCCCAAGGGGAGGGGAAGTTGGGGTCATTACAGGCAACTGACTAAAGGAGGTACAGCTTATCTTTCTCCCCAAACCTGTCAATGGGCCTGAAATTTTACCATTAGAGTCACCTCTTTCGAGTTTACTTGGTAATTAAATTCAGCTTCTCTTTTTGGAGGGTAAATCATACTCAGCCCATCATGACTTGGCTCTACCCTGTTCGTCTATTGAGATTAATCCCTCAACAAAGGCAAAGCACTGAAGAAAAGGGACACAGGGCTGGGATGTTCTAATGAGATGGGTGGGGCACACCAAGCACAGACCTGACTGTATTTCCCAGTGACCAGGTCTGGGACAGCCACAACAGAGGTTGTGAGGGCTGAAACTCAGATTCACCCACCCATTATGTTCCCTAGAGACAGGTCCACAGGCATCTCTGGAGGCCCTAGTCCCACAAGCCCCATCTTCCTAATATTAGAGGGTCTTCCTTTTGAATAACTCTGAGCCTAGAGTGTTTGCCTTCTTTAAAGCTTGGCCTTTTCTACCTTTAAGAATGAAGGGAGAAGACCCACAATTTTTTACCTTTGCCCACCAGAATATAAGAGGTCAGTATGCACATCTGACTTGGTCTCCTCTGGACTTCCAGCATCTAGAGCAGAGCCTCACACAAAGTAGGCACCCAGGAATGTTCACTGAATGAGGAAAGACTTCCCTGCCAAGAGCTTTCTTCATCAGCTGGCTGCTGGTCTTGGAGGGGAAAGTAAACAATGATGGGTGATTGACTGGATTAACTGAACCCTAGGACTTGAGAATTAGAGGAGAAGGAACTTCTGCTTCTAAATATTTAAGACACTTGATCAGGGAACTCAAACAACTTATTTTAAGAATCAGGAAACTGAAACCCAGAAAGGAGAAGAGGTTTCCCCAAGATCACACAGCACATTTCTAGGGTTAGGCCCCAGCACTCTGACTCCCAGTTCAGGGCTTTGTCTACTTCACCATTCAGGTGTCCATTCATTCATTCATTCATTCAACAGCTGCCTATTGAGCAACTGCTTTTCCCAGGAACTGTTCTAGTTGCTAAGAATCCAGAATAAACAAGAAGGCAAAGTCCCTGCCTTTATGGAGCTTACATTCCAGGGGAGGAGACAGAAATAAGCACATAAATCAGCAAATAAATTCAGAAAGGGATAGCAGCTATAAAAGAAAGAAAACAGGCCAATGAGCTAAGATGTGTGTGCAGTGGGTGGACACCCAAAGTAAAGGTGGTTTTCTGAACCTTGAAGCTGAGAATTATGCACAGAGGGATGAACAGATACAGCCCCTGCCTCGGGTGCCTAATTCCTTACTCCCCACATTCTGCTCTGTGTCTTCCCAAAGTTCTCCCTCCTGTCCCTTCCTCACCCTGCTCTGAAATCATCAGTCAGGCTACTGTTTTCTCGATCATGCTCCAACCACCTCTGATTGTCTCCCAGCCTCCAGCCTCACAGCCAGAGGGGGAGCTCAGATACCAAGGTGCCTCCATGGTCATACCTCCTTCAGTGCCAGAACTGGAAAAGACTAATATTCTGCTGTAAGTCCAAATACCCTAGATTACAAAGGAGGAGCCTGAGGCCCAGAGAGGGCAAGTGACTTGCCCAAGGTCACACAGTAAGTAGTTGGCAGAATTTCCACTTTCTCGCTTCCCCGTGCATTTCCTCCTTTACTCCCAGCCAGCCCTCTAGGAATCCTCAAGGGTCTTCAGGGATGTTCAGCAGACCCTCATCTTGGGCTGCTTCCCCTGGCCCCCAAGGAAACCCAATGTGCAGTGTGCGGCCTCTCTGCCATCTTGTGGCTGCTCCTAAGAATGTCGCCTGCCTGGCCAGTTTGGAAAAAGTGCCACAGAATTCTCACTGGGATCTGAACTCTCCTCCCTGTACCCATAACTTTTGGCAAAAGAGCTTCACCCACACAAATGCTCACCTCCAAGAAAGAAGCTAGGGCAAGGGGTCAGGCCTGCCCCTCCCCAGCTCTGGACAGACCACAGCAGAGTCACTTCTCCCTTCTGCCTCAGTTCCCTCCTCTATAAAAGGAGGGGGATAATTTCTTCCCACCCACTGCTGGAACGGTTGTAAGGCAGGAACAGGTCATAGATGTGAAAGTGGTCTGAGAGGGGAAAAGTGCTGTGTCACTCTTGTCATCCCGCTCTTTCATGTAGCAGGTGCCCTAACCCACCCCAAAGAGCCTGGATTAGGTGGGCATGAGATGCGGACTTCCCTGACCTGTCATCTGCACACGCAGAAGGCTCATCTGCAGGATGCAAGGCCTCTGCTGCCTGCAATGGGATTAACTCTTTCCATGGCCACCTGTCTGATCTCTGTCAGGATGTCTGTCTGCAGTCAGGGGAAGGGACGGTATCTGGGTAATTTTGCATCACCCAGTGCCAGGTTCATGAGGTAGCAAATGTTTCCAGGTGTGCAGGTGCTGTCAGTGCTCTGCCCAGATCTTCTGACTTGACCCCATCCGTGTATCCTCTCCTGAGTACTTTTTCTGTCCACTTGAGCCCACTTTGCCATCTGTTTGCAGGCCAGAGGTGTCTGGGGATAAATGCCCTGTTCCCTACCCCAGCTCTGACATGCTGGCTCCCAGAGCTCCCCTGTGGGACTAAGCCCCCACGCCCAAAGGGATGGCTGACTTGATGAGGCTCCCTTATTGAGGCTTCCAGGTATTGTCCCACTTACCCGCTCTCCTCCTGGGGTTTCCTTCACCTCCCAATAAACTATGTGCACTCATACCCTCCTCTTAGAGTGGACACCAGTATATCCCCCAAGCCCTCATGCCTCACCATGCACCTGGCCCTCCCTACACTTGTTCCTGGCCAGCCCTCCCTACCACCATCAGGAGGGACCAGGGGAAGAGAAATTTCCCCAAAGGGCTGGAATCCATGCCTTCCCATGGCTCTGTTTGTATTCCAGCTGCTGCTCCCATCTCTTGTCACGTCGTTTAGATCAATGGATTATCAAATTTTTAGTGAACATTTCCTGTGTTTCAACCCCTATGTTAGATGCTAAGAATATAGTTGTAAGATTACTCAAGGACAAATGTACTGTCCTTGAAAGGCAAATACGAAATAAGCATACACACAAATGGAAGTTAGCAGTCTGAGTCATGGCAGAGGCCATGAAGGAAAAGAGGTTGCTGCGGGAGAGGAGTGGCGAGGGACATATCACAGGGGAAGAGGCCAGAGTAGGCCGCCCTGAGGAAGAGCTATTCAGGGTGATTGCTGCAGAGACAGAAGGAGCCAGCCAAGCAAATACTGGGTGGAAATGCTCCAGGCAGAAGGACCAGGCTGCACAGAGGGCCTGGGGTGGGAAACAGGGAGAAGGCAGAGTGGTGAATCATGACACAGAAGAGGAGAGCCTCTCAGAGAGCTGCTGGCAGAGCGGGTAGGGCAGAGCCACACAGGGCTGTGGAAGCCTTCTCAGGGCATCTGCATTGCACTCTAAGTTCAGTGAGAAGCCCAGGACAGTGTCAAAATATGATTGTTTAGGCTGGGTGCAGTGGCTCACGCCTATAATCCCAGCACTTTGGGAGATCAATGCAGGAAGACCACTTGAGCCCAGGGGTTCAAGACCAGCCTTGTCAACATAGGGAGACCCCTTCTCTACAAAAACTTTTTAAAAATTAGCCGAGTGTAGTGGTATGCATCAGTAGTCCTAGCTACTCCGAAGGCTGAGACAGGAGGATCCCTTGAGCCTGGGAGGTCGAGGCTGCAGTGAACTATGATTATGCCACTGCACTCCAGCATGGGCGATAGAGCGAGACTCTGTTACAAAGAATAATAACAAAAGAAAAAAAAGAATATCGTTGTTTGAAAAGATCTGTCCGGCTGCCAGGTGAAGCCTAGACTGGAGGAAACCAAGTAGATGCAAGGAGGCCTGTTCAGAGACCATTGCAATTGTTCAGAGGAGAAAAAGCAGTAACTGAGACTAGAATGGAAATGCATGGTGATGAAGATAATTTCACCAATACATCAACAGACCCATAGAAGCATCAGGAGTTGGGAATTAAAGTATTTTTATAAGCAAAACCTAAGGGTAACTGTGATGGTTAATACTGAGTGTCAACTTCTTGACTGGATTGAAGGATGTGAAGTGTCCCTCGGTGTGTCTGTGAGGGTGTTGCCAAAGGAGATTATTAACATTTGAGTCAGTGGACTGGGAGAGGCTGACTCACTCTCAGTCTGGATGGGCACCATCTAACCAGCTGCCAGCATAAAAGCAGGAATAGAAAGCACCAACTTGCTAAGTCTTCTGGCCTCCATCTTTCTCCCGTGCTGGATACTTCCTGCTCGCGAACACTGGACTCAAAGTTCATCAGCTTTTGGACTCTTGGACCTACACCAGTGGTTTGCCAGGGGCTCTCAGGCCTTTGGTCACAGACTGAAGGCTGCACTCTCAGTTCCCTACTTTTGAGGTTTGGGGACTCGGACTGGCTTCCCTGCTCTTCAGTTTGCAGATGGCCTATTGTAGGACTTCACCTTGTGATCGTGTGAGTCAATATTCCTTAATAAACTCCCCTTCATATATACATCTATCCTATTAGTCCTGTCCCTGTAGAGAACCCTGACTAATACAGATTTTGGTACTGGGAGTGGGGCATTACCTAAGGATAGCAGTTAGAAGAAAAATATAAACCTTTCTAGATACCAAAAGATATACCTAACTCCTCACATCCCTGCAAAGGAGAGAACAAACAAAATGTAGTCACATGGAATATTCTCTTTCTTTCTCTACGCTCAGGTACACACACACCTATTTACAGAAAATACAAAGGACACAGGAACTTGCTAAACTATCCCACAGGGAGGAAATCAGCAAAATTCAGACTCTGTAAAGCTCTTCAGGGCAAATGATCCAAATTATTCATTAAGAAATTGGATGGACATTAAAAGACATAGAGGAACAAATAACAAAGATTTAAGACACATCAGCCAATCACCATATATGAATCTTATTTGAATCCTGATTCACATTTTACAAAAATATGTTTTTCTCAAGCCAATCATGAAAATATCAACACTGACCTTATATTTCTTTATTTTAAGAAATTACTTAAAATATTAGAAGCGATAATGGTAAGGTGGTTATGTTTTTCTAAAGTTGTATATATGTTTTCAAATTGAGTATATATCTTTTACAGAAATATACTGACATATTTATGGGCAAAATTATACAATGTGTTGGGTTTGTTTCAAAATAACCTGGAGTGGAGAAGTGGATAAGGTAATAGATTACCCAAGATTCACCACATGTTGATAATTGTTGAAGCTGGTGATAAATACTTTGATATAAAGTATTTTTTCTCTACTCTTACAGATATTTGAAAAAATCTATAGGAAAAATGTTGAAGGACCAAGAGAAGTGAGAAGATAGAGAAATGTCTTGGAGACAGAAATGATCTAATATACTATGGCATGGGATGATGGGGGACCATGAGGGAACTAGAAGTATCAGAGCAGCAGCCAGATCTCTGGCTTACCCAACTCATCACACGGTGGTTGTACTAACCAGCTCGAAGACCTGTGAAGTCTCCAGAACTGAAAGAAAGACTTGGCAGGATGGATTTCTAATGGGGGCTCTCTTTCTGCCTGGCAGGTGGCTGCCTTCCCACTACATCCTCAAATGATAGAAAGAGAAAGAACTCTGGTCTCTCTTCCCCCTACCTTTTTTTTTTCTTTTTTTAAGATGGAGTTTCACTCTGTTGCCAGGCTGCAGTGCAGTGGTGTAATCTCAGCTCACTGCAACCTCTGCCTCCCGGGTTCAAGCGATTCTCCTGCCTCAGCCTCCCGAGTAGCTGGAACTACAGGCACACGCCACCACACCCAGCTAATTTTTTGTATTTTTAGTAGAGACGGGGTTTCACTGTGTTAGCCAGGATGGTCTTGACTGCCTGACCTTGTGATCCTTCTGCCTCGGCCTCCCAAAGTGCTGGGATTACAGGTGTGAGCCACCGTGCCCGGCCTCTCTTCCTCTTTTTATAAGAACACCAGTCCAATAGGATTAGGATCTCATCTTTATGACCTCATTTCATCTTACTTACCTCCTAAAGATCCTGTCTCCACAAGCGTCACATTAGGGGTTAGGATTTCAACATTTACATTTCGAGGGAACATAACTTAGTCCACAGCAAGGATGTCATTTACTGAGATGGAAAAGACGGGGAAAGAACACTGGAAAAAGATAAGTCTACCCTCGTCACAAAGTGAGGATATTAGATTTTCAAATCAACAAAGCTGACCAAAGGTAGGGGGACCCATTACCACAATGAAGGTTTTGAAATAAGAATAACAGCACCATCAATCTATCACTCACTTTCCTTAACCAGGAACTGTGACAGGTGCTTTCTAAGCATCATCTCATTTCCTTCTCTTCTACTCCTCATATTACAGATGACAAAGCTGAAGTACAGAGAAGTTGAGTCACTTGTCCAAGGCCATATGCTGGCAAATGGTGGAATGGGGCCCTGTCTGATGTCAGAATCTACACTTTGTTTCATTCCATTCCCCCACAGTGGAAAATCTCTGACTTTGGAGTCATAGAGGTCTGCGTTGGAATCTTGGTTTTGCCATTTACTTGTTGAGAGGATTTGGGTAAGTGATAACTTCTCTGAACTTCAGTATCTTCATCTTTAAAATGAAGACTATAATATCATCCTCTCAAGGCTTTCATGACAATAAGGTTGTGTACGGACAGTGATTGCCACAGAGCAAGCACTTCAAGGGGGCAGCAGCTATTGTTAATATTACCATTTTGTTATGTACTTTTATTCACCCTATGCTCCCTTCCCTGGAGGCCCTCAGGAATGTTACTTCTCTGACATCCCTGACAATTTTTACCCCCTTGTTCACAAGTATCCTCCTCACAACAGACCAACAGACTGGAGTGCCCTTTGGGTAGGGATGGGCCCAGAATGGGTAGGGCTGGATGTTGTGACTCATTGCTTCCTTCCCTCATTCCTGACCACCTATAACTGCCAAATGGGATAAGATGACCAGTATCTCAGCCACAGTATCTCAGGACAGGCCTGGCTTCACACACTGATCCCACTGTTAGACCTTTCCCATTTGTGGGGCTCATAAAATGTTCTGCATATTTACAATAACCTGAGTTTCTACTCCTGCTGTTGCAAAGCAGTTCAGTGGATGTCCTGCCCTGTGCAAATCTTCCAGTTGCCGCTGACCATTATTCCAGGTCATTATTCCAGGTAGAGTTTCTCAGCTATCAGGCCCCGTAAAGAGCCCTGGGCAATAGACATCTCAGGTCAGCTTGCACCAGTTTTATGGCATTGAGGTAAACATGTCCCATTTCTGGACCTGAGCGTCCTCATCAGAGGCTAGGTTAGACGGAGCTCTAAGAGCCACATCAACCCTGGGGCTGAGCATCTGTTGAGGCCCCAGCTCACGTAGGCTCCCATGTTGATTTTCGAGTGAAACGTGGAAAGCGTGTGGTTCAGTTGCACAGTGGAGGTTGGTTGCACCTCCCAACCCCCATCCTTAAAGTGTGCCTACTTCTCCATCAGAAAGAAAACCTAATAAGGTGAAAAGCAGATTTCATAATTCCTTGTAATTCTCTTTGAGGGCTTCACAACATGGATTTTCTGTGCAATTACCTACAGAGAGCAGAAGCGATTAGAAACGCAGAAAGTTTTCTGGGTGTCATGT
Source organism: Homo sapiens (assembly GCF_000001405.40). Classification (NCBI taxonomy): domain Eukaryota; kingdom Metazoa; phylum Chordata; class Mammalia; order Primates; family Hominidae; genus Homo; species Homo sapiens. The sequence continues at coordinate 40,811,072 of NC_000006.12, forward strand.
TAAGGCCTGACATGTGAGGAAGGAGGCTTAGAAGGCTGCACCCTCAGGAAAAAAGAGTTTAGCACTCATTTACACAGGGCCTGTTAGGTGCCTAGACCAAGCCCCAAATTGTTGAAAAATAATATCTTAAATATACAAACATCATCTATGTCCTTAAGGCTATTACAATTTACCTCAAAAGACAAAAACAACATGATTCCCAGATTCCTGTTTTTTAAATATATGGTGGTTTATTCACACACAGTCAAGATTCCCTATGGCTCTGGGAACCTACACTCCAGGAGGAGATGGGGAGGGAATGACCAAGTGACTCACAGAGCCCAAGGTGCTGTCCACAGGAAGGTAGTTGTCACCTCATGTTTATGGGATAGTGGGAGAAGGAGCAGAGATTAAGGCGGGAATGGGAAGTGACCCCTTGCTCAGGATCACACAGTTAGCTTGTCAGAGAAAAGCCCAGAAAAGGTCCTGGCCAGGCCTCAGGTGACCCCTGCAGACACAGACTGCACCACTACAGGTTGGCCTAGGGGCAGGAGTTGGGATCTTGGAGTTGACAGCCATTTTTCTCAGCTGTAAAATGGCTCAGAGGATTTTTGTCAGGGTTGCCACTCTGCTTTGTAAACTATGAAACACTGTATATGCGTGACCCAGATATTTAGAAAAGATGAAATAAAGCCTCATTATTATGCATCATTGATATTTTAAATTACATGTATTAACAATAATAACAGGATTAAGCCCATAGAATCTCAAGAGCTAGAAGTGTTCTCTCATCAGCCTTCCTTATCTGGTGTTGGCATCCCCTGTTCTCTATCTGTGCCAAGTGGTATTAATCTCATTACAAATGATGAACACATTTAATTTCAGAATCCTCCCGGAGAAGAGAGCTACTTTAGGAGAAATTCTCATATACATCCTCCAGCCAGCCTGGTGTTCAATGGCTTGAGTGCCAGGCCTGTGGGACCTGTAGTGGGGAGGGCCAGGCCATCACTCTGACCCTCTTGGGAAACCCAGAGCTCCAGAGACCACAGAGTGACCCAAGCCTCTGTGGCTTTACCTGGGCCCAGCTGAAGTCTCTGTGACGCCCATTGTCTTCCTGCCAAGCTGGTCCTGCTTTTCATGACTTGGAGAAGATAAGAAAGCAGAGAGGGACAGGGGACAGCTGATATCCCCTGTGGCCCTGGATGAACACTTTGTTTTAGTTTTTACCAATGGAGGATCTCATAAGAACCCATAAATTTCCAGCCCTCCCTGCTGTAGCACTCAGGCTGGTCATGAGAAGCCAATACAGTTGCATTCAGCACCAGCACACACTGTCATCTTGGTGCCTTCATCATCCCTCACCCAACTACCTGTTTCTCAGGACTGCCACAGCGGCCTTACAGCTGAACATCCATGGGCCCAAGTCTCCCACAGTACCAGGTCTTCTGGTACAGGGGTCCATTCCTTGTAGAAATAAGAGTTCTCCTCTTATTAAAGTGAAAATACACATAGGATTGTTCTCCAACTAAACCACAAGTACCAAGTCACCTAGTGACAGACGAGGCTGTGCTCAAAAAAGGTTGAAGACTGCTGTTAGCCCCCTCAGGCAGAGTGAAGGGCTGTGGGTGTGGTATACAGGGGCTGGCAGACAGAAGGCCAGGCCCTCTTTACACACTTCCCCTAACGTCCAGCTTCCCTTCGCCGCAGACCCACTGATCCTGACTGGAAGATGATCCTAACCTGGTCATCTGAGCTCACCAACCCAAACCCTGGCAATAACATACAAAATGCTGTTCTCAAGTGCTTTGAGGGGGGTCTGGTTGACGGGCCAGTCTCCTTGGGCCAAAACAAAACTTCCAAGTTCTTCTAAAGTTTGCTGCCAAGGCTAAGGGACTCTGTCCACATTAAAGTGTTGGCTCTGGTGTTGATGCTACATGGAAAATATCTTTAGGTCACAGCTGAGATTCAGGACAAGGAGACTCGGGGTTGTGATAGAAGACAAAACATCTAGTTAGGTAGGTCTGTGTGCCAGGTATAAGAAGATCGGGGAAAGGTACTACTCTAATTTCCATTCCAAAACTATTATAGAAGGAGTTTGAAAAGATATCTTGAATTCATGGGTGGTCTTCCTCTCCCTCTTAACACACAATTGCATCATTTGGGCTGTCAGAAGTCAAAAAGTGGGTACTGAACAGTATGTAAAATTATATTCTAACATCTCTAGAGAACTCAAATTGTCATTCTCATCCTCGAAAGTTCAAATGGACACCCCCTCTCGTTTACAGAGAAGAAAACTGAGGCTAAACGTTTAAGTAGCTTTTCCAGATTTGCACAGGACTCAGAACTTACAAGGTGGAGTGGATCTCAGGACGGGTGATCTAATTTCCTACCTGGAGCTCTGGCAAGTACCCACCCTCCCACCTCATCTCTCTTATTTAACACCACCACATCACACATTCGATGGAGACACGAGAAGTGATACTGAGAAACACAAAGCAGCAAAAACAATGCCCTAGAAGCAGACCATGAAAGATCTTGGAAGACTGACCAGTCTTCAGGCTTGGCAGGCTGCGCCAGAGCTTCCCACAGAGCCCACGGGTCCCTGCTGGCTCTGAAGTGGGCTGTGGGGGTGCCTGTGGAATCTGCCCTCCACTGGTGGAAGAAGTGAGGGGTAAGAAAGAAGGATTCAGCCAGAAACAAATGGGAGCCCCCTAGGATAGCCAGAGCTCACATGCAGCCCCCTCCACAGGTGGCTCCCAGCCCACCATTCCTGCAGGGAGAAGGAGGGCACAGTGGGGGCCACATGCCTGGAGAGCCCAAGGAGATCCAGCCATCACTACTGGGACTAGGCCCCAGGGCCTGTCCAGCCTCCTGCCCAACTGCCTCTGAGAAAAGGGGATGGGGTGAAGGGAAAAAGTGAGGGAGAGAAGTCTATCTCTCAGCCAGGAAGAGCAAAGTCCCCCAGGCTCTCCCTAAATGCCCTGGGGCTCACTTGGCCACCCCTGCAGAACCACACACTCAGGCCTCCTCCAGTTAGAGGTTGAGTGTTTTTTCCCACCCCCCAGGCATGGGTGCTGGGAAATGATGGACTTAATAAAGTTTAACAAAGAAATGCAGTAGCCCTCTTTGGGTGGATAGTCCTCTTCTTTGGATGGGAGAAATAGGAACTTTCAGAAGATTCTAAGACATCTGGATAAACCAAGACTCTCTGAGTGGAGGCTGAAAAGTGATAAAGATTTTTGAGATCCTGGGCCTTCCAAAAAGCTCCACGACCCAACCTCCATGAAGGGAAGGCTCAGGCCAAGGGAGTGAGAGCTTTTAGAAAATTCCACAGTCCCTAAAGAGGCCATACGGTGACCTTTCAAGATGATAGGTTGAATGGGAAGGGAGACAATAGGGGTTCTGAAAGCTGAGCCTTCTAGAAAGTTCCACAGGTTGAGATAGCCCTCAACCCAACCTCCATGAAGGAAAGGCTGGGGCCCAGAGGATGAGACCTGTGCCTTCCAGAAAGCGCCATGATCTGGTAACTGACTTGTGACCCAGCAGGGGCATGGTGGAAAGGTGGGCAGTGTTTCCTACCTGGAGCTCTATCACGTACCCACCCTCCAACTTCCTCTCTCTAATTTAACATCACCACATCACACATTCAAAGAAAAGACTAGAAGTGACACTGAAAAACACAAGGCAACAGAAACAATGCCCAAGGGTTGACATAAAAACAAAGACACAGGCCATGCAAGAGCTTGGAAGACTGACCAGCCTTCAGGCTTGGCAATCACCACCCTATTACACCTCTAAAAAAAACCAAGGCCAGAAAGACCATGTCATTGTTATCCATTGTCAGTGACAAGGCTGGAAACTTGACTGGCCTGATGCCAAAATCCCATTATAATCTGAAGCCTCAAGTAAGGTAAGACATTTGGGACAGGGCCAGTGCACAGAATTGGAGGGATAAGAGGAAACCCTTCCTCTTGTTAGAAATCTTCCTCACCGTCCTCCCTTCAGGAGCCAGAGACCCCTAATCTTACCCCTCAAGTGCCAGAAACCTCGAGTCTCCCGCTTGCAGGGGCCAGGAAACCCCAGGTCTCAACCACCAGAGTACAGCCTCTGGGAGAGTCACTGAGACAGTCCACGAGAGAAGGAGCAGCCAGGAGATCCCCCAGCTCCTTGTACTGGAAGGTGGTCTGGCCCTCAGTCTAGTTAGGCCTTGGCATCCTGGTATCAACTGGTTTAACTGCCGTGTATCCCACTGTCTGGAAAGTGTACCAGATGACCCAGAGACCACCTTCGCATGGCTTCTGAGGCAGGAATCAGAGGCACAAGCTGCCTGCCGAGATTCCAAAGCACTGGTGTCACCCTGAGGGGTGGAAAGGAACGTCACAGTGGGTGGCCACCCCATGCTTGCTTTGGGGACTGATACTAGGGGTTCAGGACACCTGTAAGGGGTCTAAGGCAACTGAGTGTTTCAGCATTGTAGGGCCTAGGCAGCTGATCCCCTGTGAGATGAACCAAGGCTGTTGTGGCCGACTGGTGGTCTAGGCCCCTGGTGGGCCTTGAGATGTTAGGACACAGGCTGGGCACTGGGCAGCTGATATGCTCCAGGAATAGCCAAGGCACCCCGTCTAAGAGGCAACCCTGTGGATGCAACATTGTAGGAAACAGGTGGCCAGGAGCCAATGTGCTTTTCAGGAGATAACAGTGTCTCCTCTCTGAAGGCCCATTGGCAAGTGGGCACTGGACAGCCAAGCCTGCACATGCTAAATCAACTAAGGCACTAAGATCATCCTCTAGTCCTTTCTGGGGCTGGCAGCAGAGGTGCTGGTGTGGCCCAGTGACAGGGGACCAATGGAACTGGCAAGATAATATACTTGAAAGACATCCCCCGTCTGGGAGGTGGGGGGTGCCTCCGCCTGGCCGCCGCCCCATCTGGGGGTGGGGGGCCCCTCTGCCCGGCTGCCATGTCTGGGAGGTGATGAGCCCCTCTGCCCGGCCGCCACCCCGTCTGGGAGGTGTACCCAACAGCTCATTGAGAACGGGCCATGATGACGATGGCGGTTTTGTCGAATAGAAAAGGGGGAAATGTGGGGAAAAAAAGAGAGATCAGATTGTTACTGTGTCTGTGTAGAAAGAAGTAGACATAGGAGACTCCATTTTATTCTGTACTAAGAAAAATTCTTCTGCCTTGGGATGCTGTTAATCTAGAACCTTACCCCCAACCCCGTGCTCTCTGAAACATGTGCTGTGTCAACTCAGGGTTAAATGGATTAAGGGCGGTGCAAGATGTGCTTTGTTAAACAGATGCTTGAAGGCAGCATGCTCCTTAAGAGTCATCACCACTCCCTAATCTCAAGGACCCAGGGACACAAACACTGCGGAGGGCCGCAGGGTCCTCTGCCTAGGAAAACCAGAGACCTTTGTTCACATGTTTATCTGCTGACATTCCCTCCACTATTGTCCTATGACCCTGCCAAATCCCCCTCTCCAAGAAACACCCAAGAATGATCAATAAACACTAAAAAAAAATTAAAAAAAAAAAAGACATCAAGAACATGGGGTGTGTACTTCCTACTAACTTTTGAGACTTGCAGAGGCCCAGGCCAACTGTCAAGGGTCAAAGCACTGCATGAACTTAACAGTGGGAGTTTAGAGAAGGTTGGGCATCCAGGGCACCAGAAGGAGGAGCAGGCCATGAGGAGGTGAATGTGAAGGCCAGCCGGCAATGCACACTGAAAACCACAAAGGCCATGCCAAGGCAAGCCTCAATGGCTTCGGCAGCTGGTACTGGTGGTCCAGGCTCCTTGCCAAGGGGCTGAGGCATTGATGTAACTCTGGGGATGTGGGTTATGTGGGCAAATTGGGGGCCAGGCAGCCATGCCCTCTAAGAAGAATCAAGTCAATGTGCCAACTACTACTGCCAAGGTTTGAGGCTTTAGTGCTGACCCAGTGAAGCAGGGTCCAGTAAGACCAGCCAATACACCTTAGGTAAACCAAGGCAGTGTGAAAACAATGCTCTGTTTCTGGGGTATTGGTGTGGCCCCAGGGATCTAGGGCGAAGGGGCCCAGGCAGCCACGATACTCTGAGAATTTCCAAGGCAATGCAGTGGCTTCCCTGCAAGGTCTTTTGTGGCTGGAACCCATGGTTCAGGCCCCTTTCCAAGGAGTCATTGGTGTGGCCCCAGCAATAAGGAGAACATGGGGAAAATGTGGAGCCCAACTCACAGAATTGACAGATAAAATACAGAATGCCCAGCCTAATTTGAACTTTAGATAAACCACAAATAATGGCATGAAACATACTTACAAAATATTATTTGTTGTTTATCTGAAATTTAAATGTCACTGAGCATTCTGTATCTTTATTTGCTAAATCTTGCAACGTGCGATCCATTCAGCCCATGTATTCTAAGAACCCAGGCAGCACAGAGGCCACCCTCATCGCTGTGGGGCTGGCACCAGATGCTTTGTCACTGCCAAGGGTGAGTCCCTCCTGTGGCCACAGTGGTGTGGGAAAACACCAAGGCAAACCACGATGACCCTCTAATGCAGCCCTGCCCAACGGAGGCACGTGGGTCATTTTACACATGTGCCTCAGTAGCCACATTAAAAAGTAAAAAGAAATAGGTGAAATTAATTTGAATAACCCAATATAGCCAAAATAATATCCTTTCAACATGTAATCAATATAAACATATTAATGAGATATTTCACATTTCTTTTTTAGGACTAAAGTTTCAAAGTCTGGTGTGTAGCTTGGTGCATCTCAACTTGAACTAGGCACATTTCAACATTTGAAGCGCTCACTAGCCACTTATACCATGGTGCAGCTTTTTTTTTCTTTTTTCTTTTTTCTTTTTTAAGACAGGGCCTCGCTCTGTCCCCCAGGCTGTAGTGCAGTGGTGCAATCTCAGCTCACTGCAGCCTCAAAGCCTGGGGCTCAAGCAATCCTCCCACCTTGGTCTCCCCAAGCAGCTGAGACTACAGGTGCACCCCACCACATGTGGATAATTTTTGTATTTTTTGTAGAGATGGGGTTTTACCATGTTGCTCAGGCTGGTCTTGAACTCCTGGCCTCAAGTAATCCACCTGCCTCAGCCTCCCAAAGTGCTGGAAATACAGGCATGAACCATCATGTCCAACCCATAGTGCAGCTCTTATAGCATCTGGGGATGGCACTCAGCACCTTGCCAAGAGTTCCAGGCCTTGGTGGATTCTAGTGATGTTAAGGATGCAGGGGCCAGGGAGCCAATGAACTCTAAGAAGAACCAAGGCAATGTGAGGACTACTTTCTCATGACTACTTGGGTTTCCCTGATGGCCCAGCCCCCTGCCAAGGGTCTGTGGTTTTGGGGTAAGCCCAGGGATGTGGGAGACTGGACAGTCAACACACTCTGGGAAGAAACAAGGTAAGGCTTACATTCCTCTCTAATGGGTGTAGAGACAGGCACCAAAGCCCCAGGCCCCAAGCCTAGGGTCTGAGTCAATGGAGTTGCCATTAATTTGGGGGAGATTTAAAGTTATTTGAAGGGGGCTAAGCAGCCGGGTAATATCTGTGGCAAGAGCCAAGTTAATGCAGTGACTATGTTCCAATGACTACAGTGGCTGACCTCAGAAATCAAGACCCCCTGATGACAGGTGATGTGGGGAGTGGTAGCCAACCAATATTGTCCTCAAAGAATCAGGCGACATGGTGAGCTCTGGAGTTGTCACAAAGGCACAAGGCCCTGCCAAGGGTCCCAAACACTGATGTGGCCTATATGACTTGAGGAAGAGGAGTGGGTGGGAGTCAATACACTCTCAGAAATAAATTCAAGGCATGTTGTCTTGCAGGTGGGGCCAAGCAGCCACTGTGGTCAATTTCACTCTCTGCCCCAGTAGCACTCAGATCCCACCCTCCAGAGCCATTCCTCCTCCCAGGACCTGTGCTCTTCCTCCAAGAATGTCTCTAGCTGACATTCTTGGCATGGCAACTGGGCACAAAGTATGCCTACCCCCTGGGATGGCCCACACCAGGCAAACAAAGCAGGGAGAGGTTGTCATTTTCTCTTGTTATATAAGTTCCTACACAATTGCCTCTGGTCCTCAAAGCCTAAAATGTTTGCTAATCCCTACTCTATATCATGACTTTCAGAGGCTGGACCAAAGGTCAAGACCCCTGCCAGGGATCTTAGGCCCCAGGGTGGCTCCTGTGATACGTGGGAGGGGGCCAGGCAGGCAAAACACCAAAAACCGAGACAACATGGTACCCACATTCTAGTGCTTTCTGAGACTGGCACTAGAAGCTAGGTTTCCTGCCAAGATTTGACACTTGGCATGCCCCTGGAGATGACATCAGCCCCGGGGGCGGGGGTTGATGTCCCTGAGATTGCATCAGCCCCAGGGGACAATGTGAGCTCCCTAATGACCTGCCACTGAAGGGCGAGTGAAGAGACCCTTCACCAGGGCAGCCTGCTTACTCAACTATGCATTGCCAGAAAGGTGGCTGGCATGGGGCAGACAGAATCATTTCATTCCCTGGTCAGGAGTTTTCCTGGTGGAGGACCAGTTGTAAAATATGGGTGTATGAGGGATCCACAGAAAATGTAGCCACATAGGGATGGAACTGTCTAACACGTGTGATGTCGGTAAACTCAATGAGCGGAGGATGGCAGAATGGTTCTGCTCTGTTAATAGCTCCAAGGTGGAAGGAAAATGTGGATGTGTGTTCTGAAGTAGGAGCCTTGGAAAAAAGCTGGCCCAAAAGAGGAGCTCCTCTTCTTGTGCGACAGGACAGGAGGGTGAAGGAGAGTACAGAGACCCACCAAACTGACGAGCTGGGAATTTAAAGTCATTAACTTGGAGAGGTCTAAGATGATTGGGCATTACCTCTGTCTGCAGAGTAGGGTTGAAGATGGAGGGCAGAGAAAGGTGGAGGCAGGAGTGGGGAAAAAAAGGGAAAGGAGTAGGGTAGTCAGTGCAGGAGGTGCTTAGAGCACATTTGCAGCTTAGCATAAAGACTAGAGCCTCTTGAAGAGGGCTTAAAAAGGTCAGAGGACAGCATTCAGATTCGTGTCTTCCGGCTAAATGAAGTTGTATGGGCCATTCTCAGAAAATGTTGGGTATTGTGGTCCCAGGCTGAGAAAGTATCCAGAAGGTCAAGGTGCCCCATGACCAGGGTTCAGGTTTGGCAAATCAGGGGCTGCTGAGCTCTGAGTGTGTGTGCCCCCCAAAGTCATATGTTGAAATCCTGTCCCCCAATGTGATGTATTAGGAGGCAGGGCCTTTGGGAGGCGACAAGGTCTTGAGGGTGGAGCTTTCATGAATGGGGTTTGTGCCCTTATAAAAGAAGCACCAGAGAGCTGCCTTGCCCCTTCTGCCATGTGAGGGTGCAGCAAGAAGGCCATCTATGGACCAAGAACGGGGCCCTCAGCGGACATTGAATCTGCCGGAGCCTTGATGTTGGGCTTCTCAGCCTCCAGGACTGTGAAAAATAAATTTGTTTTTGTTGTTGTTGTTGCTGCTGTTGTTGTTGTTGTTGTTGCTTCAAGATGGAGTCTGGCTCTGTCACCCAGGCTGGAGTGCCGTGGTGTTATCTCGGCTCACTGCAACCTCCGCCTCCCAGGTTCAAGCGATTCTCCTGCCTCAGCCTCCCAAGTAGTTGGGATTACATGCACGCGCCACCACGCCCAGCTAATTTTTGTGTTTTTAGTAGAGATGGGGTTTCACTGTGTTGGCCAGGCTTGTGTTGAACTCCTGACCTTGTGATCCAATCGCCTCAGCCTCCCAAAGTGCTGGGATTACAGGTGTGAGCCACCATGCCCAGCCGATAAATTTGTTTTTAAAAATAAATTTGGCGATAATATATTTAAATAAATTTCTCTTTATAAGCCATCCAGTCTGAAATTTGTGATAGCAGTCCTAACAGACTAGGACAGGAGCCAGACCCTTTAAAGGATAAGAGGATCTCTGTGCTATCAAAGGGAAATGGCTGACGGAGGTGGTGTCAGGTGTGCAAGGGGAGTAAGGACATCATGAAGCTGGAAGGAGACTTTGGAGGAAGCCGAGGCCCAGCACTGCAGTGAGAGTATATAAGAGCTCAGCAGCAGTTCAGTTTGGAGTTGAGATTAATAAAAGGAGCAGGAGTTAGGGTCAAAAGAGAAGCCTAAGTTTTGAGATCTCGGACGTGTGGAAGGTATCTGTCAAGGCCCAGCTTATGGTTTTGCCCATGGTAGCAGAAAGTAGTTGAAGAGGCATGGCAACAGGAAACCAGGATTCTAGAAAGGTCACTAACAAGGATATTGAAGTGACTATGGATGCCCACCTGGCAGGATGAAGAGACCACAGGACAGGTTCTAACCTTTCTGGAAGGTGGGAGAAGTGTTCAAGGCATGCAAGTGGTGGTAATAAATTACACGTGGTACACTTTGCAACAAGAGCTGTGAAGTATGTTTTAGATTTATAGGATTGAGTGGAGCAATTTTCTGTTCTCCTGGAGATGGGAGGTGAAGAGGGAATGGAAAGGCGAGGGACATTTCAGTTATGTACAGTGGTACAAGATGTGAACCAGAAAAGCTTTGGTGAGCGGGAGAGTTCATCATCAAGAGAGGTGATGGGAGTGCAGGAGTCCTACTGCTTAGTGCTTACTATTCAAACCCATGCTCCAACTCTCATCTTGGAAGTATTTACAAGAGGAGTGCATTGGTTCTCATGGAAAATGGGCAGAAAGGTCACAGATGCATCTATTGCTGCTGGGCAGAAATGACCAGCTCAGAAGTCAAAGACAAGGAAATAGAGGTTAGTTACATTATATAGATATGCTTCTTTCATTTACTGCAAATTCTGGTACATCTACATTCTGATACATCTGTATCTCTAAGTTTGGTGTAAAATGCTCTGTGATTTCAAGTTGCTGTGGAGAAATCTTTCTGTGCACTTGAGCTCTTCTGGAACTCCAGAGACACCAAGGATAATGCTTCAAACAACTACAAAATTCTCACAATTGATGACTACATTTACCCCTTCTCTTTTTTAAGCATAAAAATTGTTTAGTGCAATGTCTGCTTTCCGTGTAAGATCTGCTTAATCTGGATTCCCACTGATTTTTTCTGGGTTGTTTACGTGTTGATTTGGAAGGCTTGCAATCTCTAAGAATCTGTTAATGGTGGTCGTGTAGACCTGATCAAAGTTTGTTTATGATTTATTGTCCAAGTTTATAAGGTTTGTTTTCATTAAAGCTCTCAGAGATGGCACAAGTTCTTTCTATGAGTAAAAACTTTCTGCTCAAATAGACCACTGGATATTTCATATTCATGCATGTGAAGGAGTACTACTCCTAAATCTGCATCTTATAGCCATTATAAAAGGTTCCCAAGATACTCTTGGCTGACAGCTCCCTACATTGCAACTATGTGGATTAAATCACAGAGTAGTCTGATACTAGCGTGAAGAGCAAATCTCCTATGATACTATGCTAATCCCAGGAATGATCTGCCCTAGTTGGTATTTAATAAAGTGGTCCTTTTCTTTTATTATGGCAGCTTTTCTCTAGTACCTAATAGTGAATCTTTTGTGTCTCAAATATTTAGCTTCAACTATCCCAAGACAATAATTCACTGAGTTTTAGGACAGAGACAGAAGTAAGTGAAGATGGTCTAAGCATTCTTCAAAGCTGTTATCTGAAGTTGCTGCTGCACTCTCCATGCAGGAAATGTAATAATATAATGACTCAGCTAATGACTGAGTACCCACCATAAAGATTCCTCAGGTCAGGCAGCATTTAAACACGCCAGAGCATTATTTAAGGGGAGGGATCGAGGATTAGGCAAAGCAGATTGCATGATGATGTATTTAAGCTCTGTGCAAAAACATATGCATCCATCTAATTCTTATTGCTCTACGTGGCAGAAAATGACCTACAGACACATCGAACACCATGGCTACATAAACAGTAAGCAGAGAGCATGTATGAAGATATAGGTGCCTTTCAGTCAGGATGAGGTCAGGAAAAGAGACTCAGCATCAGTTTGTTAACAGAAGAAATTTCACAAAAGGAATTAGATAACAGATACTGGAGAGCTGAAAAGGCAAAGGCGACCACTGCAGCGACACCCTCCAGGCCAGGAGAATAAAGGGGGCAAGGATGGGGTTTTTAGAAGCTCAGGGAAAGGTGCTGATGTCTCAGCAGCTCTGAAGAGGGTCAGATGCCATTGAGGCTGTTGATGGTGTCTGGGTGACTTGGACGAGGGTCCCTGCATGCCAGGCTCAGGCATCAAAGTAACAGGCACTGACTGGCTGGGCAGGTGGCTCTAAGAGAGCATAGTGAGTCTAGTTCTGGAAGTATGAAAAGAACTGGAACCAACTGCCACCACTTGGGGCAAACAGTTGCTTGGGTGAGAAGCAACTGTTTATTATAGGAACCAAACTCAAAACAGAAAAGAATAAGCCCCTCCTCAACCTACAGAATGGGAAAAATTTTTGCAATCTACCCTCTGACAAAGGGCTAATATCCAGAATCTACAAAGAACTTAAACAAAGTTACAAGAAAGAAACAAACAACCCCATCAAAAAGTGGGCAAAGGATATGAACAGACACTTCTCAAAAGAAGACATCTATGCAGCCAACAGACACATGAAAAAATGCTCATTATCACTGGTCATCAGAGAAATGCAAATCAAAACCACGATGAAGTATCATCCCATGCCAGTTAGAATGGCAATCACTAAAAAGTCAGGAAACAACAGATGTTGGAGAGGATGTGGAGAAACAGGAATGCTTTTACACTGTTGGTGGGAGTGTAAACTAGCTCAACCATTGTGGAAGACAGTGTGGCAATTCCTCAAGGATCTAGAACTAGAATTACCTTTTGACCCAGCAATCCCATTACTGGGTATATACCCAAAGGACTATAAATCATGCTACTATAAAGACACATGCACACGTATGTTTATTGCGGCACTATTCACAATAGCAAAGACTTGGAACCAACCCAAACGTCCATCAATGATAGACTGGATAAAGAAAATGTGGCACATACACACCGTGGAATACTATGCAGCCACAAAAAAGGATGAGTTCATGTCCTTTGCAGGGACATGGATGAAGCTGGAAACCATCATTCTCAGCAAACTATTACAAGGACAGAAAGCCAAACACCGCATATTCTCACTCATAGGTGGGAATTGAACAATGAGAACACTTGGACACAGGGAGGGGAACATCACATACCGGAGCCTGTTGTGGGGTGAGGAGCTGGGGGAGAGATAGCATTAGGAGAAATACCTAACGTAAATGATGAGCTGATGGGTGCAGCAAACCAACATGGCCCATGTATACCTATGTATCAAACCTGCACGTTGTGCACATGTGCCCTAGAACTTAAAGTACAAAAAAAAAAAAAAAAAAAAAAAAAAAAGAATAAGCCCGTCCTGACGGCATGAGCCTCCTTCCAGTCTCCCTCTAGTGCCCCCTAGTGACAGAATTTGAGAAGGATCTGGCAAAGGAGGGCTGGACCTGGTAAGGTCCCAACGCAGTGTGACACAGCAGGATATATAGGAAGAGGTCAGGAGGTAAGGAGCAAAGGCTTAATAACCCAAACAAGATGCACATGCACCTTATAATCCCGTCTACATGCAGGGAGGAAGGTAAAGCAGTAAACTAGGTTACTGTGTTCTGTGTATCACCCTTACTTAAATTTGGAATAACCCTAGGGGCTTTCTTAAATCAAAGTCTTAAATTTGTTTTGCCCATCCAGTGTTTCTAAATCAGATTTTTTTTAACTGTTCCTTCAGTTATATACCAAAAGTATCTCTACAAATTGATGTTAGGAACTTTCTGAGCCCTAAATCAATATAGTAAGAGAATCATTTCTGGGTAGAATGAAAAAGAAATTTTCAGACTGGGTTCATGCTTATATTCTATACGAAGCCTAGCCCTGCTTTTCCAAAGAAGTAGTGACACATATGGAAATGACAACCAGCAAGACCCAAGTCTGACAAGGAGGCTGAATTGCCCCTTTAGAATTATCATTTCTGCCACCTCCCAGCACTTTACCACTTACCTAAAAGAAGACAAAATAATAGACTCTTTTGCTTCCAGTACCTATAATGTACATTTCCAGGTTTGTTTTGGAGTACAGCTGTGAAATCCTTCAGCACTGACATAATTCTCTTCCCTCCAATTGTGAAGTGTTCTTTGAGCAATGTAATTGTTCCCCACTGCAATTCTTACAGCAGCGTGTCAGCATGCCAATCACTTCTTCTTCTTCCAGTTCTGATTCTTCCAGTTCCCTGCTGTGTTAACACCCAGAATGAGTCCTTCCAGCTGTTGAAAGATGTCAGCATATTTATATGAACTACTTTATGTTTCCTGGGGAAATGTTCTAAAAGAAAAGAGATCTTGGCCGGTATGCTTGTGATTCTGCAGAGATGTGACTTGGCTTGCATTTATATTTTCTTTGGGGTCAGTAATAGTATTAAGTATTTCAAATGGCACATGTGACTACACAGTGTCACTTTATCTTAACTGAGCTTTGGTCATCTGTATTCCATTCAATTAGACTACACATATCACTCAGATATCTCTTCTGGAAATGAGAAAATTTGTCTTGTGGTAGGTTCTCCCAGGAAAACCTTGAAGATATCATTTATTGCAATGTTGCTGGACAGCACAAACTCATGGAACTTTTTCTGACATTTCAAATTTCTCTTTATCTTATGTTTGCATAACATTTCTTGAAGATTTCTGAAGGTACCCACAATCTGAGTGTTACACATTTTTCTTTCACTGAAAAGGGAGTTTCTTCAAGATTCTATTTTTTTGTTTTTTTGTTTTTTTGTTTTTTTTTTTTTTGAGACAGTCTCACTCTGTCACACCTAGGCCAGAGTGCAGTGGCAGGATCTCAGCTCACTGCTATCTCCACCTCCCAGCTTCAAGCGATTCTCCTGCCTCAGCCACCTGAGTAGCTGGGATTACAGGCAGGCACCATGACACCCAGCTTATTTTTGTATTTTTAGTAGAGATGGGGTTTCACCATGTTGGCCAGGCTGGTCTCGAACTCCCGACCTCGGGTGATCCACCCACCTTGGCCTCCCAAAGTGCTGGGATTACAGGTGTGAGCCACTGTGCCCAGCCTCTTCAAGATTCTTGATAGGAATTGTTAAACCTCCTGTTACAGGCTGGATTGTATCTCCAAAAAGATGTATGGAACCTGACCCCTGGTACTTGTAAATGTGACTTTATTTGAAAATAGAGTGTACAGATATCATTAAGATGAATGTTAAGATGAGATCATACTGGAGTAGGTCAGGCCTTTAATCCAATATGACTGGTGTCCTTATGAAAGGAAGAGAGAGAGAGAGACAGAGGGAAGACAGCCGTGTGAAGATAGAGGCAGAGATTGGCCACAAACCGAGGAATACCTGGGGCTACCAAAAGCTGGAAGAGGCAAGAAAAGACCCTTCCTCCCCTAGAGGCTTCAGAGACAGCATATCATTGCCAACACTTTGATTTTGGACTTTTGGCCTCCAGAACTGTGAAAAAGTAAATTTACGCTGTTTTAAGCCACCCAGTTTATGGTACTTTGTTTCTGTAGCCTTAGAAAACTAATACACCTCTCAAATCTGCCAACTAAAATTTTAACAGAATAGATTTCTTTTTCACACTTTCCCTGTCTCTGCTTTCTTCTAAGTTAGTGCCTTCAGCACTAGTGAGCTCTTCCCTTCTTTTGCATTGGCTGAACACAGAAACAAAGAATTCTATAAACTCCTTCAAGGACACTCCTGGTAGATGCTGTGGCCCGTGCCTTTGCACGCACTGTCTGATAATTGTGGGGCATCCTGGGAATGGGTGCAGCATCGTTGGTGTTACATTTGGGACACTGTACATGCCCAGTTAGCACTGGCCACTGCTGTGACTAAAGAGAAAAGCCCACAAGCAAATTTTAGAACTCCCAGCATCTTCACCCAGTTCAATAAACTTGTTTCTTAGTTGCCCTGGATTTACAATCTTGTATTTCAATTCTCTACAAGCATGCTATTCTATAACAAGCAGAATCCCAGGACTGCCATAGGATACCTCTCTCTGATGTAGGTCCAGAGGTTTGTTTAGTTCCGAAAGAGCACTATCCCAGGCCTGCTCCCTCATGTGTGTGTCCCTAATTTCTCCTAATTATGATGATTCTGGATCTGCACTCTCTTAGTGTTCTAGGGGTCTCTAACCAGATACTTCCTTATTCTTATACCTCTATCGACAGTTCCATTTCAGAATGTCACAATGCTAAACATACCTGTGATTTCAAAGTTAAGTTATACCGGGGAGGATCATGAAATTTCATGTCCAAGCCAGGGCACTATTTTAGAGGAAAAGGAGATGTTTAAACAGTTAAAATTCTATAATATTGTTAAAATATATTAACCAACATTGATTTTTATTATATTGATGTACCTAAAAGATGAACTTTTTTTTTTTTGAGACAGAGTCTCACTCTGTCGCCCAGGCTGGAGTGCAGTGGTGCGATCTCGGCTCACTGCAAGCTCCACCTCCCGGGTTCACGCCATTCTCCTGCCTCAGCCTCCCAAGTAGCTGGGACTACAGGCACGTGCCACCATGCCCAGCTAATTTTTGTATTTTTAGTAGAGACGGGATTTCATCATGTTAGCCAGGATGGTCTCCATCTCTTGACCTAGTGATCCGCCTGCCTTGGGCTCCCAAAGTGCTGGGATTAGAGGCGGGAGCCACCGCACCCGGCCAAGATGGACTTCTTTAAGCTTTTAAAAATGAGATCTTTTCTAAAAAATAAAATCTATCTATATTAAAGCAGAATAAAAGCTTTATATTGACATTTAAACATTTAAAAATAGCAAGGAGAATAATTATCTTTGGTATATATTCACATCTGTTAATCAGCCTAGCCATTATCTGTCATGAGTATTTTTCTGAATAATTCATTTATTTCAATATATTATGCAATCCAGAGTTGCATATTATGATTAATAAACTTGGAATGAATAGGTCAATTAACTCTTCTGGTGGTCATAATAGTAAGGCCAGAGCATATCTGCTAAATGTATGATATTCTAAATTTTACTTTTGAAATTAAAATATATAAATACTGAGCCATTTTCAAGCGTACTTTATTTTTATCTCTTTTGAGTACCTTTCTTTAACAAATATTTTTCAGAGACAAAATTGGTTAAATAAATTGTCTAATGCCTTTTAATGTTTCATTGAATTTAAACACTTTAAAACTGTACACTTTCTCAATTTCAATCCTATAAAATATAGAATACAAATATGTCCAGTTAAAAATAGGACTTTCATCAAACGATTCTTTAAAGTCAACACGTTCCCAAGCACACTTATAGAACTTAAAAATTAAATCTTGACAAAGAAACAAAAGACATGTACATTAGAATGGAATAAATAAAACCATCCCTATTTGTAGATGACATGGTTGTCTACATAGGCAATCCAAGAAATCTAAAAAAAAAAAAAATTCCTAGAATAAGGGAGTTCACCAAGGTACAAGGTGAACACACAAACATCAATCACCTGTTTATTTATAAACAAGCATGTGGACATAAAAACTAAAAACACAATACCATTCATAATTGCTGCAAACTAAAAGAAATATTTGGATACCAATCTAACAAAACATTCTATACATTGAAAATTGCAAAATGCTGAAGACAGAAGTCAAAGTAGCCCTAAGTAAATGGAAAGGCATGCCGTGTGAGTGGATTGGAAGACTTAACATAGTAAAAATGTCAGTTATCTCCAAAGTGACCTATAGGTTAAGGCAATTTCCATCAAATTCCCAGGAAGGTTTTTCTCCCATCCACATGCTTATTTTTAAATCTATATGGAAAGTTGAAGGACCTAGAATACCTAAAACAATTTGAAAAGAACAGAGTGAGAGGAATCACTCTACATGATGTTAAGGCTGACACTTTAGCCACAGTAGTCAAGACAGTGCAGTATTGGCAGAGAGCTAGACACAGACCAATGAAATAGAATAGGGAACCCAGAAAGAGACTCACACAAATATGCCCAACTGATTTTTGACAAAGGTGCAAAAGCAGTTCAATGGAGGAAAGACGGTCTTTTCAGCAAATGATGTTAGAACAACTGACATCCATAGGCAAAAACCAATAATAATAAGTACTTCAACCTAAACTTCACACCTTATATAAAAATTGACTCCATATGTATCATGGGCTTACATGTAAAACATAAAATCAAAATACTTTTAGAAAAAAATTAAAAAATATTTAGGACATATGGGTAGGTGAAGAGTTACGTATCTGACACCTAAAGCAGTAGTCCCCAACCTTTTTTGGCACCAGGGACCAGTTTTGTGGAAGACAATTATTCCCCAGACACAGGGCGGGAGGGTGGTGGGCATTAGATTATCACAAGGAGGGTGCAACCTACATCCCTTGCATGTGTGGTTCACATTAGGATTTTTGCTCTTACGAGAATCTAAGGACCCTACTGATCTGACAGAGGTGGAGCCCAGGCCCTAATGCTTACCTCCTGATGAGTGGCAGGGTTCCTACCAGTACAGGACCATGGCTCTGGGATTGGGGACACCTGACCTAAAGCACAATCCATAAAAAGGAAAAACTGATAAATTGGAGCTCAACAAAATTAAAAACTTTTGCTCTTCCAAAGACCCTCTTAAAGTCATGTAAACACCAGCTACAGACTGGAAGAAATTGTTTGCAGACCACATATCCAACAAAGTTTTTGTATCTAGAATATATAAATAACTCAGCATTCAACAGCACAAGACAAAAAGCCCAATTAGAAAATGGGCTGCTTCCGGCCGGGCGCAGTGGCTCACGCCTGTAATCCCAGCACTTCGGGAGGCCGAGGTGGGCAGATCACCTGAGGTCAGGAGATCGAGACCATCCTGGCTAACGCGGTGAAACCCCGTCTCTAATAAAAATACAAAAAATTAGCCAGGCATGGTGACGGGTGCCTGTAGTCCCAGCTACTCAGGAGGCTGAGGCAGGAGAATGGCATGAACCCCGGAGGCGGAGCTTGCAGTGAGCTGAGATCACACCACTGCACTCAAGTCTGGGCGACAGAGCAAGACTCCGTCTCAAAAAAAAAAGAAAATGGGCTGCATCCATGAACAGACATTTCACTGAAGAGGATATACAGATGGTTAATAAGCACATGAAAAGATACTCAACATCATTGGCCATTACATCTCTGTACATTAAAACCGCAAGCAGATATCACTATACACCTATGAGAATGGCTAAAATAAAAAATAGTGACAATACCAAATGCTGGCAAGAATGAAGAGAAACTATATATTTATATATTGCTGGTGGGAATGTAAAATGGTAGAACCACTTTGAAAATTCGTTTGGCAATTTCTTTTAAATCTAAACATGTTGGTACCATACGGCTGAGAAATCCCAAACTCTTGGGAATTTATCCCAGAGGAATGAAAATGATGTTCACACGAAAATCTGTTCATGAATGTTCATAGCAGTTTTATTTATATTTGCCAAACACTAGAAGTAACCCAGATGCCCTTCAAGGGGTAAAAAGTTAAACACACTGTAGCACATTCAGCGCTACTGCTCAGTAATAAAAAGGAACAAACTATTGATATACACAACAGCGTGAATCAATTTCAAGGAAATTATATTGAGGGGAAAAAAGCCTATTTCAAAAGGTTATACACTGTATAATGGTTACACAACATTCTAGAATATTCTTGAAATAACAAAATTATAATGTTGCCAGAGGTTGGGAATGGGGGCGAAGGATCAGGTATGTCTATAAAGGAGTAACACAAGGGAGCCTCATGGTGCTGGAATAGTTCTGTATCTTGATTATGGTGGTGGCTACATGAAGCTACACGAAGCTACACACCAGGTAAAATTGCATGAGCTGTACACACACACAAATGGGCACATGTAAAGCTGTAGAAATCCACATAAGCTCTGTGGCTTGTACTGATGTCAATTTCCTGGATTTCATACTGTACTATTGTTAGATAAGATGTTACCATTGAGGGAAGATGGGTGAAAGAGTGCACAACACATCAACATGTTTTTTGAAGCTTCCTGTGAATCTTTTATTATTTCAACATAAAAAGTGTTAAAAAATTAAATTTTGTACACCATTTGAGTTCTAATTCCTACCAGCAATGTATGAATGATTCCATTTCTCCACATCCTTACCAGCATCTGCTGTTGTCACTGTTTTTTATTATAGCCATTCTGATAGGTTTTGTTCTTTTCTTGCTTGTGTAGGGATACATTTTAATGTTTTCTTGTTTGCACGCTTTATTTTGAATTGTTGCTATCGTTGTTTTGCTAAAAGCTGAAGTACTTTGGCACTTTACTGAATACTCTGATTAAAATTTCCCACCTTATTTTTAAAATAATCAAAATTTAGAGAGCTTGACTTAAAAAATCGATACTACTACTGTAGGAAACTGAGGTTGATCTATAAAGTAGTTCTTCAAAGGCTTTAAACTTTTTAAAGCCAATTGACAAGGCAGCAAAGAGAAAGATGTACTGCCATACTGAAATATTTTATTGTTTCCAACGTAAGCTTCATAACAGAGTTTAATTCGTTTAATTCTGGTTGAGTGACTAGAAATTGAAAATTCTCAAAATCACACTGTCTGTGCCAGCTGGCAAAATATTATATCTTGTTTGAACCCTTGGGGTATGATTATGGTGAAGCCTCATGGAGGAACACCAAAGTTTATCACTAAGTCCCCAAAATCAATTATTGTCTCTGGAATCCATATCAGATACCAAAGGCCACTGGAGTGACCTCAGAATTAGTCATTAGAGAAACAGATGTAGATTTATCAGAAAAACTTTCCCAAGAAGCCAGCCTTCAGAAAATGTCAGTGCATTCAACTAAAAAACCATGTTGATTTCATGAAAGTTCTGCATTTATGTGTGTTTACAATGTAAATAGGTTCTGCCTACAATGATTAAAGAGAAGAGAAATGACCTAGTGTCTGTCATCACCTCCATGTATTGGTGATAAAACTGATTTGGAACAACATTACCTGCCTGGTTAACTGAATATGGCAGCGTTGGTCACTTTCCCCTGTCTCATTAGCGAGGTTGATGAGGGTTCATTATGTATTCATGAGGCTGAGGCAGAGTGCATCTTTTCAACTAAAAAGATTAAGCCTGCTACAGCAACTGCTTCAGCTCAGGTAGCAAACATATGTAAAAGGAATTCTCATTATCCCTCCTCCCTTGAACCTGACGGGTTTGATTTTCAGTGTCACCTGCCTTCACACATATGACTGTGAAGCAGTTAAGGGTTATTCTGGGTAAAGATTTGCAGGAGTTTAAAGTATTTGCCAACAAAGGACAGCTTTATGAAGCTGATCTCTAGTAACTGAAGATGTCAGAAACCTTGATACTAGTAAGATGGGGTTGGAGGAACTCTGCCTATTATTATTTCAAATATGAACATGATAGGCAACAACCAGTAATCCTGGAGCCTCAGACAAATCCACATTCTAAAAACATCAAGCTGCCTGAGAATGGAACTGGTTGTGAGATTGTTGAAGGATGCATTTTCTTCCACAAAAAGCCAAGTACAATCTCCAGGTGTACTGGAGTGATGCTGTGTTGCTGATACCTGCTGTGATGCTGGGGAATTCCCTGCTAGGAAAATTCAAAATGAAAAAGAGCAAGCCACTTAAGACACGATGAAGAACAGATAATTTATACAAACACCCACACTTAATTCTTAAACACTGCAAGCATGAAGAGTTGGCTCATGTAATGTTGAAGCCAAGGTCATGGAATACCTCTAGCTAGAATAGTTCGTGCTGTGCCAACATGATCATAATTCAGTGCCATAATTAGTATCTCTTCAAGAATAAGTATTTGCCTGACTTCTCACTTGAGTCCAGGGTTAGGGAGTGCTTGGTACTACCAGTTAATAGACCTGTCGGAGACAGCTCATGGCTCTCTGAATCAGAAGCAGGCTTTAATTTCTTTTTTTTTTTTTTTTTGAGATGGAGTCTTGCTTTGTCACCCAGGCTGGAGTTCAGTAGCGCAATCTTCGCTCACTGCAACCTCCGCCTCTCTGGTTCAAGCAATTCTCCTGCCTCAGCCTCCCAAGTAGCTGGGATTACAGGCATCTGCCACCACACCCGGCTAATTTTTGTATTTTTAGTAGAGATGGGGTTTCACTATGTTGGCCAAGCTGGTCTCAAACTCCTGACCTCAGGTGATCCACCTGCCTCAGCCTCCCAAAGTGCTGGGATTACAGGCATGAGCCAATGAGCCCACCCTAGGCTCTAATTTCTGTTTTAACCTACCTTTAATCACTTCCCTTCTTAGATGAAGTTGTTTCTTGTGGCTCCAATGAGTGCTAATGAACAGCCTGGTATTTTCCAAGGAGTAGCAGATTAGCAAGGGTTTGATTCAATGGTACCCTCTCTATATCTGTAAGAAATTTCCATGGATTTAAGAGCTACAAAGTTATGTTTATTTTTCCACCAGTCTAGAGTTATTAGTGAATACACTGTTTATAAGGAAAGGAAAGCATGTTTTTCCAGTCTTCCCTTCTCCAACCCTGCATGAATCAGACACTCCCATTTACTTCCGCATGGACACTCACCTTGCTGGGCCCAGGTCCTTAGACTGGTTCCTGTTTCTAGGTCCCAGGCCATTTCTGGATTCAAGATTTCCCTTTAGAAAAATACTTTCTTCCATGCAAGGCAGTGCCTTCAAGGCCTTTATTTTCTGGTAAGTAACTCCTTTCTTGTAGTTATGCCCTAGAGTCTAAGATACTCTCTTGCTTTTCCCTAACATGACATCTTGTGCTTTAGGTGGATCTCTAAGACTTAGTTACTCTAAGTTAATATGTCTCCTGAAAACTTTGGGTCCCAGGTAGAACCAATTTCTATCCTGGAGTATATCTTTCCAAAAGTAATAAGAGGGAGTGACTCAACCAGATAAGTACCTTATTTGTAAAATCACACTAAGCCAGCACAAACCTCTTTTGTTTAAATCTCCACATGTCAAAGCATTGTGTAAGTGCATTTTGGTTTCTAGTGACATTGTCCTGTCTGGAAGGCCACCCCTGACCCATTCTGCCCATGTTGATATTTAAACAAACATGTGTTTGTACTCCAACAATAGATTTAAGAGCATCACCTTTTCCTAACCTGTCTGTAATCTGTTTATAAGGGTCGAAGCAGCTCAGGCTGCTGTGTGTATGTGTGTGTGTGTGTGTGTGTGTGTGTGTGTGTGTGTGTGTGTGTGTGTGTGTGTGTTTAAATCTCTAATCTCCATCTTGTCTCTATTCACTATTCCCTACCTCTTCCACACCCAATATCCCCCAGTAGAAAAGATTCCCAGGGATTCTCATGAGCCAGCCTCTGTTTTCAGCAGACCCTTTTTAAAAGTCTGAAATATGAAAGATCTTCTAGATGTCTCTATTAGTTGGAAAAGGGAGGAAGCCTGACCGATTAAGAGGCCTGATGTTGCCAGCCAGTTTATGTTGAGGAAATGGGGAAGAAGGGACCCTTTCCAAAAGCCTGTATGGGGAAAAGGACATCTATGAACCTTTTGTGAGGATTCGTTCTTGGTCCTCTGTAACACATTCCTCACTTCTAACAGCGTTGCAGGCTCCTGCTGGCTGTTTTCTATCCATTTAGGGAAAAAGATATTTCAATAGTGAAAGCCACTGAACAGCATAAGGTTATGATAGTGACCATATTGAGAAGGTAAGATAGTTGTTGTAGGATTGGCCATAAGTAAGGTTCCAGCTTTGGGGAAAATATTAGTAAACTACCCTCTGAAATGAGTATTCTTACTCATTTTTGTGAAAGTCTCCCCCAGGATGAATTATCATGTGGGATCTGCTTTAAGATAATCCAATAAGAAATAGAAGAAGGAAGATTGGATACAGATTAATAACTGATGAAACCAGATGACTGGCACATGGGATTTCACATTATTCTTTCTACTTTTGTGTAGAATTAAGAGTTTTTATAATAAAAATGTTTTACATCTCCCCAGGAGACACCCACCTAGGACATGTTTTGTAAATGTGTTCCTGATAATATAGCACTGCCAAAACCCCAGGACTGTCTCTCAGTCAAAGGTATTGATTTAACATGTAGCTTTTGAAGGGCACGCTGTATTCTTGTTGCCTATTGCCTGTTTGCTCCAAAGGAGTGTACTCATGACAGAAATTTGGGGAAGTTGATAAAAGAATATTAAAACACTGCTGCATATGACTTGGGTTAAGAGTATGCTTTCTTGTATATGCATACAATGTTTCTGGAAGAATTCACTATTTGCTTCTAGACAGGGAAGCCAGGTTTCTGAGGAAAGGGATTGAGAGGCTAGGTTTAAATAAATTAAAATTAAATGATTAAATGAACAAAACTATGCTGTCACTGGAGGGTTAGATTTGTTACTACCTGTGATACTGTCCCAAGTGAAAGTGATCTGCCCAGTGAGCCTAAAACCAAGTTAATTAAAGATTATGTACCTAGCTCCATTGTTTAGCAGTTGAGTAACAACTGCTTGACAGACTCAACTTGATGAATCAGTACATTAGGGCATCAGTTAAGCTGTTTAACTCCAGCCTTGGAACCACCGTGGAGACAATAGCTTTTGCTCACATTCTTAAAATGCTGCAGGATTATGTCCATAGTACATGAGAAGGTGCAAACTTCTCAAAGCTCATCTATACCCTCATCTCTGCAAGTGGACTTCTTAGAAAAATGACTTAGGAATGATATGGAAGATACACAAGCTGTCCCAACTGAGTGGGAACAAAGGCATCCCTGCAGGCAGGCAGGAAAGGGCCCCCTAACTGAGATGATGGCACCCCTGAAATCTGCACTTTTCGGTGAATTTGCCATGAAACTATTCTTACACCTGAGAATGTGAACCTGCCTGTGTTACAAAGCTCCTGATCTTTTCAATGCAGAGAGAACACTGTTCCTCTGAAAGAACAAGCTGGCACAGTTATTGCTAGCTGCTGCCACAACATCCTTGTTTCAGAAGAAAACAGATGAACTGGAAGTCAGGAAAATCTGCTTATGATTTTTGGCCTCAAGACACGCATGTTGAAGTTCATCATCCCAAATGCGGGAGCATTCGAAAGACTGGTAAATGAATGGAGTCTTTACAACTGCTTCTGATGTTGGAGTGACTATATGCTATTTGAGTATATGTGTTAAACAAGTCCATGATGTTCTTCTACAAACAGAAGAACAGCGGGGCACATTTACCTATTTAGGGGAGGGAGCTGGAATCTATAGCCAGTTATGAATTGACTTAGAAAACAGAACCAAAGCAAATGTAATACCAGTTTTTAGACAATGCTTATGACTTGTGCATATGTCTCTGCTGAAGCATTACTAGGCTGTTGGATTGAGGCAGAGAAGAATTGACAATTTCTAGTTGAAATATCACCTGCAGTTCATCCAGGACTCTGTTCCAAAGACAGAAGCCATAACCTGTATTAATTCTTTCTGTTCCATCAGTCTGCTCAGCTTATTATGGACTACTCTTGAGGACATGAAGATTCTTACGTGTGTAATGAGATGTACCAAACCGCAACATTCTTGGGTGCAGAGAACCAGCAAAAATTGAAAGTTTCACATCAACACACACTTGGTGAGGAGGACAACGTGGCAATGTATATCAAAATTGTAAGTAACTCCACGTCTGAGAATTTACCTTAAAGATGTATACATTCCAAAATGATGCATGTAAGAGATAATTCATCATAGCATTGTTTATAACAGCAAAAGATTTAAACCAACGCCTTCTGTAGAGGACCGGTTAAATAATGGTACCTCCACACAATGACATAGTATACCATCATGAAAGAATGAGGCATCTTTAAGTACTTTAAAATCTTGAAGATAAATCAAGAGGAAAAGGTTAGAGCAGTAGTTAAAAGCAGACTTTCATTTGTAAAAAGGAAGAAGGTGGATAAGAATATGTTTTTGTATTTGTTTACATCTTTCCTGAGATTTTGTACCTATACAAAAGAAACTGACTACTAGCATCATCCAGGGTGAGAAACTGAACGTCCAGAAGACTTTTCACAGTACAGTTTCCATTTTTCAATCATGAAAAATCATTCAAAATTTTGACTGTTTAATCATGAATTATCTATTCCAAAAGAAATATTTTAAGTTAGACTTTGAAATGACTATAAGACGGTATCTAATACATAGTTGGCACACTTCTTACGAATGATGATTTCTTGGATATACAATTAAATATGAACTTGGAATTTCTGCTTTTAGCATTATGGCTAAAATAGAGTTTTTTCTCCTACTCAAAAGTTAACAAAGGAATTGTAGAACTTTCTTTTTTTTACCAGCCTCCCCCATCCTCTACCCCCTGACTTTTATGACGATTCTGAAGACTGCTGAGAAGTAAACGTTGGGTGTGAGAGAAGCGCTGTGTCCTTGAACTCCCCAAGATTTAGAAGTGCCAGGAGCACTAAGAAATTGCCTGGAGCTATTTTGCTTACATTTATTTCTGCCCACCCGGCTCCAGGCTTTGTATTTAGTCCTCTTTCCTCTGGCCCTCCCTCTGGTTTCTACTGAATCTAAAACTACAAGAAAGAAACTAGGTATTTTTGAGGCATAAATTATTGGGCACAATTTAATCATTTACAAAGTCTTGCTGATGAACTCAGTTATTTGGTGATATTTATTAAAAAGAAATAATAATTGGAATAAATGTATTTATAAGTGGTTTTCATGATTCTCTAATTAGATGAAAACAATATATAAACAAAGCCCCTTGAATCTGGGACCAATATGGACAGTTCTTGGCTTAGCAATATGGCACATCTCCTTGAGAAATGAGTATAGTGTATCTTGGGGGTAAAAGGAAATGAAAAGAGCTGAACTTGCTCTAAGACAATGATGCCTACATTCTGCAATGTGCATCGGTCTTATTCTTACCTTCCCATTCTGACTGCCTCACAGGATTGGTTGAGAGGATCAGAGTGTAGTATGTGTGGATGCACTTCATAAATGCAAAAGTGTGGTTCATGTACAAATACTGGCCCTTATAGTGCTGAATTTACCCAGAATTTTGCCCAGAAATTTGCCCAGAACTGTAAGATCAAATGTGTGCAGATATGCTGAAAATACTGTAAAACAGTTGATGATTAGCAACTATGATATTTCTAAGCAAAATACTGGATATTTCTTGGAGAACCCCTAGGACGTTGGTTTTTAAGCCTACTCTTGGGACTTGCAGTTTTATTATTGAAACTTGAGAATGCCTTTGCATTCTCAAGCAGACTGGCTGAGGCTGCTTAATGGTTTCCATATCCAGGCACTCTGTGGGCCCCCACATTGAAGTGTGGACCTCCAGGTTCTGGTGCAGGTGTCAGTTTTCATTTCCTGTGCTCAGAAAGGAAGGAATTATCACCACAGCTGGGCCTTCAGTTTTTACTGAGGTGAGGGAGATGAAGAACCTTAATACTGGTCACTAACTTGTAATGAGATTGTTTCAGGAGTCAACCTGCTGGTTAAAGAGGACCAAGCCATCTAGGGGTATTTAGGCATCAATCGGCTGCTCCACCATCAAATTTTAGCAGCCAATAAAGCTGATCATGTGTGTGACCCACCTTCCCCTGCTTGGGAATGCAGTGCTTAGCTCTTAAGGTTGGAAGGTGATTGACAACAGGACTTCCAGTACAGAGAGAACCTTTGAGGTATAAGAGGAAAAAAAAAAAGCCCAAGGCTGAATTAGGCTATCAGAGATATATCCTGGTGTATAATTAGCGTGGCTTCTAAGAAGCTATTTTAGTGGAAGTACACATATAATAGAATGGCCCAGTGACTTGTTCAAATGTAACCCTGGGAGTGAATCAGCTTTTAGTGGAATAAAGATTTCCAAGGTCAGCCTTTTTGAACCCACTGTGAATTAGTTTTCTCTTCTGTCCAAGAATATGCAGACATGGTCAGAGTGAATGCTGTGGTTGAAGTGGAAGACGTCTTTGTCTACACTGTCCCAAAACCTCGTGAACGGTTTCCTTATGTGATTAGCTCTGCCCTTAGTCGCTTAACTAAGTTGTTAACTCTGCTCTGGTTACTTATTGCACATGGGTTGGAAGACTCAAACGGGATCATGCCCATACAAGCACTGTTAAGTTGTATAACGCTGCATACGTGTAACTGTTTCACAGGGTGGTCATTAGGAATAAATGAGATTGCCTGTAGGAGCCAGCCACTTTCGGTGTTCCATTCATAGAGCAATTAGGGCCCTGATCAGAAGCCTGATTCCAGAAATAAAGGGCCTCTGCTTTGCACCTGATGGTCTAGTCTCCTGTCTGTGTCAGCCCCATCTTCAGTTTCCAGCTTTGGCACACTGTGCTCCCAGTGTCTACTCTCCAGCCAGCAATGTTGGCTTTTCTTCATCTTCCAAGCCCACTACTGAGACTCCAAACCCAGGCATGTGAACTCTGACTGAAAATCATGAACATCTCAGGGAGAGAGACTAAAGCCATCCTCAGCACATCAGGCCTGATACTACCAAGGCAACCTTCTTCTCCTTTGTCTTTCCTGTTTCGGCTTTCCAGGTCTCCACCTGGAAAGCAGAGGCCAAAGAGGGACAGGAAAAAAATCGAGTTTAGTAGCAAAGAGCCAAATAATTGCTTCACTGGTACCTTGGTACAAAGTTCTAATTAATTAACTGGTAGAAACAGCTGCAAATATTAAGACTTGAGCAAATGTTTTGTGGGACTTGACATACCCTAGGACATTGAAACAGCAATGGAGTGGCATGGGGATCTGGCCACTGATAGACCAAATCCTGACATCACATCTGTTAGCTGAAATATGGACTAAGTTGTTTTTAAACTGTATACTTAAAAATAATATAGATCAATAGGAAGTTGCAAAGATACTGCAGAGTATCATGTACCTGTTCCCAGATTTCCACTAACGGTTACATCTTACATGACTATAATGCAATTTAAAAACCAGGAAACATATTGGTATAATGTGGGTATAGCTTTATGCCATTTTACTACAAATGTAGATTTATGAGAACTTCAGTCAAGATACAGAACTATTCCATCATCACAAAAATCTCCTTCATGCCACCGCATCATAGTCTCACCCCCATCATCATTACCACATCCCTAACCCCTGGCAACCACTAATTCATTATCCATCTCTATAATTTTGTCATTTTGAAAATGTTTTAGAAATGGAATTATACAGTATGTGACCTTTTGAAGTTTGCTTTATATATATTGCCGAATTCTATTTGCTGATAATTTCCTGAAAGTTTTTGCATCTATATTCATGAGGGATTCTGGTCTTCCGCTTTCTTTTCTTGTACTGTCATTGTCTGGTTTTAGTATCAAGGTAATATTAGCTTCTTAAATTACTGGAGAAGTGTTCCCTCCTCTTCTATTTTCTGGAAGTGATTGTGTAGAATTGGCATTAATTCTTCCTTAAACATTTGGTAGAATTTGCCAGTAAAACCATCTGGTACTGGAGAGGTTTTTTTTTCAGCAGTTTTTAACTTATAAATTCAATTTCCTTTATAGTTATAAGGCTATTCAAATTGTCTATTTTATATAAGGGAGGTTGTGATAGTTTGTGTTTTGCAAGGAATTTTGGTCCATTTCACCTAAGTTGTCAAACTGATGTGTGTAGAGTTGTTCATAGTACTCTCATGTTATCCTTTTGATGTCTACAGGGTCCGCAGTGATATCTGCTGTTTCATTCTTTATACTGGTAATTTGTCTTCTCTCTTTCTTTTTTGTTAGTCTTGCTAGAAGTTTGCCAATTTTATTAATCTTTTTAAAAAGTTTGTGTCTTATTGGATTTCTCTATTGTTTTTCTGCTCTTCTCTTTTCATTTCTTTCCTTCCCCTTGTTTTATGTTTATTATGTTCTTCTTTGTCTAAGTTCTTGAGGAAGGAGCTTAGGTTACTGATTTGAAACTTTTCCTCTTTTCTACTGTAAATGTTAAGTGCTATACACTTCTCTTTCAGCACTGCTTTAGCATAGATTTCTTTTTTACTTGCCTTGAGACCTCCTCTTTGATTATTTAGCAGTGTGTTATTTGAACATTTCATTTTCTCTTTCTTTTTATGTGTAGTTTAATTCCATTTTTGTTAGAAAACATAATTTGCATAATTTCAGTTATTTCAAATTTGTTGAGGTTATTTTTGTGGCCCAGGATGTGGCCTCTCTTGGTATCTGTTCCGTGGGCTCTTTAGAATGTGTTCTGCTCTTGTGGATATGCTGTTCTATAAATGCCTATTAGATCCTGTTGTTTTATGGTGTGGTTGAGTTCTTCTATATCTTGCTGATACTGTTTATACAGGTTTCTCTCTGGTTGCTGTATCAATTCTTGAGAGATAGGGGATTCAAATATCCAACTATGATTGTGAATTTGTGATTTCTTCCTTCACTTCCATCGGTTTTTGCTTCACGTATTTTTCAGCCCTGTTTTTGTGGTCCACGCACATGTAGGACTGCATATCTTAGTGGATCGGCCATTTTGTTATCATGTAATGTTCTTCCCTGTTCCTGGTACTTTTCTTTGGTCTGAAGTCAACTTTTTCTGAAAGCTCCTCTTGCTTTCATTTGATTAACCTTTGCGTAGTATACTTTCTTAAACCCCTTTACTTTCAACCTACCTAAATTATTATATATGAAGTTTCTTATAGACAGCTTATAGTTGAGGCATGTATTTTTATCCACTTGACCAATTACTCTTTTAATTTATATATTTAGATCATTTATATTTAATGCAATTATTAATAATCTTAGGACTTAAATCTGCCATTTTAGTTTTTCTTTTCTGTTGTTCTCTGTTTTTAATTTCTCTGTTTTCCTTTTTCTGCCTTCCTGTGAGTGAAAGTAACATTTTTAGGATTCCATTATCATCTGTCTAGAGCATGTCTGAATGTATCTTCTAGAAATTTTTTTAGTGGTTGTTCTAGGTATTACATAATATAACGTAAGTTATCACAGTCTACCGGTATCATCATTTTACCAGTTTGAGTGAAGTATAGAAAACTTACTATCCCTTATGTTCCTTTACCCTCTCCTGTATATAATTATTAATTATGTTTTAATTATTTCCTGTACATTCACTGAGAGCCACATCAAACAGGGTTATATTTTTGCTTCGACCATCAAACATAATATAGAAAAGCCAAAAGGAAAAGAAAAGTGTATTACATTTACCATATTTTGTGCCCATTGACATTTCCAGGTTACCTGCTTGTCCTGATCCAAGTCTGGGATACATGAGGCAAAAAGAAAACCCAGGGAACTTACTACATATTGTTCCTCACCTCCTGAGTTTCCTAGCTGTCCTACCTTCTTTTCTCCTCATTTCAGAAACTTCTTGTGTCTGTTTTATATGTAATGTCCAGCGTATTTAGTTGTACTTATTGGGAGGAATAGGGAAAAGTGTGTTTTCTTGTCTTGTCTAGAAGTGATGTGACTAAGTGGATTTTAACTGCTCCTGCAATTACAGTTCGTGGCTTGAAATCTCCTTGCTCTTTCTTCTATTCTGTTGCTTATTCTGTTTCTTGGAATAAAAGTTAAATGTATCTTTAAATAATCTTGACCTCTTAGATTAATAGTTGATTTAACCTTTGATGGGTCGGACGGGGGCGGAATGGAGATGGAGCTACTAGAAAGCTATCAGTTAGAACAGCAAAAGACAGCAGGTAGACCAAATAGATATGCTAAATAGACACAGTGCTGGCTCCTGAGAGTTGCTTCCCCAGTGAGCTAAGTCAGTCTTTTTGCTCATTGCCTTATCATTCTTACATAACCTACACTACACTGCCTTATGAAATAAGAAAGGTTGCTAGACTGGAGTCAGGAGACCTAAGTTACAGATGACACTGTGACCTTGAGCAAGTGACTTGACCTTCCTCAGCTCTGTTTTATTCATCCTTAAAATGTGCTTGTTGGTGGATTAGTTCCTAAAGTTTCTTCCAGCTCTTATGGTTTGTAATTACTCTTCACAGACAGCTTCCCCACCACTACTACACACGCACATGCAAGCACCTGCAGGCAACTGCTCACCGACTACTTTGTCCTACAGAATTCTTTAAAGAGGATTTGGCAACATGCTTCTACAAGACATTTAAAACCTCACTCATCAGTTTTTGAAAATCTTGCTCATTTAAATTGTCACAGCTCAAGAGCCCTGGGATTTAAACCTTGGAAAGGGTAAGGCTTGTCAGCAGAATTTCTGTGTTAATTTGTAAAAAGCTAAGAGATATTAAAACTTTCCACTCTGCAGAAGGCAGTAGAGAGACTGCAGACAAGGAAACCCAGAGGGGTAGTAGAGGGAAAGTCACTGACAAATGCCTGCACTCTCAGACCCCGGTTTTTCCCCTGTCCTGCCAGTATCTCCAGCCCTACTGGAATAAAAGGGACATGAACTCGAGGGAGAGGAAAAATTGTAGCCAGTAGAGACAAGCTTAGAAGGAACAGGAACGAGAACAGGATCTGAACATAAACAGGCTTGAGATAGTCATGATTTATGAAAGATCAAATAGATATCTGCCCTCAAAGTACAAATACATTACAGAAAAGCTTATCCCATATATTTCCTCTTTGTCCTTTATCACTTAAGCTACAGAGATGATACCATTGGTTGAAATATTTCCAGGAAATGCTTGTTCACACATTAAATTCCTTAATACACAGTGATTGGACAAATTGCTCAAATCTACTAGAAGAAGGAAACTTTTTGAAATTACTAACACTTCCCATCCACTAATTTCTTTTTTAAAAAAATTACACCAAATGGGAGTGTTCTTTCCCAGGCAGTCACTAAAAATCATTGTCAGTGGTGAGAGTTGTTTCTGATAGACTTTTTGTGTATGGAAACTCAAAGGAGGCAGAAGAGACAGAGGCATTATGAGATGGGCCATGTGAAATACAAGATCATGTGAAATGATTGGGGAATCCAGAGAATGGAACCTTGGCTCAGGAGATCCTCTGGCTGGAAAAGGAGGACTGGAAGGGGGTCATGGAGCAGGCTTGGGGAAAAACGGGCTGGCCTCAGATCTTCTGTTACCACTACCCCTTCTCAAAATTATTTTCAGGGAATATTTTCATGCTGTCCTAAGTCATTTGGTAGACTTTGTTACTCAAAGGTTCATAGCATCTGAAGAACTGACAATATTTTGAGTATTTTACCAACGTATATATTTCTCCCCACCTTGAGAGACAATTGAAGGCTGACAAAAAGAGTTATTTACATCTATCTCTCTCTTGTCCTTTCTCATCTCCCTTTAACTTTCCTTCATTTCACAAGTGAAGGCCCATACTACCAGGCTGGTAGGGAAGACAGGAAAAGAGTATGCCTACAAGCCTCACAGGAAATGGAGAACAGCAGGAGGAGCTAGCACCAGCACCGTTTATGACTGCACAATGCACTGCTACATAACAGATGTTTAAAAATTCCTTGAGTCCCTAAGGCCTAAGATCATAAAAGAAGAGATCACAGAGAAATAACAAAGTATATAATACCATGATTATATGGTGCCAACAAAGCCAGAGTTTGCAAAAAAGAAGAGTGGCCAATAGATAAAATAAAGCAGAGTGAGCACTGGGGACTATGAGAATTGATTGGATTTTACCATTAGGATATTATTGATGACCGTAGCAAGGATGGTTTTATGGAGTTATTAGGGACTGAAAGCTAGATTGTACTGAGATACAGTAGAATAAAGACAAGTGGAAGCTAAGCAGCGAGCACCAAGTTTGAGAATAAAAATGTTGGTAACTTCAAGAGGAGGCTCAAAGGTGGTTTTTGAGAAAAATGAGCAATGTCTGTAGGCTGAGGGTGGGAATATGGAAAGGGGATGTTAAAGCTATCAAGGAAGCTGGGTTAATGGAGCAAGATTGCAGAGGAAGAAGTGAGGAAGGGTACAGTGGAAGGATTGGCCTAGGGTACTGAAGGAAGGAGGATGAGAGTCTGTGGGAATCCCAGTGGAGTTTGGATGAGTAATTGCTGCAGTTCTCTCAGCATCTCTGGGAGAGCACAGCCCAGCCTGGGCTTGGAGGGCTGTGGTATATCAGGGGCAAAGTTTCCATGAAAGCTTAAAAAGTAGGAGATTTTGACAACGGAGGGAGGATTTGGGAAAGCAGGTGGGGGAAGGAAGGGTTCATTATAACAGAAGCCAAGGCAATAAGCACCTGAGAGAAAAAAGCAGATAATGAAAGGAAAAAGAAAACTGCTACATTTTTTCATGTGGAAATTGATGGTTATAAAAATAAAATCAGAAATCACTGACCTACAAAATTCAACTTCAGTGTGAGTCCCTGTGGTGGCAGAACTTTCAAGGTGGTAACTGTGGTGGATTTATGGAGGAGTTGGTGTGGGCCTTTGTCTTGCTGAGTTAAAGGCAGATATCTTGGGTGTGCACAGCAACAGAGAGGGCTCTGATCTTTCTCCATGGAGAGACGTCTTAATGTATAGGGAGTAGGGAGGGCCCTGGTCTGGTCCCAGCAGGGACTGTCTTGCAGTGAACAGACACACTAGGTATTAAGTAGATCAAAGAAAGATGATGTGAAAGTCTAGGAAGTTTTTAGGGGAAAGAGTCAAGCTTAGACTGCATATTAAGAAGATAAGGTAGTTTCTGGCAGGAGGCTTTGGACATGGATGTGGTGGGAGAGGAGGGAGAGAGGAGACCGTCCTACTAGAGGGTGCCTGTGGGAGAAGGGAGGCTGAGGTCCAGGAGACCTGTAAGTTACAAATTTTGTGTCTTCTGCGCCTCCTTGTGGTCAGCCATTTCCACTCCCAGCTCAGCTCTCAACTTTTCTCCTCACTGGTTTCTGTCTAAATGCCTCAGCATGGTCTCTGAGGTCTCTTGAATAGTCAGCTTCCAAATGGCTCTGCCTTCCCAACAGCCTCCTTCCTGTAGTAAGCATGCCAGTATCGCCCAGTGAGTAGATAACTTTCTCATCGCCTCACCTGGTTCATATATTTGGGTGTTATGGCCACTTGGTGCACCTCCTCTTTCTCTCTCCAGCCTTCCCAGATGAGCACCTCTCTGTTCTCACTGAGTCCTGGGGAAACTGGTCAACAGCTTGATCTTGGGTATCTATAAGACATCATTGCTGGGTTGGATTTGGCTAATTAGTGGCTGCGTGGTCTAGGTAAGTTAATTAACTCACTCATCTTGGGTTAAGGATGTAGTCACATAACATACAGATATGTCTGACACTCATAGTAAGTGCCTAGTCAGTGTTAGCTACTCTTACTACTAATGCATCCTTTGTCAGAATCCAACTCCAGGCAGACTTAGGAAAGCCTGCAAGTTAACCAGGGTCCTAACTATCATACCAAGATGCCATGCTAGCCGCCTACATGCCTAACAGATGCATCCCTTTTTCAGTATCCATTGCTTGCACTTCAGACCTTTGCCAGAGCCCTCCAACTCCAAATGTTCTCTCCAGAGTTCCGCAAAATTCAGTGGACATAATTGGGGAGGCAGAGGAGAGGCATTCTAGGCAGTACTTACACCGATTGCATGTACCTTGGAGGATGAAAATGACATCTAAATATTCATTCTTCCAAAAGCTACATTCTAGAATTGCAATATTTTAGCTTCAGGTGAAGGTGCTTTCTCAGAACTAGTTTGTTATTATGTCCTAATCCCATTAAAATTGAGATTAGGCCAAAAAAAACATTTTTGTAAATGCCTTGACATCATTTTTGTACCATCTAAAGAGAGCCAAAAGTGGCTTTTAGAGTTATTGCTACCTCTCTCAATTCATTGGTAGGCTTCTAGCTATTACATAATAAGAGAAAATGGAAGAAATGGAAGAAAATACCATTCATTAAGCCACTGAATAAAGTCACCTCTGAAAGTTGCCCTCCAGTGCTTGGCATCACAGAGGCTCCACTTATATAATAACTTCCTTTGGGTATATACCCAGTTATAGGATTGCTGGGTCAAATGGTATTTAAATGGTATATAATGGTATTATAAATCATTCTACTATAAAGACACATGTGCATGTATGTTTATTGCAGCACTATTTACAATAGCAAAGACTTGGAACCTACCAAGATGCCCATCAGTGATAGACTGGATAAAGAAAATGTGGCACATATATGCCATGGAATACTATGCAGCCATAAAAAATGATGAGTTCATGTCCTTTGCAGGGACATAGATGAAGCTGGAAATCATTATTCTCAGCAAACTATCACGAGGACAGAAAACCAAACCCCGCATATTCTCACTCATAGGTGGGAATTGAACAATGAGATCACTTGGACACAGGGAAGGGAACATCACACACTGGGGCCTGTCGGGGGGTGGAGGGCTAGGGGAGGGAGAGCGTTAGGAGAAATACCTAATGTAGATGATGAGTTTATGGGTGCAGCAAAACACCACGGCAAGTGTATACCTATGTAACAAACCTGCACATTCTGCACATGTACCCCAGGACTTAAAGTATAATAAAAAAGAAAACTTTCTTACTCTCCTCCTTCTCTTATCATCCTCCATCCTTCCCACTCGTACTCCCTCCCAGTGTGCAAATCTTAAAGAGACCAGCACCATTATTTATGACCATATTTTTAGTGGGTGAAGATTTGATCAGAAAAGGGATTGATAAGGAAAAGAATTCCAGAAATTTGGAATGAGCCAAGTGCTAAGATCCTGTGGTTACCCAGCTCTCTTACTTCTGATTGAGACAGGGGGAATTTGAGCTATGGGATTAAAATTGTCTCTCTACCACTTAATATTTCTCCTTTCCAACTGCATGTCACAAGGGCTGCTTCCGAAAGCTTTGCGCAAAATTCCGACGGCAACAAATTTCCCTGACTCTCTACTCTGTGTAATGCAACCACACAAACTCTTGTGCTTAATCTCTCTCTCACACACACACACACGTAAATCAGTGGTTCTCAAACTTGAGTGTATATCAGAATCACCCAGAGGTCTTAATAAACCACAGCTAGGTTGGGGTAGGACCTAGTAATATTTCCTACAGGTTACCAGGTGATGCTGATGCTGCTGGCCTGGAAACCATACTGAGAACCGTCGAAGTAAAAGTCTTCTCCTTTTCTAGCCTCAACAACTATGCCTGTAGCTGAAGACTACACAGTTACTCATCACATCTAAGCTCATAACACTGATTCATCTTCACTCCTAAGCCTGGAGCCGAGCTGCTCCCTGCACACTGGCTCTCGACTCCCTGGGTGTGCCTCTGTCTTAGTTTATAGCAGGCCATAATCCATCTTGTGGCACTCACCCTATCTTGACTGCAGAACTTGCCATCTCTATTAGTCAGCTCAGGCTGCTATAACAAAGTATCACAGGCTGAGTGGATTGAGCAACATAAATCTATTTTCTCACAGTTCTGGAAGCTAGACGTCCAAGATCAAGGTGCTGGAAGGGTTGGTTTCTTCTGAGTTCTCTCTCCTTGGCTTGTAGGTAGCCATCTTCTCCTCCCTGTGTCCTCACCTGGTCATCTCTGAGTGTGTTTCTGTGTCCTTATTTCCTCTTCTTAGACGGACAGCAGGCATATTGTATTAGGGTGCTTGTTAGTGACCCCATTGTAATGTAACCACCTCTTTAAAGGTGCTATCTCCTAATACAGTCACATTCTGAGGTCCTGGGAGTTAGGACTTTAACATATGAATTTCGGGGAGGGACACAATTTAGCCCCTAAGCGAGATGCGCCATTTTTCACACCTCTCACCCTCCACCTCTTCACATTCTTCTTGCTGTTTTATTCTCTCTTCTGCCAGCTTCCTGAGGGGGCCCAGAGCCTCACAGGCCTGAGGCTAATTGTGGTGCAGGGGCTCACGAGGGGTGGGTTTTGGTGATCTGCACACCGACACCTACCTCTGTGAGGACTCTGTAGTCAACACCCTAGATAAGCAGGGCCCAGTCACAGGGAAAAGGGTAACAAATTGCTTGCAGAGGGACAACTGGCTTAGAGCTGGGTTATTATTCTTGTAATCTCCAGATCACAAGCAGCAGGCTGCACTGGGCTCTGTTGGCACGTACCTCTTCGCTCCACTTGGGAATGGTACTGGACAAAACTAGAGGAGAAAGAGGCTGAAGGGCCTGTTTGCCTGGAACCCATACTCTTTTTCAAGTTAATGCAAACAGCTCCAAAAACCCACTAGAAATCTCTGGTCTATGGAGGAGAAAATGACCTCCCCCCATGGCTAGCAATAATTCCTGATGCTTTTTATGCTTTACATGGCTTTCTTCCACATGATGACGTTTGATCATGATGCCAGCCCCATGGGGTCAGCCAGACTGCTATAATTATACCCCATATTAGAGATTAAGAAACAAGTCTAAGTAAACAAAACAAAGACTTAGGTTATGATCCACCCCCAATCAGAGGTCTGCCCTCTCAATTATACTCTACTCACCTCAGTTCTTTTCTCTTCTAAGCATTTCCCAAAATGTGGCCATTCACATAGCTTGTTTGCATTTTTGGCTATATTCATCCAAGCACCACTCACTGATTAATGAAGTCCATGGAAGATAAGGTCCTGATTTGAGTTTGGTACTAAGCAATATATTGAATTCCCAGGGGTTTGGTATGCTATTTTTTTCTAATATGCATTAAAAATAATTATTAACTCCTATTACTTTAGGATATACTTTCCATCTCACACTCTCTTCCCTCTGCGGGGCTACAGAGGCATCTTGACAGCAATGTTTTTCAAACTCTTGGCTGCAATCCACAATAAGAAATAAATCATATGGCAACACAGTACTCACATACATGCACATATATAAAACAAAAACCAGTTTCATGAGATAATATGTAACCTGGGTGTGACACATGCTATTTTCTATTCTATTTTTAACGCTTGTTGTGATACACTAAATTGATTTTATGAACCAATAATAAGTAGCTTCCTGCGACTGGAAAAAAATAGTCTTTTACAGAATGTTCTGTCCAACTTTGAAAGCGTGGCTTACATTTCGTTTACACCTCCCAGGAGAGGAGACTGCAGGAGTCAGGCTGGAGAGAAGCTTCTGGGGCCCTCCCCTTACACTTCTCTTCCGGCCACTTAGGGCTCAGCAGGCTGCAGCCACCCAAAGAAGGAGGAGGCTTCCTGGACAGGGAGGGCACTGTAGCTCCAAGGTTGCTGGACTCAAGGTGGAAGTCTCCACCACACCCTTCCCTGAAAAAGAATCCAGAGAGCCACACATTGGGAAACTTCACAGACACTCTCCCTCCACCCTGTAATGGGATAATTGGACAACCCATCCTAAATACTACATGTCATCACCCCTCTGACCCCATCTGAGCTGAAATGGAGCTCTGGTGCCTACGGAGTGGATTTTCCCTTTGTGGTATTTTAAAGTTCTAGTCTAAAATATCTCTCCACAAATGCCTGAGATCCCATTGTTAGAATTGTATTCCTTTGGTTTCAGCATTACCATCCTAAGATTCTTTTATATATACAAGTGTGCCCAAATTGAGTTTCTAAGGCTTTTCTCCTCAAGTCTGGCCTTAACTATAAGTTCCAGAAGTTGATTCTTCTTTTAAAGGGAGACCTACAGTAGGTGTTACCCTTCCTTATGACATAGAACTCATTGGCGCTGTAATGAAGGCCATAGGACCCCTTCTCGAAATAATGTTTTTAAATGTACCAAGTAAAATGTATAGGATTACAAATGAAATAATATCTATAATATCAAAAATTCTCTTAGAATTTAGATAAATGATGAGTATTAACAATATTTTGGGGTAACTGTAAAAATTGTAACATGATGAGAAAAACTGATTAGACATATACTCTATGATATGTATAATAGGTACATGTATAAGAGTTATATATAACAGTTATATGTCTAATCAACTATTTTCATCATGTTACTATTTTTACAGTTACCTCAAAATGTTAATATTCAGACCATCTAAATTCTAAGAGAATTTTTATACTATATATACGGTATCAAAATATGTTTTAATTTGTAATACAATTATACACGTATTTAAACCTTAATAAGATCTAGAAGCAGGTCTAATAAATAATCTAGAATAATGTTAAGTATAAACAACATGACAAGGTATTTGCAAAGCATAACATGATGAACATAGCAAATTTCCATTGGTGGAAAGTCTCAGGTTCTGGCAACACTGCTGTGGTTTGTCTACCTTCATAATGAAGGAAGCGCTAGATTACAGTTAGAAGCTAATGATGTTAAAGACGTAATTTTTCCTGTCCAAGTTCATAGATCCTTTATATTCTTTCCATAGATCGCACTTAAAGAGCCCAGATCTAGAGAGTTGTCTGCTACCTTTACCATTTCCTTTCATGTCACATACTTTCAGATTCCAAAGCTTCATCTGCTGAGCCTGGTTTTATGAATGTTGTGTGTTCTGCCTTCCAAATCTTGCTGTGTCCTTCCTCACACATCCCTCACCTGCCCTTGTGGTCAGCCCAGTTAGAGCAGTCAAGCCAGGGCCCACACTCCACTGCATCTGGGGATGGCCTTAGTGATGATGCTCACCAAGTTCCTGGGGAGATTATATCAGAGGGCAGCTTGACTTTGACTCCAAGAAGTCCCTAAATCAATTATTCTGCCCCTGAAATTTTGTCAGGAGACCTGTAATTATCTCAGCATATTAATAATGTGAAGGAGAACTTGTCCCTATTTAAAGCAGGGCCTTTTCCCTTCTCCAACCCTGCATATGAATAATACCTGTGTCTAGACTTTAGTTCCAAAAGATAGATCTTTATTCAGCAAGTGGGAGTCTACTGAGCTCAGCACAGAAGAGTTAACAGCAAAGCTGAGATATACTGTCACTTACCAAGGGGAGACCAGTTCTTGTCCCAGAGGATGCAAAGGAGAATGTCTTTGTGGATCAATCAGGCCACTCACTCAGTGATGTATCAGAGTGTAAAAAGACAGTATGACACAGTGAGAGTGCGGCAAATAAAAGCATGCATGTCATGTCTAAAGAAGTCAATTTCACATATTTTTAAGTCTGTATTTTGGGCTGGGGGACCGCAGCTTAGAGCACCCAACATAGCTCTGAAGCCAACATGTGGAGTCCACTCCAAGGACCGCCAGCGCCATCTCCACAGCTCTCCGAGATGCAAAGGGCTGCCTAAACAAGTCACTTAGGGAAGAGAAAGGGGTTGCCTTGGTTCTGACAAGTGGTTAGGAATTGAGTTTAGCACTGTATTAAGGGACACAACAGTTTAGACCAGCCTGACCAACATGGCAAAATCCCGTCTCTACTAAAAATACAAAAATCAGCCGGGTGTCATGACGGACACCTGTAAGCCCAGCTGCTCAGGGGGCTGGGGCTCGAGAATAGCTTGAACCCGGGAGGCAGAGGTTGCAGTGAGCCAAGATCACACCACTGCACTGAAGCCTGGGTGACAGAGGGAGACCCTGCCTCAAAAAAAAAAAAAAAGAAAGAAAGAAAGAAAAGAAAAAAAGAAAAACAACACTCAATTTTCAGCAAGGTAACTATGACAAAATTCTTCTTTGAGAGGAAAAAAAAAGTGGGATTAACATAAATAGACCAGACTAATTCTGGGAATGACTTAAGGAAAGTTAGTCTTTGGGAACTGTCTCTAACATGTGGGGAGAAATAAGGACAATTACTCCTATATTTTTGTGCACCCATTTTTGTTGCCCCCATCAAGACACAAAATCTTGAGTTTGGAGGTCTACCCAGAGAACCAGCTTTTCTGTTCTTAGGTTTGTATGTCAATTATTTTGACATAAGCTCCTAGGTCAACTACCTCTAGTCTAAACCAGGGCAGGGCCTGGCAGGCCTCTGGGAGAATTGCCTGTGACCGTTAACATGTGGGAGGAGCCTGAGGAACATTCAGAAAAAGGAAGAACGTCTCAGGAAGTTAAGCAGGGGATGTCCCGTGGTGTAGATGAGATGAAGAGGGCTAGTCAGAGAATAAGAAACCATACTGAAGCATTGTGTTTCTTTCCACCCAGCCCAAGTGGCTGAGGGACATGAAGCTGTCCAGTCTGATTGCAACACCACCTTCCCTCTATCTCTTTCCCCACTCAAGCTGGCCTCAGGCATTTGGACAAGATGACAGAATGCAACCAGCACTCAGAAATGTGCAGCAGGCAGCCTGGGTAGAGTTACCCTAGCAACAGCAAGACTTCTTGAAAGCCCTGGAGGCTGGGTGGAATTGGAGGCAGGAAGACCTTCCCCCTTTAAGGGTGCCTGTCACACCAAAACTGACCTGCAGGGGCAGCAGAGGAGAAAGACCAGAAAAGCGGCGTCGTCTGTCTGGACTAGGGTGGTGGGTGCTAGATGGCCCTCACTATTACTTCCTATGAACAGGTGCACCTATCTCTTGGGGGCATTGTTCAATGTTTCATCCAAGTTTAACCACAAAATAACTCCCCTACCTTCCTGTGTAGGAGACACATCACACTAGCATCTGAGCAAAAGCAGGAGCTGGGATGTGGACTCTTGAAAGGATATGGGTCTGTCCCCTACTCCTAGAACACAATGTGCCGAATCCAGCAAGAGGTCAGTCTTTAAAAATCTAGTAATCTAAGAATTGTCTGTAGGTCCTCTTCGGTCAACTCATATGGGAGGGTTTGGGGTAAGAGTCATCCTTATAGTGTTCCTCCACTTCCTTCTGACTATGGCATCCACTCATAATCTTTCAAGAGGGTTTATCTTCTTACTCAATTAAAATGTGGAATGTATGCTGTTGCTTCAGTGAGGGACATGACACATGGCAAAGATGGTAACAGATGTGTATGGGAAGTGGCTCCCTGGTTGACCTGGGGGAGCCTATCAGAATGTGTGCCTCAGTGGGTCACTGCCCTTGAGGGCTGGGTCCTGGGCTTCACAGGTTCAGCTCAGTGCAGTCACACTCTAACAGATGCATGGCAGTCACAGGCAGAGGCTGACTTGGAGACTATGTAATAGTGTATTAAAGTAATTTCCCAAGAGGAAACCCAGACACACTCGGGTTTAAATTGGGCATCCTCGTTTACTAGATGTATGACCTTGGACAAGGTTATTTAACCACTTCTCTATGCTTCATCTGTGAAACAAGGATAATAATAGCACCAGCTTTGCATGGTGGAGGTGAGGATGAAATATACTTACATATATACAAGTGCTTAGAATAGTACATGACACTGTAGAAGTCTTGTTATTGTTATTAAACTTGCAGAGTAGGATAGGCTGCACACCATACAACTCCAGAAGATACCATTCACATAGACTCCAACGTGAACGGTGTCCCCAGAGTTGCGCAGTGCACAATCTGCATGGGTACGTGATAGCCCTGAAGTATTAATTCCCATTTTGCAAGGTTATTGCAAAAATTATAGTTAAATGCATGTGAAGTACTTTTTACATCATAGGCACTATAACTCACAGCTGCTGCTATTATTTTTACTGAGAGATATATCTGGCAGTTTAACAGCAATATTTGCACAGAGTACTTCTTCCTTTTGGGCAGGTTTGCACAGAGACTAAATTTGATTAAAAGGCTATTGAGGAATTTGAAATATGTGAAAAGAAGTTAAATATCATCTCAAGGTTATTCTCATTCCACCAGTATGGAGAGGCAACAGTCTTTAGATGACTGGGACTCACCATTTGAAAAGAGAGTCTTCCACCCTGAACATGGGCCATAGAAACACTGGCAATTCATTACTCTTTAGCTCTCCTTTTTTTGGTCTCTATCAGTTGCCAGGAGCTTCTCTCACTGGATTACCTCATGGGCCTGCTCCAATTAATTAGATAACTGCATCTCTTACATTAGCTAATCTTTAAATTAGTCTCCTCCTAATGAAATTTTAAGGAAGGCCCACAGGCTCCTTGATGAAATTTGAAAGGCCTCTTGGTCTTATCAGCCACAATTTTTAGAAATTATTAACTTAAGCAACATTACAGCCAAAAGAATCCATTGAGTATGAAGCTCAAACAACACATCTTCCTGTGGTCATTCTCAAGTGCTATTGGACACATTTTCTCCATGTTCTAACGAATGTCTGTGCCCTCTGTTTTGTTCTGCCTTTTTCATACAGTGTTATTCCATAAACAAATCTTCAATATTAATCATGTTTTAATAGCAAGTTATTCCAACAAAATATTCATCTTAGCATGCTGAGATATGTCCCTCCAGTGGGGTGTTTGAAGCAGCTAAAAATCTCAGCTGGCAGATATGATGTCTACAAGACACGAAGGATATGAGGGCACTGGGAATGACATGAAACAAACAGAAATGAAATAAACTGCACAACAT
This sequence comes from Homo sapiens, assembly GCF_000001405.40. Lineage (NCBI taxonomy): Eukaryota > Metazoa > Chordata > Mammalia > Primates > Hominidae > Homo > Homo sapiens. Next base: position 40,855,278 of record NC_000006.12, read on the forward strand.
TAGAGTTGGGAGTATCCTAGGGGCCTGTCTGGTCTAATCCTTTCATTTTACAAATGTAAAAACTGAGGCCCAATGAGGAGATGTGACTTGCCTGAGGCTACATAATTAATCAGCCCCCTCCATTGGGTGGGGACAAGCTCCAGCAAAGGAGCAGCTTCTGCTGGCCTTCCGGGAGTAAGGAAGAGTGCTGTGGTGATGGGTTGCTGCTCTGCAGACATGACCCAGCAGCCTCACAAAGGGTCAGCACAGAGGCATCCATGCTCAGATCTTGGGCTGGAAGCATCCCACAGAGGGGAAAGGAAGGCATCAGAGCCAAACATGTGGCATTCGTCCACTCCCACCCAGCACTTGGAGGTGTGAAAAGACATCCCAAAAGGGAGAACCCAAAAGAGACAGGCAGCTAGAAACTCCTACACAGCTCGCTTCGCTGCAAGACAGAGCCAAGCATGCCAAGCACGGGGGCGAGGAGCCCAGGCAGGAGGGGCCTTGGAAAAGTCATAAACAGCAGCTGCAACGTGAAGATCCACCCCACCCCCAAAACCTCCCCCATGGAGTCAGGTAGACTGGCATGTACTGGAACGGTGGGACTGGGTTGAACTTTCGAAGCCAGCTGGTCTCACTACCTCCTCTGACAGATGTAGAGACCAAGACCTAGGATCAGGAAGGGTCTCACTCACTCAAGGTCACACACAGAATGAGGGGCTGACCTGTTTATAGAATGGAGCAGTCCTAATTCCAGTCCAGGACACTGTCCTGGGGTCTCCCTTTTTCTGGGGCCAGGGAAAGTAAATAATAGCAACTTTTGGAGGGATGGGTGTATAAGATGACACCAATTGATTAATTAGGCGTTTGTTGACTCCAGCCACCTATTCACACATTCTTCTAGATGTCAGCATTTGTTGCTTCGGTGGCTTTAACTGGCTGTAGGGTCTTAGGAAAACTGCATAGATTTGCATGGTTCTATTTCTTCACCTGCAAAATGGGGCTAATAATTGGACCTACTTCATGGGTGGTTGTATGAGTTAAATGTGAAGCACTTAGCACAATACCTGGGGCTGTGATGAATGGTATGTTATCATTCTATTCCACCAGAGGACTGCTTCCTCCACCCATGCAGCCTTTCCCATGGGAAAGTTTCCATTTCTCCAATGGGTTTACATCATCTACTATCTTCTCAATGTGGTAACTGTGCATCTCTGTCTTCACGAATCAAGAGCTGACTCACCACAAGTTCCAGACCAGTGTTTCCCAAACTGGAGTATTTTCCGAGAGTTATGAATTCTTGAAGTGTCTTTTTTCATCTTGTTAATTATAGATTTAGGAAAATCTACCTCATCCCTTGAGGGAAGAGAAATGTCCCCAAAGCTGCTGGCTCCCCTCTCTCCTCTGCATTAAGTTCGTTTCTTTTTGATTGCCCTCTGGTTCTAATCATTCAAGAAGAGAGCGGCCCCAGGCACCAAATTAGAACTGGAAGCGAGGGGATGAGAAAAAGACCCAGAATGAATGATAGGCTTTGGAAAAGGGCAAATTGCAGTTCTCCCCGTATCTTCTGGGAGCCAGCTCTTTTCTAAAGGATTTAAGGGAGGCTAAGGACCCATGGGGAGGCAAGAAGATGGGAGTCTGGGAACAGGATACTGCGGATAAGAATTTGTTCTTCTTTAAGCCTCCAAGGGAAAAAAAAAAAAAAAAACCAGGAGGGAAAATTGTAAACTAACCCTTTGCTTAGTTTGCCCAGAATCCTTCAGCGGGGTGAGCACCACCATCCTGAAGGTCAACCTCCACTCACAAGGGTTCATGTGCTACAACTGCCTGGACCCAATACCACTCTTGGGGACTCTTCCCAGTCAATACCGGCAAAGGTGGCTGTTGACCCAGGGGTGCTTCTGGGGATCTCTGAGAACAGGAGAAGAGGAAAGGTGATCTTAGTAGGGATGACACATTCCTTGCTTCCTGTTCAAGATTGCAGAGCACTTTCCCATGAGCTTCTGGATTGACCAGAGGAACAGCAAGAATACTCCTGTTTGCAGAGAAATGGCTCACACAGCCAGCCAGTAGTAGGGAGAACTGAAAATACTTGTCCTTAATCCTAGAGTGCAAGAAATAAGCATGGCAAGCCCTGGAAAGAACATCAGGAAAGCATTTCTTCCAGATAAGGTCCAAGCATGCTCATTTTATAGATGAGACACCTGAGGCCCAGGGAGATGAAGGGCTTGTCCAGAGCACTAAGTTTTTAGCTGTGGAGGAAGACTAGAACCCAGGCCTCCTGGATCCACTTTTCTTCCCCATCCCTGCAGCCTCCATCCCAGGGAGTCTGGAGTCTTTTCCAGTGTACTGTGTGACCTCAGGGCCTCCTGCAGAGCCCTGTACACTGTTGCCTTCTCAAATGCCCTCCTGCCCCTATCATTTCTTCCTCATGAGTCACTACCATATTATAAGTTATAAATATTGGGGCCCATTTGGATATGTTTGTTTGGATAGCTCACATATTTAAGTTTTTATTAGGAAATGCAAAAAAATGCAACAAATACTATTGATATAGTTTGGATGTTGTCCTCTCTACGTCTCACGTTAAATTGTAATCCCCAGTGTTGGAGGTGGGCCGTGGTGGGAGGTGATTGTATCATGGAGGTGGATTTCTCAAGAATGGTTTAGCGCCGTCCTCTTCATGCTATCCTTGCAATAGTGAGTGAGTTATTGCAAGATCTGGCTGTTTAAGAGTGTGTGGCATCTTCCCCTTCAGACTCTTTTTTTTAATTTTTTTTATTTCCGTACGTTATTGGGGAGCAGATGGTATTTGATTACATGAGTAAGTTCTTTGGTGGTGACTTGTGAGATTTTGGTGCACCCATCACCCAAGCAGTACATACTGCACCCAATTTGTAGTCTTTTATCCCTCACCCCCTTCCCACCTTTCCCCTGAGTCCCCAAAGTCTATTGTGTCATTCCTATACCTTTGCATCCTCATAGGAGTGAAAGAATATGATGTTTGGTTTTCCATCCCTGAGTTACTTCACTTAGAATAATAGTCTCCAGTCTCATCCAGGTCACTGTAAATGCCATTAATTCATTCCATTTATGGCTGAGTAGTATTCTATCATATATACACCACAGTTTCTTTATCCACTTGTTAATCGGTGGGCATTTGGGTTGGTTCCACGTTTTTGCAATTGAAAATTGCGCTGCTATAAACATGCATGTGCAAGTATCTTTTTCATATAATGACTTCTTTTCCTCTGGGTAGATGCCCAGTAGTGGGATTGCTGGATCAAATTGTAGTTCTACTTTTCTCCACACTGTTTTCCGTAGTGGTTGTACTAGTTTACATTCACACCAGCAGTGTAGAAGTCCCTCAGACTCTTGTTCCTGCTCTCACGATGTGAGATGACAGCTCCCTCTTCACCTTCCACCATGATTGGAAGCTTCCTGAGGGCTCCCCAGAAGCTGAGCAGATGCTGGTGCCATGCCTCCTGTATAGCCTGCAGAACCATGAGCCAAATAAATCTCTTTTCTTTATGAATTACCCAGTCTCTGATATTTCTTTATAGCAATGCAAGAACAGCCTAACTAACTTAGACTTCAACTTAAGAAATAAAACTAACTTGGACTCCAACTTAAGAAATAAAATATTATAAACACAGTCAAAGCCCCTGTGTGCACCTCCCTAATCATACTTCCTTCTCTCTCCCTCTCCTCTAGACCTAACTAGAGACATTGAATTGAGTATTTGTCATCCAAAGCATCTCTTTATACTTCATACATTATTCTTTACACAGGCAGGCCTCACTCTGCAGGGCCATAAAAATGACCACACAAGCTGAAACTGTGCAAAATCATCTTAAAAATCTATGAGAAAAAATTACAATTATCTTGTGATCTTTAACAATTCTTGTCAAAAACATTAAAACTCTCTTACTGTAGGCTATAAATAGTATATGGAAATTTTTTTAAAAATAGTAAAATCAGCATTTAAAATATTAATTTTATCCAAATTATTTAATTTAAAACTTTAGAAACATTGGGAATGAAGGTGTTTTATTTCTTCATTAAAAACTTTCAAGAATGGTTTGAACAGTGCTCACCTTCTTCTCATCACATAACTTACAATACAGAGCAAACATCTTTTCTATACTTGGCAAATCATCATACTCTTAAGTTTGTATCAACTTCTAGCATTTTATCCTTTGAATGTTCAGTGTTGCACAGCGTCTCTGAGAGTTCCCTTAATGTGAAACTTTTGCCAGCATCACTTCCTCTGGAACATCCCCATCGTTTTCATCACAACCACTTTCTTCATAATGTCACTAAGTTGTCCTTCACTAAATTCCTCTGGCTGCATATCTAGAGTCCCTCTCCTAGTAGTGGTGTCCATATTCCCACCACCAGCTTTTCCTTCTATAGCTCCATTGACATACTATTTGAATTCCATTTGCAGCATTATCACTTTTTGTTTCTTTTCTATGCTTTCATCTTTCAAGGTCAACTTCCTCTTTAGATTATCTATTTTTGCAAACCATAACATAGGTTTATTACCCAGAGACATGGAAGCAACATAGCTGCACACTTTGCTGCCTGTGTGTAAACTGGATAGCAGATGCTCGTGACCAGTCACCTGATAGACCATGAAAGAAGAAATCAGGATGCACATCTGTTATTCATGGAGAGATGTGTGGAATGAAGAATTGGCATCAAAATTTGTACTTTGTGCAACCACACACAGTCAATACGCTATCATAATTCAAATTTTAACCGTGTTGTTGGGGACTGGTTCAAATAAACCACAACAGAACTTCATACATGGGAACTGGGAAGAGCAAGGACTGTGTGCACTTTATACAACACATGTATGTCCATCAAAGCAATATGTGAAAATATTTTTTATGCTTTTAAGTTTCATATAAATGCTCATCATACTGCACGAATATTTCTTCATCTTCCAATACTATTTTTCTCCCGTATGTTTGCATATCCATGTGGATATCCCCTGGATGAGGCCAGGAGCTCACTGAAGTCAGAGCCATGACCCTCCCATCAGCTGAGGAGCTCCCTAAGGGCCAGGTCTAATCTCTCCTTTACCTGAGTTCACTTGGAACCCCCCAAAAGGCACTGTCCATGGAGCTGCTGAGAGAAGGGTGAATGTGACTAACTGCAAAAAGTTTGGATTAGGATCACACCTCTCTTGCTGGAGAAACCATACTGGGACCACCTAAAAGATCCATATTTGCAGAGGTCCTATCCACAAAGGCATCTTGCAGCATTCCAGCAAGCCCTCGGGGCTGCAGCTGTACGCTTTTCCTGTCTCCATCATGTCTCCATGTTCATTGCCCTTTAAAGTTAAATTGACTTTAATAGCATCCAATTTTCTTAAGTACTAGAGAGACAGACAGGTTAAAAAGGGAGTGTTATTACCACCTCCTTTTCCTTCTGTATTCCCAATTGGATATTAAAAAGTCACTTCATCTGACACTTGGCCCCTGGCCCCAGGAGAGGTAACCAGGGAAATAGTATTGGGCCCAGAGCTGGCTGTTAAAACAATAAGCTTCCCATTTTGCCTTTCTTATGAGTGCTAGGACAAAACCCCATTGCCCACTGCTGGGTGTCTGTGGATGTATATTTGTGTGTGTGTGTGTGTGTGTGTGTATGTGTGTGAATGCATTTGTGATGCAAGTGAGCCTACATTTAAACGTGCTTATATGTGGAGGTTTCACGATTAGGGGACTGTGTTGTACAGGTGTATGTATTTTTTCATATCTGTATCCTCAGTGTTTGGAACATGGAGGTGCAAAGTAAATATTTGCTTAACAAATGTTACCAATCAATAGACAATGAGGCTGCACAGTGTGTGCATGCCCCTTCCATTTCATAGCACATCCCTTCCTTGTTCCTACTTTTCCATGAGGAGAAGCCAGCTGGAGCCCATACTGTACCACTATATCAGTGCGTGGTAAGCAGGGAATGTTTGGAGACTATGTTCTTATTGTCTCTGTGGTGTGTGTGTGTGTGTGTGTGTGTGTGTGTGATATGAATGTGTCCATGAGTAAGCCCAACCTACCTTCAGAAACAGCCTCAGGCTGGGATCCCTGTGCCACCCTTCTTATCCCTGCACCTCAGGTGTGGCAGTTTTCAGGCATGTCCATGTGAAGAGACCACCAAACAGGCTTTGTATGAGCAATAAAGCTTTTTAATCACCTGGGTGCAGGCAGGCTGAGTGCAAAAAGAGAATCAGCAAAGGGAGAGAGGGATGGGACTGTTTTATAGGATTTGGGTGGGTAGTGGAAAATTACAGTCAAAGGGGGTTGTTCTCTTGTGGGCAGGGGCGGGGATCACAAGGTGCTCAGTGGGTGAGCTTCTGAGCCAGGAGAAGGACTTTCACAAGGTTAGTTGCTCAGTTAAGGTGGGGCAGGAACAAATCACAATGGTGGAATGTCATCAGTTAAGGCAGGAACCGGCCATTTTCACTTCTTTTGTGATTCTTCACTTGCTTCAGGCTATCTGGACATATACGTGCAGGTCACAGGGGATATGATGGCTTAGCTTGGGCTCAGAGGCCTGACATTCCTGCCTTCTTATATTAATAAGAAAAATAACATAAAATTGTATTGAAGTGTTGGGGCAGTGAAAATTTTTTGGGGGGTGGCATGGAGAGATAATGGGCGATGTTTCTCAGGGCTGCTTCAAGTGGGGGGTGGGAACCTAGAGTGGGAGACATTAAGTTGAAGGAAGATTTTGTGGTAAGGGGTGATATTGTGGGGTTGTTCGAAGGAGCATTTGTCATATAGAATGATTGATGATGGCCTGGATATGGTTTTGGATGAATTGAGAAACTAAACGGAAGACACAAGGTCCAAATTAGAGAAGGAGAAAAACAGGTATTAAAGGACTAAGAATTGGGAGGACCCAGGACATCCAATTAGAGAGTGCCCAAGGGGGTTCAGCATAATTACTTGCTTGGTTGGAGAGTTTTTGGGCTCTATCCTTGAGTTTTTTTATGTTGTCATACACCAGACCAGATTGATTTAGGTAAAAACAACACTCTTCATTTAAAAATATAGAGTCCTTTTTTTTCAGCAGTAAGTCAAGGCCTCGGCGGTTTTGGAGGACAACTGCAGCTAAAGAGTCAACTTGGGCCTGGAGGACTGATAAAGTTTGTGATATGTCTGTGACGCTAGCAGAGAAGTCATTAGAGAGGCTACGGAAGGTCGTGACAGAGGTTGAAACGCCTGCTGTTCCAGTACCAAGAGCAATAGTGGAGGCAGAAAGTCCTAAACCGACAAGCAAGGGAATTAGTGGAATAACTCTTTTTTGTTGTGTCATGAGGGGAACAGGGAGCTCTTCAGTCCCATTTGCAAATTGAATTTTGGGAGTAAGGAAAACAGTGTGCATGTGCCTGTCCAATTAGCAGGTAGACACATGTAGGTAGAGGATCCACAGAGGAAGAAAAGACCTTGTGCGAGGCAAAACTGGAAATGCAAAGTAAAAAGATGAGAAGGAGTGCTGAAAGAGGTGTCTTGTACCTGGACTACTAGGGATCCAGCTAGGGCGGCAGCCATCAGAGGTTGTAATGGGGACTGATGGGGTAACTGCATAGAGGGGAAGGTTCGATTTTCATGGTGTATGAGAAAACGTTGAGTGTCTACAAGCAACCTTTCACTGTTATTTACGGGGCTGGGTATAAGTAAACAAGAAGAGGGCCTGGGAGGAGAGTCTGAAAAGCAAGGGGAAGGTAGCCAAGGATGGAGTGAAATACAGGGTAAGTGTCTTCCTAAGTAATAATTACTGCTAACGTTTTTAAGTTTGCCAGTATTGATAGAGGGCTTATCTGTAATACGGAGCTGGAAGGCCCCAATTGTTTCAGTGATGTGTGTAGTTGTGTTTTGGAGATGAAGAGTGAAGGAACATTGAGAAGGTGAAAGGTTACCCAGGGGAATTCCAGTGGGTCTTTGCTGAGAGATACATAAAGGAGCAGCCACAGGAATAGTTTGTGTTGTGAGGGGTCCAAATATGGGGGGAGTAGAGTTGATATAAGGAGAAAGGTTTTTAAAGTAAGTGCAGAGGAGGGCGGCAGCTTGCTGATGTGAAATGTCTGGGGAGGTCTTGCTGGACCTGCCTAGAAAGTAAAGAAGTTCTTCAGGAGGGTAAAGGTGAGGGCTGTTAAAGGAAGTTCGGAGGTGTAGGGATACAGGAGATGTTGCCCAGTCTGTATGTAAGGCGGGGACAGCTGTGTAGGTGCAGGAAGAAAGGGAAATGCAAAGCCAGCAATTACTCACTAAGGAGGGATTAGAAATGGCTAGGAGACAGTGAGTAAGGTTGATAGTGTTGTGGAGATAGCTGGGGAGAGGTTGAGGGTGGCATAAGAATGGAAATGAGAATAAAAGTGAGTATAAAAGTAAAGAATAGAACTGCATCAGGGTGAAAATATTGGAGGGTGCCCTGCCAGCAAAGATCATCTATCCACTCTAAGAGGGAGTTAAGAGTGGTAGTTTGGGGATAGCACTAGGAGATATCAGCTGTGATGGCTTGGAGAAACAGCATAAACCAGCAGTGTAAACAAGAGTAGGGCATTTATGAGCAGTTGAGAACAGTGAATAGGAGTATGACTAGACAGAAGATAGTAGGGATGACTAGTTTTTGGGGCTCAGTCCAAGTAGTGGGGGTGACTGCATAAAGCCCTGTTGCAAAAAGTAGGGTAAGGATGAATACACTTAATAGAATGAAGGGATGTATTAGGCTCATAAGGGTTATTACTGTTCTTCAGAAATGCGAGTGAGTTTAAGGGAAATAGGGGAGAGTACTTGCGACTTCCAGGAGGAAGAGGAGAAATCAGGCTGGCTGTCTGACAGACACAGCTTTATTCTGGAATAGTGAACCCAATGGGGAGGGTCCTGCAGGCAGACTGCAGTTGGGGTACTATAGATGATTAAGTAGGGTCCAGTCCATTGCGGTTGTAGAGTTTGAGGGGTCAGATTCTTAACAAGAACTGATCGTCCAGCTAGGGTGTCTTCATATGGCTGGGAATCTGGAGTGGGCAAGAGAAGATTAGCAGCCTGGCAAATTTCCTGTCTAGCCTGCTGGAGGACTGGAAGATAGTCACCTAGAGGGCTGGTGTCTGGAACGAGGTTGGGGCTGAGCAAGAAAGTGCATCCATATAAAAATTCAAATGGACTGTACCCTGTAGCATCTCGAGGACAGGCTCTAATTCTGAGAAGGACAAGAGGTAAAAGTACTGTCCAGTCCTTTTTAAGTTGGAGGCTGAGCTTGGTGAGGTGTGTCTTTAAAAGACCACTAGTCTGTTCTACCTTTCCCGAAGACTGAGGACGGTAAGGGGTATGAAGGTTCCACTGAATACCAAGAGCCTGAGAAACTGCTTGGGTGATTTGACTTGTAAAGGCTGGTCCGTTATCAGAGTGTATAGAGGTGGGAAGGCCAAACCAAGGAATTAAGTCTGACAGAAGGGAAGAAATGGCTGCGGTGGCCTTCTCAGACCCTGTGGGAAAGGCCTCTACCCATCCAGTGAAAGTGTCTACCCAGACCAAGAAGTATTTTAGTTTCCTGGCTTGGGGCACGTGAGTAAAGTCAATTTGCCAGTCCTGGGCAGGGGCAAATCCCTGAGCTCGATGTGTAGGGAAGGGAGGGGGCCTGAAAAATCCCTGAGGGGTAGTAGAATAGCAGATGGAACAGAGAAGTGATTTTCTTGAGGATAGATTTCCACAGTGGAAATGAAATGAGAGGTTCTAAGAGACGGGCTAGTGGCTTATAACCTACATGGAAGAGGTTGTGAAATGACAACAGAATAGAATGGGCCTGTAAGGCTGGAAGGAGATATTTTCCTTGGTCTAAGAACCATTTGCCTTGTGTGGGAAGAGATTGATAGGTGGAAATTTCAGTGGGGGAGTAGGCGGGAGTGACCGATGAGAAGAAGAAAAACTGGCCATGAGGGACAGAAGTTGGAATGCTAGCTGCTTCTTTAGCTACCTTATAAGCATAAGCGTTGCCTAGAACAATGGGATCTGACACCTTTTGATGGCCCTTGCAGTGAATGACTCCAGCTTCCTTTGGAAGTGAAGCAGCCTTGAGAAGGGTTTTTATTAAGGAGGCATTGATGATAGAGGACCCTTGCATAGTGAGGAAACCTCTTTGTGCCCATATAACAGCATGGTGATGGAGGATATGGAAGGCATATTTAGAGTTAGTATAAATATTGACACGTAGTCCCTTTGCAAGAGTGAGGGCTCAAGTTAAGGCAATGAGTTTGGCTTGCTGAGAGGTAGTGCAGGGGGGCAGAGTGGTAGCCTCAATGATAGATGTGGAAGATACTATAGCATAGCCTGCCTTAGCTGGTGAGTGGTGATTAGGCCTGGTGGAACTGCCATCAATAAACCAAGTGTGATCAGGGTGAGGAACAGGAAAGAAGGACATATGGGGAAATAGGGTGAATGTCAGGTGGATCAGAGGGATACAGTCATGGGGGTCAGGTGTGGTATCCGGAATAATGTGAGAGGCCGGATTGAAGTCCAGGCCAGGAACAATGGTAATTGTGGGAGACTCAACAAAGAGTGAGTATAGCTGAAGGAGCCAGGGGGCAGAAAGTTTATGCATCAGGTGTGAGGAAGAAAATAGATTTTGGAAGTTATGAGAGCTGTAGAGAGTCAGTTGAGCATAGTTTGTGATTTTGAGGGCCCGTAAAAGTATTAGGGTGGCAGCAGCCATCGCACAGAGACATGATGGCTAGCCTAAAACAGTAAGGTCAAGTTGTTTGGACAAAAAGGCTACAGGGCACGGTCCCAGTCCTTGTGTAAGAATTCCTACTGCACAGCCCTGCACTTCGGCTGTGTGTAATGAAAATGAGTGGGGAAAGGATTTAGGGTCTATGGGGTCAGCTAGGTTTCCTTTTGTGAGTTTATATAATGGTTTTTTTAGGATAACAAAATCAGGTATCCAAAGGCAAAAGTATCCAACCATGCCTAGGAAGGAAAGGAGCTGTTGTTTTGTAGAAGGGATTGGGGTTTGAGAGATCAGTCAGACACGATTGGCAGGGATAGCATATGTGTTTTCATGAAGAATTATGCTGAGGTAGGTAACAGATGGAGAAGAAATTTGAGCTTTGGAGGGGGATGATACCCAATATCCTTTGGAGAATAAATGTTGAAGGAGCAGGAGGGTGTCTTGTTGAGAAGATTCAAAGGAGGGGCTACAAAGTAGAAGGTCATCAATATATTGAATCAGGTGAGAAGCAGAGGGGTGGAAAGAAAGTAAATCATGAGAAAGAGTTTGGCTGAAGTAATGAGGGCTGTCCCTGAAGCCTTGCAGCAGTACGGCCCAGGTAAGCTGCTGGGACTGATGGGTGTCAGGGTCAGTCCAGGTAAAAGCAAAGAGAGGCTGGGACAAGGGGTGCAGGGGAATAGTGAAAAAAGCATCTTTAAGATCAAGAACAGAATAGTGAGTTGTGGAGGAAGGTATTGAGGACAAAAGAGTGTACAGATTGGGCACTACAGGGTGGATAGGCAAAACAATTTGGTTGATAAGGTGCAGATCCTGAACTAACCTGTAAGACTTGTCCGGTTTTTGGACAGAAAATGGAGGAATTGTAAAGAGGGTTTATAGGTTTTAGAAGCCTATGCTGTAGCAGGCAAGTGGTAACAGGCTTTAATCCCTTTAAAGCTTGTTGTGAGATGGGATACTGGCATTAAGCAGGGTAAGACTGATTAGGTTTTAATGGGATAGTAATGGGCGTGTGATCAGTTGCCAGGGAGGGAGTAGAGGTGTCCCATATTTGTGCGTTAAGGTTGGGGGATATGAGAGGAAGACACAAAGGAGGCCTTGGGTTGGAAGAAGGGTAGCAATGAGATGTGGCTATAGTCCAGGAATAGTCAGGGAAGCAGATAATTTGGTTAAAATGTCTCGGCCTAATAAGGGAACTGGCAGGTGGGGATAACTAAAAAAGAGTGCATAAAAGAATGTTGTCCAAGTTGGCACCAGAGTTGGGGAGTTTTAAGGGGTTTTAAAGCTTGGCCGTCAATACCCACAACAGTTATGGGGGCAAGGGAAACAGGCCCCTGAAAAGAAGGTAATATGGAGTGGGTAGCCCCTGTATTGATTAAACAGGGGATGGACTTACCCTCCACTGTGAGAGTTACCCGAAGCTCGGCATCCGTGATGGTCCAGGGGGTTTCCAAGGTGATCAGGCCGCATCAGTCTTCAACCACTAAGCCGAGCAGATCTGGGAAGGAGTCAGTCAGAGAGCCTTGGGCTAGAGCTTTAGGGGCTCTAGAAGTGGCTGCCGGGAGAGCTGGGCAGTCTGATTTCCAGTGGGTCCCTGCACAGATGGGACATGGCTTGGGAGGAATTCCGGGCTGCGGGCATTCCTTGGCCCAGTGGCCAGATTTCTGGCACTTGAAGCAAGATCCTGTTGGAGGAAGTCCTGTAGGAATGCTTGACTGCTGCGGCTTAGGCGTGTGCGGCTTAGGCTTGTGCAGCTTAGGCATTTTGAAGTTCTTGTGTGCTGGAGGTGTGGCTGGGTTTTGTCTCATAGCAGAGGCAAGTAATTGTAACTCAGAAATGCGTTGCTGTCTGGCTGCCTCCTCTCTGTTATTGTACACCTTGAAGGCGAGGTTGATTAATTCCTGTTGTGGGGTTTGAGGGCCGGTTTCTAATTTTTGAAGCTTTTTTATAATGTCAGGAGCTGACTGGGTGATAAAACGCATGTTTAGAATGAGACAGCCTTTTGACCCTTCAGGGTCTGTGTCTGTAAAGCGTCTCAGGGTTGTTGCCAAATAAGCCATGAACTGGGCTGGGTTTTCTTCTTTACCTTGAGTAGTTTCTTTAAGCTTGTCATAATTAACAGCTTTGTAAGCTGCCTTTTAAGCCCTTCAACTAGGCAGGAAATCATGTAATCTCACCTAGCTGTACCTGGGGAATCTGCCTGATAGTTCCACTGGGGATCCTCTCGGGGAACTGCTCTAATGCCTTCCTGAAGGTCTGGCTCGTGGAGCCAGTGGTTGTCAGCGTGAGATTGGGCCAGAGAAAAAACTATTTCCCGTTCACCCGAGTCATGGCATCAAATTTCATGCGTGTCCATGTGAAGAGACCACCAAACAGACTTTGTGTGAGCAATAAAGCTTTTTAATCACCTGGGTGCAGGCAGGCTGAGTGCAAAAAGAGAATCAGCAAAGGGAGAGATGGATGGGGCCGTTTTATGGGATTTGGGTGGGCAGCGGAAAATTACAGTCAAAGGGGGTTGTTCCCTTGCGGGCAGGGGTGGGGGTCACAAGGTGCTCAGTGGGGGAGCTTCTGAGCCAGGAGAAGGAATTTCACAAGGTTAATTACTCAGTTAATGTGGGGCAGGAACAAATCACAATGGTGGAATGTCATCAGTTAAGGCAGGAACCGGCCATTTTCACTTCTTTTGTGACTCTTTACTTGCTTTGGGCCGTCTGGACGTATACGTGCAGGTCACAGGGGATACGATGGCTTAGCTTGGGCTCAGAGGCCTGACAGCAGTGTCCCTTCCTGGGCTCAAGCTGCACAGCTTTGTCCCTTTCCACTCCTCCTCATGCACCTCATATCAGTAGGGAAAGCAGCAGCCACATCACAGTCAACCAGCCCCAGGGGATAGAGAAACCTTTCTTACACCATGTGTACCATCTCCAGGCCCAGACCTGGGCCCCTCTGTACTGGGAGGCAGCTCAGTGAAACTTCAAAGAAAAGCAAATACTATCCCATCCCCAAAGTGGGTGTGCACACATGTGTACATGTATGTACGAACCCATGAACATACCAGTGCCTAGGCGGTGTCCCAAGTCCAAAATCAGTATTTTAAGATTATGTTACAGGGTGATTAATCTCAGAATCCTTTCTGGTGACTGATTTTGCAACTGACTGCTCAGCCTGCCTGTATTTGGGGTCTATGTAATGAACAAAAACAGAGAAAATATGAAACAGCACCTTGTCGGCCTTAGAACTCAGTTGGGTGATGCCAGTCTAGTGCAAACTAAGTGTACTGACCAAAAGGCGGATAGCAGCCAGACGATGGAGTTGTGCCAGCTGGGGGCAGCCAGGAGGGCTGCATGAGGAACATGGAGCTCCACCAGGACTCAGAGAGTGAGGAGGGATTTGTGCAACAGAAGATGGACAGAGGCTTTTTGTTGTTTTGTTTTTGGGTTTTTTTGTTTGTTTGTTTTTGAGATGGAGTCTCACTCTGTTGCCCAGGCTGGAGTGCAATGGTATGATCTCAGCTTACTGCAACCTCCACCTCCTGGGTTCAAGTGATTCTCCCAGCCTCAGCCTCCTGAGTAGCTGGGATTACAGGTGCCCACCACCACACCCAGCTAATTTTTGTATTTTTAGTAGAGATGGGGTTTTGCCATGTTGGCCAGCCTGGTCTCGAACTCCTGACCTCAGGTGATCTGCCTGCCTTGGCCTCCCAAAGTGCTGGGATCACAGGCCTGAGCCACCATGCCTGGGCGAGGCTTTCAAATAGAGAGCCAACCAGGATACCAAGAGGAGGCCGAGATGGTATCACCAGCATCTGGAAGCAATTTATTTTACTAAGCGCATCTGTTCTCAAACCTAACTGGTGTCTGCTTACCTGGCAGAGTAAGGCCAAAACGTCCACACCAAGGTTTGCAGCAGATGAAAGGAAGGCATTTATTTGCAGGGCAGCAAGTAAGGCGAATTGGGCGGTCACACTTAAAACCCCAACTCCTAGATGGCTGTCAGGTAAGGGTTTTTAAAGGCAGGGAGGCAGAGGTTACAGGCAAAGTCATAAATCAATACATGGAGAACATACATTAGTTTGACCTAACACAGTGGGACATCTCAAAACAGGAATCCACAGGTCAGAAGTGGATTCAAAGATTTTCTGATTTATTGTTGGTTTAGGAAGGATTGCCTAAAAATGTGGGATCAGCAAAAAGGGATGTTAGCTCTGGCTGGAGGATGTGACTTTCTCCAGGCCCCTCAGGGAGAAATTTAGAACAAAGAAGAGTGGTCAGAGTCCAGGCATCAGTTTCCCCTTACCTGAAGTCTAGGTGCCAGCAGATCCATTTGGTGGGGATCCAGGTTTCTGAAAAACAACTCAGTGACCTGTGTTAAGATGTTATCTCTAGTTTCTACCAGGGAACCAAGCATCCCATGATTCTAACTTCCTTGGCTATGGTCTTAAGCTAGTATTACCTTCTTCCTTATCACATTTACTTCTCAGGGAAAGCTAGGTGCCTGAAATTTCCCTTGAAGGAAAGGAAGAAGTTTTTTTGTTTTTTTGTTTTTATGCTTGGGGGAGCCCATAGGCTCCTAAGAGGTCCCTGTTAAGTCTCACTTCCATTCAGCAAGTGATAAAAATCCACGTGCATCTGTGTCATCCTCTCAGGAAGCCGTGCATTTATGCATCCACGTGGCATCTGTGGACCACCACCAAATGTGCACCAAGCATGGTGCTAGGCCCAGGAGGGTACAGACAAGGAGAGAGATCTTTCATGGATGGGAAAGTTGAGTCTCTGAGACTGACTCATGCAAGATCAGGGTCTAAGTGGTCAGGACTGGAGGCCAGGTCAGCCTAGCTTCAAGTGCTATACCCTCTGCATAAAACTTATTATGGTGGAGGAGGTGGGAGGGGGACCTGGTAGAGTGGGATGCCAGGCTGATTGAGGAAGTCATGCGGATTAGGCTGAATAGGCTGGGCTTATGTGGGTTGAGGGGACAAAGATAATGTCCTGGGCTGCCCTGATCTGGATAAGGACTTGTGGTTTTCTTGAAAGGTGTCCTAGAGCTTCCAGGAGCTGCTGAGACTGAGGAGTTGGCATCACAGCAGCAGGGATGAGGAGGAGGTGGGAGTGCAGGTGGTGAAGGTGTGTATGGCACTGTGGCTGGTGTTCAGGGGTGACTGTGTCTCCTGAATGCTGATGCCATCCCCAAGGCATTTGTAATCAGCCCATGAAACCTGCCCTGGGTCTGAATCCATGAATACATTTATAGGTCATCCCTGTTCTTCAAGTGCTGGTGAATGGTCCCATAAAACACATCTGATTACAACCAGCAGGGCTTCCCAACTCTAAAACCCCTTTTTATTTTGAAAACAAATTCTTAAAATCATTCCTTGATGAGGAAAGTACCCATGCTGACATTTCCAAGGGTGGATAGTGGAGGAAGGAGTTCCTGGGTGTTCCTGCAGCTGTGCCAGGGCTCTGGCAGCCTTCTGGGACATCATGCAACTCTCCTGGTCCTTTTTCCTCTCCGTATCTTAGCAAGGAAACATGCATGCACATTCCTGTTTCTCAAGGTTGCTGTGAGGATAATTAGTTTACATTCATCTGTCACCGTGCTCCCTTTACACCCAGCATCTGAGATTGTCTCTAATTATTATGACAAATCTCATGGAGCCCGCTGAGAGATCTGAGCCATCTCTGGACTTTAAACCCACGTGTGGCTTTTGTTTTCACTTGGTTGCTATTGGCTCCAAAGTTTATATCTCCCTCCAGCACCTCTCTCCAAGGCTGCATGTCTGGCAGCCCACAGGCCAGCCTGACATGATGGTCCTGTGGGTATCTTAACGTTGACCATACTGTGAACACCCCTCCAAGCCTGTTATCCTTCCCTTGGTCCCCCTCCCCACTGCTGGCATCAAATTCATTCAACAAATATTTATGTATTGAGCACCCACCCCATGCAGGCCCTGTGGGGTGCTGGGATGGGGTAAGGGGAAAGGATGAGGCCTCAGCCTTTGTGGAGTCTAGAATCTCCCATTACTTTCCTTCCAGATAGTTCTGGCAAGAAACCAAGAAACCATCTTAGATGTTTCTCTCCCTCTCCTCTCACTCCCAACCAGTTATCAAATCCCCTCAGTATTACTTCCATGACTTTTTAATCTGCCCCTTCCTTTTCACCACTCCAGCCTGGTTCAGACTTCCTTTGTCACTGGAGTGGACCACTGAGAACTTGCTGGCCTCCCCGCCCCCACCCTAGCTTCCTCCATCGTATTGCTCTAACTCCCTTAGGGGTCACTGTCTTCATAATAAAAACCAGACTCCTCCTGACACCAAAGCAACAACCATCTAGACCCAGCCTGTCCTAGGTCTCACTTCTCACCATGCACCGCACACAGGATGCTTCACACACATAGATCTACTCTCTCTGCTGAACCTCTCAGCCCTCCTTGCCTCAGTGAATGCAGTTTCCTCCAGGAGAAACTCCCTTATCCCTCCCCCAAGCCCCCTCTCCACCTACACACATACTATCCCCCTTTCTCCACTGGGTAACATCTACCCGTCCTTTCAGGCTCTATTCAAATGCTGTGATTCTACAAAGCCTTCCCTGATTTCTGGGTAGAAATAATTCATCTCTCTTTCTTCTCTAAATGCTTCATCTGCACCTTTGTGCCAGCATTTATCACACTTTATCCTGTAGTCAGCTGAATGCTGTTCATGTTCTTTTCCCTACGCTAATAATAACAGTCATAACAATAATTAATGCTGATTGATTGCTTGTACTAATCATTTAACATGTATTATCTCATTTAATTCTCAAGAGAACCTCACAAAATAGGTGTGTTATTTTCCCCATTTTGCAGAGGAGGAAGCAAGCTCATGCTATGTAATCACATGCCTGAGGTCACCCAGACAGCGAGATTTGGGCCCAGGTGCTCTGACCCTGGAGCTGGCACCCTTTCCCACTCCCAAGAACTGCCTTCGGGAGGCTAGAGGTCAACAGGCAAGGAGTTCAACTCACGTCGCTGTGCCGCTTCTGCCTCCTTCACAAAGCCAGGCACATGGAGGCAGGACACCGATGCTTATTGATTAAGAATTAAAGATCCATTGGCTGAAGAGTTGAAAGGAGGTAGAGGATAGAAAATAGAAAAAGACATGGGGGTAGAAGAAAAGAGATTCCAGGGTTCCCTTAAACAGAATTCCCTCCTTCCTCCCAGCCTCCTTCCTCCCACTTAAATATTTTTTTTCCTACTGTATTCATTTCCTGGGGTTGCCAATTAAGGTGTTGGCAGGACCATGCTTCCTCTGCCACCTTCAGGGGAGAATATTTCCTTGTCTCCTCCAGCTCCTGGTAGCCCCAGGAATTCCTTGGCTCGTGGCTGCATAATTCTAACTTCTACCTCCATCTTCACATGACCATCTTCCTTCTCTCTCTCTGTCTTCTCTTCTTATAAAGATAATAGCTATATGGGGTGGAAGCCCACTCTAATGACCACATCTTACCTTAATTATATCTTCAAAGACCCTGTTTCCAAAAAGATCACATTCACAGGTTAGAACCTCAACATCTCTTTTGGGGGGATGTAATTCAACCCCAACACTGCCTATTAATCAGATCATGACACATGAGGATATAGGGCTTTCATAGCACCAAGAAAACTGTAATCATCCACTACTGAGATACAAATCCCTGGTTCTGCTTTCTGAGTTGACATCGCCATATGATAAATCCCTAGTTCTTTAAGATGTTTAACTCGTGTCATTTTGAGACACATGAATTGACAGCTGGGGATGAAGACAGAGTGAGCAAGAAGAAAGGAGTGACTGATGGCCCCTCCGGGCTGGATGAGTGCAGCCGGGGCAGAGTCCTGGCTTGGGACAGCTGCTTATCGGAGCTAACCAGGTGTTTTGTACAGCATTAGCCCCACCTGAGCTTCTTGCCCATCTTGGGTTCCACATTTGAGTTGGGTGATAGTCACAGCACAATCTCCCTTCCTCTCCCACCAGGGAAACTGTTTTTTCCAAAGTAAGACTTGTTCACTCTGCATTATCTATCGTTTCCCCACTGTCTGCCTCAGTTTACCCTTCCATCAAATTAGGACACCAAGAACACCTAAATTTAAATGATTGGCATTGTACCTCTTCCATTACAATCCTGGGTGTTCCCATGCATGTCTGTGGGGCTCTGGCTGCCTTCCAAACACAGGTAGCGCTAGCTGCTACAGAGAGCTTTAAGGGCTTTTCTTCTCCATCTGAGCATCCTGACTGCTGTGTCTGGGGCTCTGCCCAGAGTCTAGAAGCTCCCGTGCCTTCTCATAGGGAATGGGGGAAAAGACTGTGAATTGTACATTGACTAGGGAACAGAAACAGTGCTGGGATATTTTATTAAATAACTACAACCCTGTTAGGTTATTATTATTAGCTCCATTTCACAATGAGGAAACTGAGGCCAGGGAAGTTAAAGTACCTTGCCTGCCCTCACATGGCTCATAAGTGGGGGCTCTTTGTACATTGGGGTGCTGTGCCTGGGCTCACAGTGCCAGCCTCCACAGGCCAGCTCTTGCTATGGCACCGCTGTTCATGTTTACAGTTTCTCTGCTTCTGACATTTTGGGTGGACTGGTTGAGCCACTGTTCAGCAGGACCGCAGGAAATACCTGTTCCCCATTCTTCCAGTCCAACCCTGATTTCTGTCTCACACAGGGTCACTGAAGCCACAGGGCTACCACCGTGCTTCCTCCATCACTTTGTATCTCCTTTGCTGCCCCCAACAGGGATTCTGGGGCCAAAGCACACACTGGCTTGCTTAGGCTCTGGTCTCAGGCATAGGAAGAAAGCAAGGAAGACGGTGGGAGTTACCCAGGGCACTGGCTCACATGGACCTCCTCCCTGCCACCCCTCCTTAAGGCTTTACTTAACCAGGTAGTTGTGGGTGCAGTAAGGGAGGCTCAGCTTGGATGACAGTTGAACACAAGCACTGGGCTAAGCTAATACCCACTTATGACCAGGGGCTCCAGAGAATGACTAGGAGGGTGGTGATGGGGAGAGCAACCCTCTGCAAAGAGAAACCATGCCAGGGTGGGCTGTGAGCTCTGCCTGGTCTGCTGGTCACCCTTCATTCCTCTCTTTCTGGCTCCTCCTTCTTCATTTTCTCCAACCCTGTGTCTGCTCTTCTCTCTCTTTCTTGCCCTATTTTATAATTTCTCTCTGTCAAGAGGTCTTTGTCCCTGTCTTTTCATCTCTTTCTCTGTCTCTCCTTCACTTGCTTTCTCCCCCCATCCCTAAACAAAACTTAGCCCCACTGGTCTCCAGGACCAGATGGATTGTGAAATAGGGTCCCCTTCCAAGGAGGAACACTCTAGGCTCAGGTCAAGGCAGGAGCTGCTCACGTGTGTGTGTGAGCACACACACACACACACACACACACACACACAGCGGTAGTCTAGGATGGCACAGGGAGACGTGGCTTCCTTCTGTTCCCACATTCCCTGGGAAGCATCCTTCCTTTTCACATCCCTTCTACATGATGAGTGGTAGTTGGACAAGACGATGTTACACTGTCTAGTGTCCAGCACCGACACTCTGTAATTCTATGGAAATGGGTATAAGTGACAGCACAAGAGGCTCAAGGCCACAAGTCCATGAACTCCTCTTTTCTCCTTGGGGATTCCTGGCAGGGGTCTCAAGTCCCAAGCACTGCAGCCTGTAGGATACTTTCTAGTGTCTCATGTTTGACTTCCAGTTGGACCATTTTGTGGTGCCATAGCCCATTTCCTCTGGGTAGACCTTCACAAATAGGCGAGCAAGAAGAACGCCCCAGCTGCCATGTGCTCAGGGTAAGCAGATCTCTGTCTGTGGCTCCTGAAGAGCACTTGCGCTATCCCCTATACTCTGCACCAGCCTCCCCTCCCCAGAACTGGAGCTAGGGTCTGAGTGGAGAGCTTGCTGAGGGATGTGAGGTAGGGTGGGGGCAGGACTGAGGGAGGGGGCATATGGAGGGACAGACATGAGACAGAAAATGGCAGAAGCTTAGGTACAACCTGTTTCCCTCACAGGACCAACTCCTGCCTGGGGGAGGGCTGGGGGTGGGCAGAAGGACTCTCTCAGCTTTGGGATTTCTCTGGTCAAGGGAGCCCAACCCACCTTTCTAAAGAAAGAAGCCCCAGAAAGGAAGATGAAGCCCAGAGAATCCTTTGCCCAGGATGCAGTATAAATCTCAACCTGCTCCACAGGAAGGAGGAGAAATCTCATTTATAATCTTGATGAACTGGAAACTTAGTAAGCCCAGGCCCGCCCAGATGAGTGCTCAATTAATGAGAGGAGGAGAGCACTGCTAATTCCCTTCTCCTTGGGTGGTTGGAATCGCACCGTTCAGCCCTCCCTGCCCCTCCAGAAACTCCTGGGAAATGGCAACAACTTTGAACATTACACTGGCAGCCCCCACCTCAGTGAAGGTCCTCGAGCAAGTCTGAGAGAGCAGAAGTGACTTCTCTTTCTCCCTCCTTTCCTTCTTTTTTCTTTCTTCCTTCTTTTTCTGTTTTCCTTTCTTCCTTTCTCCCTTCCCCCTTCCATCCCTCCTTCCTTCCTTCTTTCCTTCCATTTTCCTTTCCTTCCTTTCTCTTTTCTCCCTTCTTCCTTCCCTGCCTCCTTTCCTCCCTTCTTTTTTCCTTTCTTCCTTCCTTTTCTCTATCTTCCTTTCTCTTTTCCTCCTCTCCTTCCTTCTTTCTTTTCTTCCTTCCTCCCTCCCATTCTTTCTGTGCAGGTATGTGAGTGTTAAGTGTCTTGGCCAGGTCACTCAACCTTCTCAGATCATCATGCAGGACCCCTCTCCCACCCACATTGCCATTACCACCCTTCACCACCCCCACCATAGGCAACCACTCTATCTTTTGTAGTGTACCCTGAGATTAGATTTGTATATTCATGCCTTTTTAATTCATACACATGGTATTGCATTACAGACTCTGTTCTTTTTACTTTGCTTTTTTTTTACCTTCAGCACTATTTCAAAATGTCTAGCAGAGAAGCTATGTGCAGATGGAGTTCATCATTCTGGCTGCTGCTCAGAGTTTGCAGGAGGTTCTGCCACATGCCACCTCTCTATTCCTCTAACGATGGACACCTGTGTTGCCTCCAATCCCAGCTGCCACAGCATCACTACACAGAACATCCATGTGCATATCCGCAATGGACCCTCATGAGGTCACCCTGTAGCTCATGTCCAGAGTGCAGTTCTGGCTGAGAGAACACGCACAGCCTTGATCTGCCCAAGGACTGTGCGTGGGTAGGCTCTGCATTGGCACTAGGAAAATACTCATTTTGTTTGGTGGTTTTACCTTCATAGACACAGCTAAGCCTAAGAAAATGCTGGAACTTTCCTGCTTGTGGTCCCACAAATGTCCATGCCCCTTCAGGGTCGAGTAGCCCAGTTCCAGGGACACCATGCACACTGTGTTCTTCTGTGTTATGCCCAGGGGGCCCTTCACATGAGTGCAAGTCTGTGGTCCCCATGCCAGTCACTGCATGATTAAAGTTCCTTGGGAGAGGTGAGGCCCCTTGGCTCATCTCTGACTCATCTCTAGAAGTGAGTAACTGCAGTCTTGTCTCCACCAGGGTTGCTCCCCAGCCTTCAAACCCCCTGCCTCCTCCACCTTCACCTTTTCTGTCAAGTCACAGCTCAGCACTTTGATGCCACCACACCACCACCCTGCAACTGGCTCACCCTCCTCAGACTGAGGACCAGCATCCCAGCCTGACTGCCACTGGGTTCTCAGGTGTGTCCCCATCACTAAGTCTCTGGTGGCAGCCAGATCTGAGACCCAGGTAGCTAATCTGTACTCTTGGAGAGACCAGCTGAATGAACAGACTTTTCAAAGTGCTAAAACTTTATTTGTGATAGCCCAAAACTACCACCAACCCAAATCAACCTCAACAGTAGAATGAGTGAGCCTACTGCAGTATGTTCATACAATGGAATACTACATAGTAATGACCAAAAAAGCAAAGAACATCTTGGATAAATTTCACATGCACTGTATTGAGTAAAAGAAACCAGATATTAAAGAGCTCATCCATGGCCAGGCGCTGTGGCTCACGCCTGTAATCCCAGCACTCTGGGAGGCCGAGGTGGGTGGACGTCTTGAGGTCAGGAGTTTGAGACGAGCCTGGCCAACATGGTGAAACCCCATCTCTACCAAAACACACAAAAAAATCAGCTGGGTATGGTGGTGCACACATAATCACAGCTACGTGAGAGGCTAAAGCAGGAGAATCCCTTGAACCTGGGAGGCGGAGGTTTCAATGAGTCAAGATCACGCCACTGCATTCAGCCTGGGTGACAGAGCGAAACTCTGTCAAAAAAAAACCAAAAACAAAAAAAACCTCATCCAGTACCATTGCTTTGAGGTTCAAAAGCAGACAAAACTAGTCTATGGTAATAGAAATCAGAATAATAGTTACTCAGGCCGGGCATGTTGGTTCACACCTGTAATCCGAGCACTTTGGGAGGCTGAGGCGGGCAGATTGCCTGAGCTCAGGAGTTCAAGACCAGCCTGGGCAACACGGTGAAACCCCATCTCTACTAAAATACAAAAAAAAAAAAATGGCAGGGCGTGGTGGCATGCGCCTGTAGTCTCAGCTACTCGGCAGGCTGAGGCAGGAGAATTGCTTGAACCCGGGAGGCAGAGGTTGCAGTGAGCCGAGATTGTGCCACTGCACTCCAGCCTGGGCGACAGAGTGAGACTCCATCTCAAAAATAAATAAATAAATAAATAAAAATGGATAATAGTTACTCTTGGGGAAAGAAGTTGACTGGGAAGAAGAACAGGGGAGTCTTCTAGGGAGGTAGAAATGTTCTGTATCTTGATTTGGGTGATAGTTACACGAGGGTAACTTGACACATGTCAAAATTCAATGAACACTTGAGTAGATATTTATTCAAAGAAGATATACAAATGGTCACTAAAATAAGCACATGAAACAATACTCAACATCACTAGTCATTCAGAAAATGCAAAAAAAAATGTGCAATGAGATACCACTTCACTCCCACTAGGATAGCTATAATTTAAAAAGAAAATAACAAGTGTTGGCAAGGAGGTAGAGAAATTGGAACCCTCATATATTCCTGGTGAGAATGTAAAATGGTGCAACCATTTTGGAAAACAGTTTGGCAGTTCCTCAAAATGTTAAAGATATAATTAGCATGTGATCCAGGAATTCCACTCATAGGTATACACCCAAAAGAATTGAAACTACATGTCCACACAAAAACTTATACATGAATGTTCATAGCAGCATTATTCATGTCAATAATACCTTAAATGTGGAGACAACCCAAATGTCCATCAACTGAAGAATGGATAAACAAAATGTGGTATATCCATACAATGGAATATTACTGAGCAGTAAAAAGAAATGAAGTACTTATGCATGCCACGACATAGGTGAACCTTGAAAACATTATACTAAGTAAAAGAAGCCAGAAATGAAAGGTCATATATGATTCTACTTATATGAAATATCCAACATCCACAGAGGCAGAGGCAAATCCATAAGACAGAAAGTAGACTAATGGGTGCACGGGTGAGGAGCAGGGAAGAACAGGAAGTGACTGTTAATGGGTACAGGATTTATTTTGGGGGTGATGAAGATATTCTGCATTAGACAGTGGTAAAGATTGCACAACTGTGAATATACCAAAAACTACTGAAACTTTAAAACTGTGAATTTTATGATCAGTGATTGAGATTTTAGATCTCAACAAAGCTGTTATTAAAAATTCATTGAGCTACACACTTAATATTTTTCATGTTACTGTATAAAAGTTATACATAAGTAAATAAATAAACAAATATACCTGAAAGAAAATGTTTTTAAAAAATCAGTGCTAGGATTTAAAAAGTGAAATACAGAACAAGGTTCATAATACTGTACTATTTGTGTAAACTCAAAATCATATACATATAAAGCAACACTGCATTTCTATAAGAATTCATGCTAATTCAAAGATAAATGCTAGATTGCCCCTCAAGAAATCTGAATTTCTGCCTCTGAATTGAGTTGTCCTCTCAGTCCCAGATGATGGTCGCTGGCCCTGATTCTCACCCAGACGCCACCTGAACCCATTCCCTTGGGCTGAATTAGGTCCCTGGGTCTCTTACCCATTGTGTATGAACAGGGATCTCAGTGCTGATTGCTGCCCCATTTGCCTTCTGAACTGAACCTCCTCTTGGAATATCTTTTACCTGATCCAGATATCCTGGTACTGGTGATTGTCCTGACCATCCATGAGAGATCTACACGTCCTCTGAGCATGCCAACAGGGACTACCTGGTCTTCTCCAGGGCAACCTTCTGGCTGAGTCAGTCTCCTGAGGCTATCCCTAGCCTGAGGAGTGTCTGCACCTGCCTGGATGGCTGAGGGATGCACAGGGTCCACTGTAATTGATACCACAGTCTGCTTGGTGCCCAGGCACAGAGACCTAGAAAGCAAGAGGTCTGTGTTGATGGCCTGATCACACTGACAGGGGCTAGATCTTGCCACACAGTGCAGCAGACTCTGTCTTTGGAGCATTTGAAATGACGGACACAGCCACTTATCTCATCAAGTGAAAGGACTGGTGATGAGAAACCCCCTGGATTGTCAGATACTGATTTATCTCAAACATCCCTTGAGAAGCTCTTTACTTGCTGAAGACACTGGCAAAATTGTTGTATGTATTGGTCGAGCTTCTCAGTTGCAGACAACAGAATACTCTCTAGGTAGTTTAAGCAGAGAGCAGTTTAGTACAGTTATAGAGAGCTCACAAAATCATTGGAACTGCAGAAGAAACGCCCTCTATGCTCAGTTACTGGAAACAAATACCTGAACAAACCTTAGAACTGGTCCAGTAAAGAAACCTATACCTGTGTCATGGTTGGCAAGCTGCCATCACTACCACCGCCCCCACTCCAACACAAACACACACACACACACTAGCCACCAGCACAAAGAGTGTTCTACCCCTTGCCTGGTCTCTCATTTAACTCACTCCCCAGTCAATGTCTCAGTCACACCTAACGAGAAGTCATATTGGAAGCTAGCAATAGGGTTACTAGCCATCCCAGCTGGTCTGGGACTGGGGGTTTCCCATGTTGCAGGACTTTCAGTGCTAAATCAGAAAAGCCCCAGGCAAAACAGGACAGATTGGTCACCCTAGCTAGGAAATGTAGTGTTTTTGGAGTAAGCACTGGGGAGGTAGGAGTCACACTGTGGGGAACTGTCAAAATGTGAAGAGGAGGTCAGATGATTTGGGCCAGCTACAATGACAGATTATCTCTAAACTTCATGATAAAAATAAATTATAATATTATAATCACCACTTATTGAGTATTTACTATATGCCCTGAGCTTGCTTGCCAAGTGCTTTAGTATTACTGCTATTTATTATTATTATTATTCTCTCATTTTATCTTCACCACAAACCTATGATAGTACATTATTTATCTAATGCTCTTCTAGGTCCTGTTATGGAGCTTACGTTGTTGTGGGAAAAACAGACATTTAAGCTGAGGCATGAGCAATGGGGAGGCAGCCAGACACACAGTGATCTGCAGAAAGGATGTTCTAGCCAGAGGGAACAGCAAGTGCAAAAACCTGGGGACCGGAACAGAAAGGAGTTTTGCCTACTCAGGGAACAGAAGGAGCTCTGTGTGGCTGCAGGAGAGCATGTGAGAACAGGAAGTGGTATACAACAAGGTTTAGGTCTGGTAGACAATGGTAAGGAAGATGGATTGTATTTTAAGAAAAATGAGGAACCAGGGGATGGTTTTAAGCAGGGGAGTGGTATGATTAGATTTTCATTTTATATCCAAGGTCACAAAGCTGGTGAATGAGAAAGGAAATTTGAAGCCAGATATTTATCACTACAGATTGCGTTATCACCTGTTTTCAGCTACCATGCAAGCTGATATCATCCAGGACTCATAAGCAAGCGCCCCTAGTTTGTTCACAAACGCTCATTCTGTGTTGATTTCTCTACAGCAATGATTCTTCATCCGGGGCAATTTGTCCCCCAGGGGGACATTTGACAATGCCTGGAGGTATTTTTGGTTGGTACAACTTGGGGGTAGGAGGTGGTGCCAGCATGGAGTGGGTAGAGGCCAGGGATGCTCCTAAACATCCTACGGTGTACAGAGCAGCCCCACGACAAAGAATTGTCTAACCCCAGATGTCAACACTTCTCTGCAGTAAGTAACAGTCATTTTCTCATATGTACAATGATGGGCGAATTCAAATGAAAGCTGAGGCTCCTTCCAACTCCCTGAGTGTGTATTCTTTGCTTGGGAGACAGGAGTGCTTCAAAGCAGGCAGTGGCCCTCAGCACACATCACAGGGGTTTCTGTGACACAAAGTCTTTCATTCATTCTACCACAAAACCAGGCAAGTCCTGGCAGCATGGGAAGAAAGAAAAACTGCTAGTGAGTGTGGAGTGGAGAAAAACCACTGGTTTGGTTGGACTTTTCACCTCCTAGGAACAGTTGCTGTGTTTCCCAGTGCTCCAGCAGCCAGGCAGAGTGGCAATCAATCAAGCAATTCCTGGCAGCGGGCCAGCTGATGGTGATGGGCCCGGCTCTGCCTGAGTCTGGGTGAGCTCTCCTAGGGCTTCCAAACACTCAAGGCTGGGCACTGAGGCTGCAAGGGTGAGGGGATGACCAGCTTCCCCTTATACACTGCACAATGACATTTGTACATGTGTAGATACTCCCTATAATCTGTACTCTCACATGACATCTAAACACAGTACTCCTACTGCACACCCAGAGTACACTTTTCAATGCCTGCATATCCACACAGTTCCGGCTCTCTCCCGGTGGCCACATGACCAACCCATCAGACCAGACGGTGCATGAATTATAGAGTGGAGATTCCCTATTCACACTATGTTACCAACTTTGGAGGCTGGGTGCACGCACATACACCTTCCATTTCCAAACACCACAGGCTGACTGCACATCATTTATGCTGCAGGAATGCAACATCAGACTCACTAAAACAAATTGAGTGCTTACCATGTGCCACATGCTGTA
Source organism: Homo sapiens (assembly GCF_000001405.40). NCBI lineage: Eukaryota > Metazoa > Chordata > Mammalia > Primates > Hominidae > Homo > Homo sapiens. The sequence goes on from NC_000006.12 coordinate 40,883,040, forward strand.
AGTACTTCTATACATCTTCTCTTTGAGTCATTCTATCTTCATTTGGGTTCCTTGGAAAGCAAACCTTGAAACAAAAATTCGGGAGCAAGTAGTTTAGTTGGGAGGTGATGCAGGAATTACTATGAGGGAATGGGGAGCAAGGTAGTGAGGGAAGAAAAGCTCATAAAGGGTATGTAAATGTAGAAGTCACTGCTCTGGGAAACTGGTTCAAGCCTCAGGGAGACCATATGAAACACTGCTCAGGTTTGTCCCCTCATCAGAGGAGAAAAAGCTTTGGTCCCTCACTGCCTGGTTGGCTAGAGGAATGTAGACAGAACACTCACAGCCTCTGCCACACCTCCCAATACCACTAAGGAAAGTATTAGATAACTCTACTTTAGATGAGGCATCAGGGGTTAGAAGAGGTTAAGCTAACTTGTCCAAGGCAACATGGCTAATGAAGTATGGAACCAGGATTCAAACTTGGGTCTGGCTAACTGCAGAGCCCACATTCATACTCAGTGTGTTAGCTTCCTCGAGCTGCAAAAAAATAAAAAAAAATAAAAAATAAAAGAGTACCACAAAGTACCACACACAGGATGATTTTACACAACAGAAATGTGTTGTCTCACAGTACTAGAGGCATGAAATTCAAGACCAAAGTGTCACTAGGGTTGGTTCCTTCTGAGGGCTGTGAGAATCTGTTCCATGCCTCTCCCCTAGTTTTCTGCGGTTTGCTGCCAATCTTTAGTATTTCTTGGCTTGTAGAAGCATCAACCCAGCTCTGCCTTCATCTTCACATGATACTCTCTCTGTGTTCACTTCCATGTCTAAATGTCCCCTTTTTATAAAGACGCCAACCATACTGAATCAGTGCCAATCCTAAGGACCTCATCTTAACCAACTACACCTGCAATGACCTTATTTCCAAGTAAGACTGCATCCAGAGGTACCAGGAGTTAGGACTTCAACACAGAACTTCTGAGGAGACACAATTCAATCTGTAACACCCTCCATGCCTGTCATCACTCCTCCATACCCTATAGGCCCTTGTTCTGCAAGTCCATTTTTATCCTTTGAGCTTGTCCACTGCACGCTGGACAAAGACCCCTGTAGCTTGTGTCCCTCGCTTTTAATGGCCCTAGCCTTCAGGCGATGGCATGACTAGATCGTGGCCAGAGGGCAGAGGACTGAATGAGATGGACAAAGTCTGGGAGAAGGCCTCAGTGAGGGAGCTTGGGCCTGAGGTCCACCTCACTGTCACCTTAATCACTGAGATTCAATCACCAAATACAATAAAGAAAAGTATTACAGAAATAAAACACTGCCAAAAATCTTTCTCAAATTATAAGTCCGTGCAATGAGCAGTCTGGGTTTATAAAGAACAAATTATGCCAGACAACACTTGATTGTGCCTTTGAGGGAACTAAGAAATTAAGAGATGGGAAGGATGGAAAGGATGCAATACATCTTGATTTTAATACAGCAGTTGATACACTGTCTTGTGGAATTGTCCCTACAAAATTAATTCAAACTGGCCTGGTGAGGAGAACTGTCCCTGGGGTTAAAAACCAGGGAAAAGATAAACAAACAAATAATGATTAGAGGAGAAACCAAAGCCCATAGCCCTAAGGTAGGGAAAGGAAGGAGGGTGACTTGAGAGAGGGGAAGGCAGATTTTGAAATGTGCAGAGGTGCGGAATACGCCTGGGTGTTTGGGGAGCTGGAGAGGGGATGGCCCAGAGAAGGGGGTTGACCAGGAGCCTGACAGACAGTGGGATTCACCAGCGGCTCTACGACAGGTGGGTCACATCACCAACCCAAAGAGACTAGGAAACTGAAGGCTGCGCCCTGGAGAAACCCACAACCTGAATGGAGGAAACCTACTAAAGGCAAGAACAGTTGACTTCAGGCGCAGAGTCAGGTGCTAGGTTTTGCTTTCTTCAAATGTATGACATTTGAAGTGAAGTAGCCCGTTCTTCGGAATCCTAGAATCCTGGCTTGGGCTCAGAATGTTAGAGTTGGCAGGAACCTTAGTGAAGGGGTCCTCTCTGTGCAGACAAGGAGACTCAGAGCCACAAAATGAGAAGTATGTCTGGGGAGCTTGTCAGAAATGCAGATTCATGGGCTCAGAACTCAGAGGTTCTGATTGTCATGGAGTTTGGATAAGGCCCAGGAACCATCGTTTGTAACAGATCAATTAGAGATAATTCTGGTATGTGGATCACATTGAGAAACACTGGCCCAGGAACCATCGTTTGTAACAGATCAATTAGAGATAATTCTGGTATGTGGATCACATTGAGAAACACTGGCCCATTGTTACACCCTGGTCCTGCCCTTCTATTCTCTTTGTTTTTCTTCCTTCTTTCTTTCCTTCCTTCCAAAGTGTTTTTCTCATGTGCCTACTGTATGGAAGGCATTGCTCTAGGTTCTAGAGATGCAGAGATAAAAGGTGACTTCCATCTTTGAGAAGTGGACAGTGAGACTACCCAGTGGAATCATTTATAGAAGCATGAGGAGCTGAGGTCATGTTAAAGGACTCTATAAAGACACCATCAGCAAAATTCAGACAGCGGGAAACTACAGGGCAAACACCGGACTTCCTCAGTAAATACACTACAACGGGCAAAAGTAAGAGGGAGGGAAGATCTATAGATTAAAGGGGACTTAAGGGACATATCAATCAATCATCATGTAAGACCTTATGTGGATCCTGATTTAAACAAATGCTGTTAGAAAGAACTATTATAAGGCAATCAAAAAAACTGGAACATTTGTGGATATTTGATTATTTTAACTAATTATAAGGTATGTTGAGATAGTATTGTGGTTTTTTTAAGTTCCTTATCTATTAGATATAGAAACTAAAATGTTTATGGATGAAATAATATGATGTTTAGAATTGGCTTTAAACTCGCCGTGTGTGTGTGTGTGTGTGTGTGTGTGTGTGTGTGTGTGTGTGTGTAGAGTCAGCAGGGGGGTGTCTAGATCAAGCAAGATTGTAAGATTGTCTATGAGTTACTGATTGTTGAAGCCAATTATGGGGAGTTCATTATACTATGAGGAGTTTATTACTATTCTCTCTGTTTTGCATATGTTTGGAATTTTTATAACAGAGAAAGAAGAAAGATAGAGAGAGGAAGAGAGAGAGAGAGAAGGGAGGTAGGGAATCCTGGCGACAAGTGGTGGATGGAATCGTAGACTGATGAGCACACAGGATGAGCTAGGAAGAGTCTCCATTCTGGCAAGAAGGTTCAGCTCAGAAAAGGAATCGGCATTAACCAGGCCAAGATGCGAGGCAGAAGTATGGAGGAGGCCCGTGTAGATGCAGAGAGAATGTGCCGGCTGTAGCTGTGGAAACCACTGGGGAAGAGCAAGGACCTGACCCCCAGCGCTGAGTGGGTTGGGTGCAGGAGCTCAGGGGATTCTGGTAGGTGAGGGGAGTAACCAAGGGATTTCAAACAAAAAAGACATAGAAAGATACACATTTCATTAGCTCACCTGGGCTTCTCTGTAGTTTGGACCTGGATAGGGAGACCAGTGGAGGGAAAACAAGTTATACCAAGGGGGTGTGGATAGAAGGGGACACTGGAGATGTTTAGGAAGTAGACTGTACAGGATGTAGTGTTTGGAGAGTCTCCTGTGCTTTTTGTTGGATGTCTAAAGGGATGGTGATATCATCTCTCAGCCAAGGCAGGGAACACAGGTGAACGACCTGGTGGGGTAAGAGGTGACAGATTCATCTGGACACCTCGGATTTGTGGGAAAGCCAGGGAGAGATGTTTCACATGCTTTTGGATGTATAGAATTGCAGCTCAGAGGAGAGATCTAAACCAGGGAATGTAAAACATAGCCTTGAGGAGAGGGAGAAGAGGAGAGGAGGGCCTGAGTCAGCGTCTCGGAGCAACACTGGTATCTCAGCTGATGGTAGGGGGAGCCTGCACCTGGTCCCAGTCTCCCAATCCATTCTCTGCCAGCTCCTCTCTTACAACTTTTGCACTTAAGTTTTGGGGTCCACTAGTGTCTGGGGTCTCCTGAGTCAGGCTGACTGGTGGTGGCAGCTGCTTTCTGTTGGTCCCCTCACTGACCATTCCTGCCAGGTGATTCTTGTACCTGCCTGTGAACCAACACTTGCTCAGGAAGCTGAAGGATGCCTCCATCACCAAAGCCCTTTTTCATCACAGTCAGCCCAGCCATACTTGCCTGCATATTATTTCTCTGCTGCTTGCTTCACTTGGGCAGAATGGGGTGGTAGTAACACACCTGTGCTCTAGAGGCCACTGGACCTGGGGATAAGTCCCAGCTCAGCCATCAGGTAGTGCATAGATTCCGTCGTGTTATTTTACCTCTCAAAGTCTGTTTCCTCATCTGCAAAAAAAAGGAATGAATGAGACTTGTACTAGCCTCTTAAATGCAATATGCACAAATAGCACTTCGCTGTATGCTATATAAATGTTGGTTTTGTTATTCTCCTCGTTCTTACAGACCTGCCTGTCTGGACAGTTGAGCAGGCCCTGCTCTGCCCCTGTGGCTCCTGCAGACAGCATTGGTTCCTCTCTTCCTGGGTTACAAGCGCCTGCCTGGCCCTCCGCTTGGATACTGATGTTCTCCTAGCTCTTGGCTGTCTCTCTGGCGTCTCACCAGCTGGGCTTCTCTGCCTAATTCTGAATGTTGGTGTCTCTGTAGCTCCTTGCTCTGAACCAACAATCTTCTGAGAATTGCAGCCCAGCAGGCGTCTCCAGTTATTCTTTTCAAAACATTAACTGTACACATCTATGTTTGTGATACTAATTCCTCTAACTTTTAACTACTAAAGTGATGGAGAAACAAATAAAAGAAGACTTTGCACAGATAGTGCCCCCGACCCCACGTGAACATAGCTGTCATTCCAACTACGGATTGGGGTGGCCCAGGGGACAGGGCTGCTTGGTAAGGCCTGGATGTGGCAAGCAAAGCCACACCTTCCATTCTCTCTGCACAAATAAGACAAGAAAACTCATTTGTGCTCATGGGAGCCAGCCCCCTCCTCCATGATACCCCAGACATTATCCAGATGGCCAGTTTCCAGAGCATTTATTAAACAACCATTTACGGACAGCCCACCATGAGGCAGCCACTGAGTGCTGAAATTGAATTTATTTTCTGGATTAAGTCTCAGGAAAGATTGGAAAGCCTTGTCAGTGAGGCCTCGAGGTAGAATTGCTATGCCTTTGCAGAATAAAATGTGTGCTGTTTTGTGTACTGCTATTTATTGTTCCTCTTGCTTCCTTGGAGGGAAAAATAAGATCTCAGTCCTGTGGGGTGCCGCCAAGCAAGGCAGCTGCAAGGGTTTAGAGATCAGCTTGAAGGGGCAAGAGTTACCTCTTTTTTCTGAGGCCATCTTAATTCACTGCCGTGGTTCATTTAAAGTCGTATTTTAGGGGAAAGGAGAGAGGGTGTTTTTCTGTTGTTGTTTTTAAAGATAAAGTAAGGGATTGATTAGAAGACTTTTTCTTCTGTAGTAGAATCTACAGATCAGCCCCTAGTACGCATGCTCCCTTCTTTTTGCCAACAGAACCCAGATTTCAGCTCTGGCCTCTCATCTAGCATGAGTTTCCCAGGCCCCCCGGCAGCTGGCTATGGGGCCAAGTTCTTTCCCAGGGGATTTAAGGATAAATTATGTCCTGAACTTATGGGTCTTACCCCTCTAATGTTTCAGTGTTGACACCTCTATATCACCCAGACACAGTGCCAGGAACCTGCAGGGACTATGAAGACAAGGGCAATGATCTAGAGAAGCAGTCTGTGACCCTTGATGACCTTATGAGCTGGGCCACCGGCCCACCATGAACCAGCTGCCTCTCTCTGGATGGCCACATAAGAGAAAAGTTAACCCACTGAATTTTGAATGTTTCTTTGTTACAGCAGCTTAGCCTCTACCCTAACTAATACATTCTTTACTACAGTAAAATTGTTAAAGTCCTAAATTCTTTAAGTGTCTTTGTTACAAATTATCAGCCTTCCCCTTCCCTTCACCCCCAAACTCACCACTCTGTAAGTCTCCTCTGCTCTGGGCAGCACACTCGAGAATCCTGTTACAGCTACTTGCAAAGTTTTTGCTCTTTTACATCCTGGCTGCTAGAGAAGCTTTATTTCCCTGCAACACCTTAAAATGTACATGTAAAACAGTAAATGGCTTACTACTGAAAACACAGCTTACCCTTGAGAAGTTCCATTTTTTCATGCCTTGATCTCTCTAGGTCGAAGAGTATGTCTTGGTTATAGAAATTCACGTCAGAGCAGCGAAGTGGCTTCTGTTTAAAGCAGAATGTTTTCAGGAGTGACGTGTCAACCTGGAGGATCTTGGGATCCACTCTTGCCCTTCCTGGCCCCACCTGCAGCTGTTCTGGTTACACCTTCAGGGGTGTGAGAGGATTGTTACTTGATGAGAAGCACCCCACCAAGATGAGAGGTGGGGGGATTGCATAAAGACATATTTCCTTTCACGTTAAAAGAGAGAAAATAAAAGAGCAAGGGAAATCACAGTAATATAATTTTTTAAAATCCTTGTTAGGCAGCACTTCAGGCAGGAGAAAGGTGTTGAGAAATCAAGTAAACAATGACAGCACACCAGGACTCCCAAAAGGCTAGGTGTTGCTTGTGGAAGCCGCCTGAGAAACAGAAAGGACACACTCAGGATAAAAATGAAATAAAAAGTGGATCATGGTGGTGAGAAGAAAGGAAATTCCACCTCTGATCCGCATCTCACAAATGCATAAACTGCTTTATTGTTTTGCTGAGAAGCTCACAAAATGCATAAACCACTTTACTGAAACAAAGACTAATACCCTTGATGGCTCCTGCCACCTCTGCCAGCCCTGCTCAGAGGGATGAGAACCTTCCATCTGCCCTTGGCCCATCCAGACCCTCAACCAGTTTGGGTCAAGATAGCCTGCAAAGTTCTGGGCTCCCAACTGGCCAGCCAGTGGAGTCTGGAAGCAATTCTGCAGCCGTGACATCTAATGCATATGGGGTGAGTCTCACATACACCCATGTCCACTGAGCAGCAGCTTCCCCCATGACCCTCGCCAATCTGGCAAGTAGAAAAACAATGGCTCTGGGCACGGGTTCAAATCCCAGCTCTGCTACTTCCCAGTTGAATGATCTTGGACAAATTACCTAACGGTTCTCTGTCTGTTTTCTCCCGTCAATTCACAAGGCTATGTTAAGGATTAAAGAGATGGTAGATATTAAATACTTGCCCCTGTCTGTGAAATTTCTTTCCTTCTTTTGTGGTCTTTGAGTTCATAAGGCATCTGCCCTGCCCTGAGGCCTGGGTCCTTTACCCCCACAACCCCATTTTCCCGATAGCTCACTTTGCTCCTGTTCCAGATATCCCTTCAAGACTTGGTCCCTGCATCCACCCCAGACCTCTGTGAAGGCTGCCTCCCCTCTTCCCCCACAGACATCCCTGTTATGGTCAGCCTTACAGCTAAGGACACAGGCCATCAGCCCCATCCCATCTCCACAGAGGCTGTGATGCCACCCTTGCCTCACTGAGGCCCAGAGGGGCTTGTGCTGAGCAGGGTGAGCTGAGGAAGGTGCCCAGGCCTCCCCGCTACATGTCAGGGTCCCAGACCTGTTAGCCAGCTTCCAATCCTGCCTTTGCTGCTCTCAGCTGTGAGGCCCTGAAGCCCCTCCCTGCTCTGGACTGCTCCTTACGTGAGATCAATGCACATGCTGAATGTTTGAGCCAGCTTGATGGAGGGGCTCAGATCCCCACTCCTAGAAGAGCTACATTTGAAGTTCCCATTACTTCAGCGAGACACGAGTTTCTCTTATGCTGTGCTGTGACTCTTGGTTTTCTTTCAGTGGGGTTCACTCTGGGGTTCCTTCTTGGTTTCTGGTGGCCCTTGCTCCCCTCCTCAGCCTCTGCTGTTGCGTGACTCATTGCGCCCACCTTCTTCTCCATGATGTCCCCCATTGAGGCTAGGACAATCGTGGCTCGTCAGAGCGATGGCAATGGTCTTAAAGCAGAATCAGGAGACAACGAGTGCTTCTTCCACTCTGGATGAGACTGAGGACTCATTCCCATTTGAATGAGGTGTCACTCAGATGAAGCACCATCCCTGCCTTAGTGGGGGAAGCATGCAGTGGAGAGGGGGACACTAAAGGACCTCCTGCTAATTGCTGCTGTCAGGTATTCCCAGGAGGAACAAGAGCAGGCTTCAAGGGGCAGGGTGGAGCCACCCCCTGGCCTGTCTGCACAAGTGTCCCAGCTCCCCACGTCCTGGCCACTTCCTCCCACTGAGATGTGCTTCATGCTAAGACCTTTCTCAAGTCTGTCAGTCAATAATGAGTGAGCACCTACTATGTGCTAGGCACTGTGCCCTTTGCTCCCCTCAGAAGCCCCACAGGTGTCCACAGACCTTGGTGAAAACCTGCCAACCAGGTGATGATCACAATCTTCTTGCTGCTTCTGGTTTCATGCAGAACTCAATAACTTGCATTCCCAGAGTATTCCAAATGCGTAGTACAAAACGGCTGATCTTGGCCAACATTTTGAGGGGTTATGGAAAACCAAATTGAGACCTGGGAGCTGAAGCAACAGTGCCACGATCCCAGCCCTGGGCTCTTCACTCATTCTGTCTCTGCCTGACATGCTGGCACCAGCTGAGAGGAGCTCCATGTCTCTCCAATTCTGTGCCACACAGGATGTCCCAACATCCCATCTGGTTCCTATCTGACTGTTCAGGATCTGGGAGGCAAGTCACTTTGCAGGAAGTCAAGGCTGTGAGCAAGGATGTGGAGGGAAAAGCCGAGGTGCCAGCTGGGAGCTGAGACCAGACCTTCGCCTCGGAGAGCAACTATCTGGGACAACGCAGGCTCCAATGTCAGTCTAATTACAGGCCTGTCATTATTCATTAGTCCTGTGGAGCGGCTGGTAGGGTGGAAATGAAAGAAGCGTGAAGGGAAGCTGGGAAAGCGGGTATGACCTCAGCCAGGAGGGCCCTGGGGAGAGCAGGGGTGCCAGCCACGCTGACCCAGGCACCCCATACCTCTCATTCCCCACCTCTCTCCATGACCTCCACTCCCCCTCAGCACCCAGAGAGTAGCCAGGCAACATCTTGGTGCACAAGTCCTCTGTTCCTCTCCAAACTTGTGCTCCTGGGTCCTGAGGTCTCTTTCCCCAACCCCCTTTAATTAGGGCAGTTCATTCCTTCACAAATATTCCTTCAATCCCTACTACTTGCCTGCCATTTTTCTAGGCCCTGGGATATAATGGTGTTGGGGTCTGATTTTAAGTGGGGAAGTCTGAGGAAGTGACATTTGAGCAGGGCCCTAATGTTCGGGAGGGGGAGACTAGACCAACAGAAGTGCAGGTGCAAAGGGCATAGGGCAGGCTGCGATGCACTTAATCTGTGAAGGGAAGCCCAGGGATGGGGCAGAATGAGCTAGGAAAGAATGGGAGGGAAGCAAGTCAGGTCACACACAGCCGGCAGAAGGTGAGGTACAAGGGTAAGAACAGGGAGACGGACCACAAGCCGGTGCAATAGTCCCGGTGTGCGATGGTTTTGACTTAGACTGGGTTGGTGAGGAGCGATCTTTCTTAGAGTTTATATTTCAGATACTCTGAACTCAGCTCTCACCACCTCCCTTAGCAATGGCTCCCCACCCCTAAAGCGACGCTGGACCCATCATTTCACGTGCCCTCATTCCAAACGTCTTCCTCATGTGGCTGAGGCTCACACACATGCAACTAGCCACCATCATCAAGGCTGCCAGGCCATCCTCAGGATGGGGGTCCAGCCCTGCAGTGAGGCTGTCTGCCCCTCCTTCCCACTTCTTCACATATTTAACTCAAATGACGCTTACAGAAAGCAACCCGAGACTGTGTCAGCACAGGGCTACCGTTACAGAAGAAGACATCGCAGTTTACCTGTGACAATGAAGAGTAGGTGAACTCTGTGGCATTTAACTAGATGGTTGTATTAAACAGATCATATCACTTTTTTCCAATTATTTAGACTTTTTAAGCAGTGAGCAGGAACTGGATGGTGGCAGAATTCCTGAGGTGCCCACAGGCAGCCTCGCTTCTGGTTATAGAGGAACTAGGAAGCCCAACTGGAGGACTTAGATCCTTTGTGTGTGTGCCGGGCCCACCAGCCAGATGCCAGGCTCCTGAGCTCCCGCCACGCCCTTCATCTCTGTGTCCTCAGCGCCTGCCATAGGCAATGCTCTCACAGTGCCTGCCGAACCAATGGAGGAATAAATGGAGAGATGACATGAGTGCTGCTTTGTGACCCCACCCCAGAACAGTGCCAGGAACACAGGAGAAAGTGAATTGAGGATGGTCAAGATGATTACATTTCACCCATCCTAGTCCCACCCGTTTCAGGGGTCTCCTCTCTGCTTCCTAAGGTGAGAGCCAACCAACCAATCAGGGAAGGGAAGGAGGCTTAGGTGTCAGGGGCTGAGAAAATGTCACCATTACCCTTTTAAGGCAACAGACTACCATGCTTCAACAGGTCCATTATGCGGAGGCAAGCTTTGCTGGGCCGGGCATAGTTTGGACAGTTTTCAAATCATAGGGTGACTGCCTGCCTGGATTGAGCACAGATCTGGCCCTCCTGCAGGATTCCCAGCCCTTGGGCAAGGAGAACGATGGGAAGCAGGCCTTTGGGGGCTTCTCTGTTCCAATAACGATGCAACAGTAACTACTAACATCCAACTGGCCCTCTCGGGCATAAGACGCTGTCATATACGTTCTTTCTTTTGCCTCTCATTGCACCCTGGAGGGAGACAGACAGTGTGGATTGCCCCAAAGGTCCTGCAAGAAGTAAGAGCCAAGACCAGGTTTGAGCTCTGGTTTTCTGAATCCACATTCTCAGCTTCCTTCCCCACTCCACTGAGCTCCCCAGTAACAGTGTGGAGTTCAGAGCAGGAGGAACCGTCAGTGATCATTGATTGTGAGCTCATGATTGCACAGTGGGGGCCCAGGAGGGAATGGGGCCTCCTGCACCTACACCCACCCTTCACACACCAGGCCACCTATGCCTATTTTCCCAGGGGTTTTTGGTCTCTTGAGATTCTGTCCTGCTATCACCATTTTACTTTCTAGACTGTGTTTCCTCTTCACCTCTAAGACAGCTGAGGCGGTTTACAGCTGTTTACTAGCAGTCAGATAGAGGAGGAACTTAAGTGGAATATAAACTATTGAATTAAATTATCCTCTTCAAATGCCACCTGGTACTCACTCTACCTGAGAATTTCAATCAATGCTGGTAACTTCCTGCTCTCTAATGGAATGCACCAGACAAGTTTTTTTGCCTGCCATTTGAGCTGGGCTGCTGCTATGGCAGATGCTGTTACAGGGGACAGAGATGTTCGTGTAGACCGGCATGACAATGCGTCACCTGAAAGCATAGCTTTCTTGAGCTCCCAGCAGTGCCATTAGCAGGTTGGGAAATGGCTTCACTCCTCAAGCCTGGGTGTTAGAGGCAACCACAGGTGGGTCAGTGAGGCCCTCCAGGAGATGGGGGGTGGAGTTCTGTACTTCAGGACACCTTTTAAAGACTCAAGGAAACAGTGGTGTGGGAGAGGAAGAGTAGTGGGGAAGGAAGACAGATTCCCTCCTAGCACCAAAAAATATGGGTAAAGCTCATAACCATACATACAACACCCACTAATTACAAGTCAAAGGGATGGAACGTTGTGCCCTCCGTATTTATAAAACAGAATGTCCCTGGGCTGGGAGTTCCTGGGTTCAAGTCCTGGTTCCAACATTTATTAGCCATGCTGTCAGAAGCAGGTCTCTTCTCTGAGGCTCCATTTCCCTTTTCTGTAAAATAGCTTCCCTGCCTACATTATGGGGAATGCAAAAGCGTTTTTGACAACTTCCAAGTGCTGTACAATTGTGAGTTACGATATATTGGGCGGTGGGAGGGGCCCTTTGAGAGATATCCCTCCGGACCCCCACAGACCTCTTAATCGGCCTTTGGGTCAGGTGAAGCGGGGCCAAGGCCATTTGTATCTTGGAAGGAGGGCTCCTCTGGGACGGCCATCCTGGAAGTGACCTCTGGGAGGCAGCAGAGGAGGTGCTACGGAGCCGCCACAACTGGAGTTCACAGTCCCGGGATCCTCAGGGGACAGGGAAGGGGAAGGAAGCATTGAGACTGAGTTACTGGCACTGTTTCATAGATAGGGAAGTCAATGTGGGAGTTCCACAGGGCCTGCTGGGCCCGCGGTTGTGGGTCACCACCACAAAGCTGTGCCCTGATGCCATTCCTTCCCCAGGGCTTGGGCCTCTTCCTTTCTGCCCTGACCCTGGAAACATGATCCTTCCAAGTTCACTCATCAGCAAAATTTTCCATCCTCAGAACGGGTTTTCCGGACAGGACAAAATATGCTTTTAAGACCTTCTTCTCAAGGGCAATAGAAACTTCCTTACTTACGGCACAAGGAAAAACGAGGCAAAAATAATTACTGAGTGCCTACTATGCGTCAGCATTGTGCCAGCCAGTTTATGCACACTAATCTCATTTACACCACATAGTAACTGGCTGAAGTGAGTTAGCCCATTTTACAGATGAGGAAACTGAGGCACAGGGAGTTAAATAACTTTGACAGGATCACACAGGTGGGTAAGTGATAAAGCAGGGACTCAAACCCAGAGTTCTCTGACTCCAATATGCATGTTCTTTCTACCATGCTAATTACATAAACATGACAGAATGGTCAAGGAGGCAGAGCAGACTCCACAAAGACAAAATGACAAAATATTTGTCATTTCTTCATGCTAGAAACATTTGAATTGCTAAGAAACAGCAAAGATACAGAATAGTTGTAGGACCCAGACTTGGAGTTCTTCATACTAGTTTCCGCCTCCATTTTGGATCTCTCTATAACCAGCTTCCTGTGGCCAGTCTGTTCTTCATTGAGAATCCTTTTGCTTTTGTTTCTGTGATGTTGCCTTTGTTGAGAGTCCTAACGGAGCTCTTCCCAAGATAGCTCTCTGCTTATCTTTCACACCCTGGTCTATGCTTGCTCCCTTAACTCTTGGCAAGCCCATGCTCCTCCAGGTTTTTTTTCACTAGCAAAATTATTTTCCCTTCTTCCTTCAAAACATGATGCTAGAGCTCCAATCTTGAGCTGGGTGCTAGAAAAGGACCTCAGGGCGATAGTGATTACCAGTTAGCAAGCACTTGCTACTGGACAGGATTCATATATGCTGAATGTTCGCATGCAGTATCTCATGTAATTGTCTGAACATCCTTAGGGTAGGTGTTAGTATCTCTGTTTGATGGATTGGGTAGCTGAGGCCCAGAGTCACTGAGTAAGCTGCCCAACATCACACAGACAGCCAGTTCTCAATCTCAGCTCTGTGTGGCCCAGAACCTGTGGCATCAACCCCACCCACAGGGGATGGTCAGGAAGATAAACTGCTTCCCCATCCTCTCTACTGTGGATCTTGATTCTTACTATAAGTTAATATAGATTCTCAATATAATTTAATATACCAAATAGCTGACAGTGGGACTCTGCTGGGAAGAAGAGAAATATGTAATACGTCTGCTAGGATCCTCAGTCCATTTGAAGAGACTAACACATGAAGTGCACTCCATGACCTCCCTTGGGTCCTGGGACATTCTCGTGTGTTCCTTCCCACCTCCCTAATGTTCCCTTTGATCTCCTCCTCAAGCTGCCCTGTTAATGCTGGTGTTCTATAGGGATCCACCTTCAACCTACCTCTCTTCTCCCCCCACATCAGGGCTTAGAGATTTGAATAACCACAAGCAGTGTGCAGAAATTCACCCAGCAGGCTGAGCATTAAACAATAGCTGCTTGTACAGCAACCAAACAAAACCTTTGCCTGGCTACAGGCCTTGAACCATACCCAGCCTGATAAAGCGTCCAAACAAAACAGAACATTTTGGCAAAATCCAAACCATGCTCAGAGCTGCAGGGTTGTTGCTCTTATTTCTATTTTCCCGGGACAATTTCATCTATCGCAAGTATTTGTCTATTATCTACTTCCTCCATGATGATAACCTCTGCACCTGCTGTCTTCAGCCCAGGTCTCTCTCCTGGCTTCAGACTCTGTGCATGTGAGGGCCTGCTGACATCTCCAGCTGCCCCTAGATCCAACTTGGCCAAATTTGAATGCACCATCCTCCATTTCTCTCCATCCTCCTGCCTGTATTTATTTCCCCCCTTTCCCATCCCACTTTCTTACTTTCTTGCTTGGTCTCTCTCTCTCTCTATCCAGCCCTCCAGTACCTGCCCTAGTTCAGGCTGTTGCCCTAGTCCCCTTGAATATTGCTGTAGCCTCCTACATGGGTCCCACCGCCCCCCATCCACCCTTCTCATTGCAGCCTGAGTCACTGACCAAAAATAAAAATCTAGGGCTACCTTCAGCTCAAAATTCATAGCCTGTGGGAAAAGACACAAACCCCTTAGCTCGATATCCAAGCCCGCCCCAGCCTGGCAGCACATACGTCTAGAGCCACCCCAGGTTCTCACTTCACTCTCTGGGCACAATCAATTGTGTGTACTTGTCCTACATAGACCACAGAGCACCACGCTCCAGTGTCTCTAGGCCCACTGCTGCCTCTGCCTGGAGAACCTTCCTTTCCCACCCACCCACACTCTGCCTTTGCCGAGCCACTGCTATATATTTTGAAAACCTACATCAGTGCCACCTCCTCTGAGAAGCCTTCTCTGACATCCCCCAAGTCTGGACCAGGCACCCCTCCTGTTGAGGGGGGCGGCGCACAGTATCTAGTACCATGGCACAAGATTTCAACATTGCTTGTTTACTTGTCTGTGAACCGGAGGGCAACCGCACATGGCAGGCACTGGAGTTGTCCATCCAAAACCTAGGACCTTTTCCTGATTTTATTCAGGCAAGAAATTGCTCAGTCTTGAGGATGATCGTTATTTTTTTTAACTTTTTGAAATTTTATTTTTTATTGATACATAATAGTTGTACATACATTGGGGATACATGTGATCATTTAACACATTTGAATAACTTGTAAAGATCAAATCATCATACTCAGGATATATATTGCCTTAAATATTTGTCTTTTCTTCATGCTAGAAACATTTGAATTGCTGTCTTCTAGCTCCTTTGAAATATACAATAGATAATTAGTAGTTAACCTTTACTGTGAGCCAAGTACTGTGCTAAGCACCTTATGTACATTAAACATTTAATCCTTACATCAACCTGTGAAGTATCATTATCACCATTTTACAGATGGGAAAACTGAGGAACAAAAGGTTAAGCTCCTTGCCCAGGGTTATATAAATCAGAAGTGATGGAGCCATGATTTGAACTGTGGCCATCGGGCTCCAGAGCCTGTGCTCTTAGTGGACATGATAGACTCACTGCTTTTCCCATGAACAGCACATCACAATTGGCCCAAGGCAGCCATTTATGGCATCCCATTCTGGTTTGCCTGTGACTGGTCTAGAAACAGGCATGTGATCCAGATATGGTCACTGGGTTATAATAAGAAGGCACCTGGGCACTTCTAGGAAAGGTGTTCTTCCCCTATGGAAAAAAAAAAAAAAGAGCAAAGTGAAGGTCCCTGTTCTGTCTTGCTTCTGTCTTTGAGCATTAGGATGTTGTTGGGGGCTATGATGGCCATCTTGCCATCTGAGGGGAGATATCACTGACCCACCAAGAATGGTTCTTGATGGCACTGCTGAGCTGTGGACCCTACAGCCTCTAAGGACCACAGCCCTGGACTTCTTTCTTATTTTAGATGAGATAATGAATGCCTGCATTGTTTTGTCAGAGGTGTTTAAACTGGAGCAACTCCATCTTGAATAGAGGCTGGGTAAAATAAGGCTGAGGCCTACCGGGCAGCATTCCCAGACAGTTAGGCACTCTAAGTCACAGGATGAGATAGGAGGTCAGCACAAATACAGGTAATAAAGACCTTGCTGATAAAACAGGCTGCAGTAAAGAAGCTGGCTAAAACCCACCAAAACCAAGATGGCGATGAGAGTGACCTCTGGTCATCCTCAATGCTATACTCCTACCAGTGCCATGACAGTTTACAAATGCCAAGGCAACATCAGGAAGTTACCCTATATGGTGTAAAAAGGGGACGCATCAATAATCCACCCCTTGGTAGCATATAATCAAGAAATAACCATAAAAATGGGCAACCAACAGTCCTCAGGGCTGTTCTGCCTATGGAGTAGCCATTCTTTATTCCTTTACTTTCTTATTAAACTTGCTTTCACTTTACTCTGTGGATTTGCCTCGAATTCTTTCTTGCACGAGATCCAAGAACCCTCTCTTGGGGGTCTGGATTGGGACCCCTTTCTGGTAAGAGTTTAGGCCACTACTGGCTGAGTATTGTAACTTGCAGCCAAACCCATACACCCATCCAATGCCTAAACGGTGCCTGGCACACAGTAGGCCCTTCATAAAGGGCTGTTTAATGAAGGAAATGGAAAACCACGTGAGCATATGTGGCAAAACAGGATGAACTCAAAGCACTACATGAATATGAAGAAAGTTTCATTTTCTTGAGCCTCAGTTTCCTCATTGAGGGGGCTGGGCTCAGTGGGTTCACTTAGGCACCCACTTTCTCTATTTTGAGTACAAGAAAAGATGAAGTTTCAGGTAGGCAGGACTGACAATAAATGTTATGGGAGAAGAGACCCTGGGAATCCCTCACAACTGCACACTGCTTATCCTTGGCAAGCTGAGGGAGCCTGTCAAAGGGCATCACTTTCTGCGGGAAGGTTCAAAGAAACACATCTAAATAGAAGAGAGTATGATAAGGGACTCGCCCAGGGGCCACCCTCTACAACAAAGAACTGCAAAGACCTCTGCTCTCTTGGCCTTTGATTTAACTCAATACAATCTGAAAACATCTGAACGACTTTCTTTGTTCACTATAGAGTCCTGAGGGCCGCCCAGAGGCCTGCCTGTTTATCCACCACAGGCAGCTGGCAGTAACTCAGCAGGCGCAAAGCACACACCTTGCTCTGTCAGATCAGCCACTCAGATAAGGCCACGGGGGTCACTCATGAGTCCAGGGGCATTGGCGTGGGCTCTAAGGCACCTGATGGGGCAGGCCAACCATTGGCCAAGTAATAAGGACCTCTGAGTCCTACTCTGAGGCTTCCCTGGCTCCCTTTTACTGTCCCTAGTCATCCTTTGTGGGACCCTTTAGGAAATTATACATTAGTTCAATGTTCACTTCAATTTCTCAACTAAAAGTCTGTGTTCTGCACTCAGAAACATCTTAGTCAATTGCATGTGAGTATGAACTGAAGTCTTTCTCAGGGCTATCTGCTAACTAAATCTCATCCCCCCAAGATGCCTTTAATGTGTTTGTCTTGCAAGCTTTGTACCAGTTTTTAACCATTGTTTACTTAGGTTTTTACCTATTTTCTAGTTCCCAACTAGACTATAAATTTCTAAAAGACAGAACCCACATCTTCTATCCATACTTAGGATTCAATTATTCATTCATTCATTCATTTATTCAACAAACATCTATTAAGAGGTGGGCTTTGTGCTAGGTCTGAGCTTTCAAAAACGAGTAAGACATAGCCCCTACTTTCAAGATATGAAAGTCTATTTAGGGGAGACAGACTGTCGAAGCAGAGAGTTAGGTCCCCTCCTCATCTTCATCCTGGGGTTCATGTTCCGAGTGTCACAACCCCACTCAACCAGCCTTTATTTGATCTACTCTGAGTAACTCTGTTTCTTGCAATCAAGAGAAACCAATTACGGCATCCTCTAGGGTAAGAAATGCTTAAACTGACTCTTAAAGGATCAGTATAAGGGAAACGAGGGCATGGGGAGGATATTCCTGGCAGAGGGCACAGCACGAGCAACAGCATGAAGGCCAAGAACAGCTTGTTATGGGCAATGCCAAACACATGTGCATTCATTTCTATTTTTGATCCTTCATTGTGGAATGAAAGGCTTTGTCCACAGTAAAGCAGTCCCAAACACCAAAAGACTGATAAAGGAGGTATTTTGGGACTTGCGTAGGGAGGAAAGTCCCTTCCCTGAGCCTGCAAAATCACACTGAGTAAGCAGCTGTCTCCAAACGCCAGTGCTTAAAACCAATCCTACTGATTCACAGCAGCTTCTTTGGTGGCCAAAGATGCACGAGAGAGAAGGAGCAGCCCAACTGCAATGGCCAAAGTCCTGGGAATGAGAGAAATGTCTCAAAAGAGAGAATGGCGAGGTTGAAAGGGACACTAAGAGATTACTTCATTCATTTGAGTCCTGAAGGCCTCACACCAACGTGGGAGAAATGCAGACCTGGAATCCAGCCTTCCATCCCTGGAAAATCCCATGGAAGGTACTTCCTTCTATGCAGAGAAATACCATTTCCCCTGCAATTTGGTACTTACACATAAGAGGAATACAGACTCCCAAAGCTTAGGAGAATGGGGAATATTAATATGATACAATGCTGGGTTCAGTCTACCCTTTAGCTTCCCAGAAAAGGCTGGTTCCAGCATGCAGAGCCAATGACACATGCTCTAAAAAAATCCAGAGCATCTAAACAAGGCAATGTTATCCCCCTTCTTCTGCCAGAGCTCCACTGGGCTCCATCTAGCCCTTCATCTCTCAAGCTCCATTTCTAGGAGCCCACATCTTGATAAATGACTGGTAAGAGTCACTTAATCCCACAGAAATTAAGTGACCTACTGTGTGTAAGACTTTGTCATTGGAGAAGTGTGAAAAGCTCAGATTTTCTTACTTGGGACCCATCCCAATCCCCCGATGCCAAGGGCTTCAGATGTGGTTAGCAAAGACACCCTTGACCCATAAGGACATTCACTCCAAGTTCTGGCTTCCAATCAGCTCAGGGGATTGTCTTTCCATGACCTAAAGTGGCATCCTGCTTGCCTCTCATCTATCAGGAGCCACAGACCTGCTTTGCTTTCTAAAAAAACTGGTGCCCCTGTGCTTACCTTCAGCTTTAAAGATGGCTACTTAAGGGCAAAACATGCTCACTCAAATGTAAGTTCAGTGAGGGCAGTGGCTTTATCTTGTTCATTATTGAACCCCCAGAATCTAGGACAGTGTCTGGCACATTGTTGTTGTTCAATAAATGTCGAATGAGTGAAAGCATTTGTTGGCTGCCTTCCCCAATAGACTGTAGCCTTGTGGTTACCACTGTATCCTCTGTTTAGAACAGCATCCAGCATCTTGTAGGGACTCAACAAGTATTTCCTAAATGAATAAGTAAGTAGTAGGTTACTGATTTTTTTTGACAAATAATTTTTCTTACAATGTATTCAGTATTTATTCAACTAATTATTGAGTTTCTTCCTCATGCCAAGCCCTGAGCCAGGCTTGGAGATCCAAAGATGCTCAGGATAGAGTCCCTGCCTCTAGATAGTCACAGTCTAGTGGAACAGATAAATATGAAAACAAATAAAGTAGAGGCCAGGTGCAGTGGCTCACACCTGTAATCGCAGCACTTTGGGAGGCCAAGGCAGGAGGATCACTTGAGCCCACGAGTTTGAGACCAGCCTGGGAAACATAGAAAGACCTTGCCTTTACAATAAAATAAAATAAATTAGCCGGGTGTGGTGGCACATACCTGTAGCCCCAGCTACTCAGAAGGCTGAGATATGAAGATCACTTGAACCCAGGAGATTGAGGCCTCAGTAAACCATATTCACACCACTGCACTCCAACCTGGGTGACAGAACAAGACTCTGTGTCAAAAAACAAAAAATAACAAAGTAGAAGCCCTTGAATCTGGCAGGACTTAAAACTCAAAGTTTGCCAGAAAATTGAAAATATCAAAATGGAGAATCATAAAAATTCCTACCATGCTGGACAACTTCCACTTGCCCCCAATCCCCTCTCCTCCACCCTCTGTCTGCTCTCTACACTGGGGGTTTCAACTCTGTGGACTGTATCAACGGACTCCTGTTCCTTCTTCCTTCTTGATGGGTTTGTCCAATAGGAGACACTGGTAGAAGCTTGCAGGAAGAAAGAAGGGAGAGGCCAGGGCATTTAATTCCCTGTTTCCCCCCTGCAGCACCTTGGCACACTGGCTGCCTCCCTCATCCCGAAGCTCAGCTGCTGTCAGGAGCCCTTCTGCATTCCCCCAACTTGAGGTCCTATCCTGTGGTTTTCCTAATTTCTACCTACAGTTTTATAAACAATCCTTTTATTTTATTAAACCCTCTTCAAAGTATCTAATTTGAGCATGTAATTTTTTTCCTGCTGTGATTCTACTAACATATACCCCTTCAACATTTTTTCAACTTAAAAAATATATATACACAAACACACGCACACACGTACTAATTCACCTGTTCCTTAAAAGGCCAAGATCTTTTCTTTGGTTGTGGGTCTGCTAGTTGAATTTCCATGTCCTCTTTCATTCATAAACAACATCCATGATGTGTAGACTATGAGTTGCCTATTTCTTTTTATTTAAATTGGAGTGAGAATTTAAGGACACTTGCTAATGCAATTCAAGTGCAGAATATCTTGAGATTTTTGCAGGCTGTTTTCTAATATTTTACAGTTGTTCCACCCACACCTAATTTTCCAGCAGTTTGATTTCATGACTCACATTTAGGGAGCCTTTTTTCCCTTTGAAAATCTCAACATTGACTTATTCATTCATTTCTTAATCAACATCCATTCATCAACTCCTACTCGTCTCAGGCTGTTGGTTGGAACATGAGGCACAAAGATGGGGCCACCATGGTCTCTGTCTTTGAGTTCAGTCTTGAGGAGATACACATGTGACCACACAATAGCATCTCATGAAAATGAGCTTGCTCAAACTCCTTCATGCATCAGCTTTTCCATGTGTCTTCCTGAAGCATTCAACTTTTAGGTTGTATAAAAACAACTCTCACTCTTTTTCCCCTGTACTTCATTGGTCCGTGCCACACTCAGTTAGATCATGCAACTACTATAACAGGTAGAATTAGGCTAGGCAGGTTTGGGAGCTCATGGTTTGTGTCTAACTCAATAGGTAAGAGCAGAAGTGATAGCTAGAAGCCGGTCGACTGTAAGGGTTCACTGGGCCTCAGACATTGATTAGCATGCATCACAGGGTGAGCAGAGAGCTTGCCTTATGCCAGAAGTTTGGGCTTTAAGTAGATGCTATGGTATATATGTTTGTCCCCCCAGATTCATATGTTGAAATCCTAACCCCTTTAAGTGATGGTACTAGGATGTGGGGCTTTTGGAAGTGATTAGGTTATGGGGCCAGAGCCCTCATGAATGGGATTCATGATCTTATAAGAGAGGCTCAAGAGAAACCCCCTCACCCCTTCCCTCTGTGAGAATACAGCAGGAAGGCACCATCTATGATCCAGAAAGTAGGACCTCACCAGACACTGAATCTGCTGCCACCTTGATCTTGGACTTCCCAGCCTCCAGGTTGTGAGAAATAAATCTCTGTTGCTTGTAAGCCACCCAATCTATGGTATTTTGTTACAGCAGCCTAAATGGAATAATAGCAGCAGAGGTTACTTAAGAGAAATGCCACTACACTTAATGTACAGAGTGAGAGAGAGGTATACTAGGATGCATCACATACAAGTGCTAAAATGTATGGATGGCCATTGTTTTGGACTGAGCTCCTGCAGTAAGCCTCAAGAGACCAGACCAAATCACAATGGAACCACTCATGCTAGGTACCGCAAAATCAAACATACCTTTAAGATGAGCTGGTAGGAAGAAAAAAGAAGAGAAGAGAGAAGAGAAGAGAAAAGAGAAGAAAAGAAAGGAAAGGAAGGAGATTTACAGCACCAGGCAGTCTACTTGAGCAGGCATGATAAGGAAGTCCTCTCTGTGAACTCTGTAACTTTGAAATGACCAGTCTGCTTTTTGTTCCTCGGTTTTGGTTTCTTCAGCATTTTCTGCTTGTAAAGCCAACTGCCTCTACTCAGGTCATCAGAGCTGATATCTATTTTCCAGAAGGGATGCTGCCTGATTCATGAATTGCTAATAAAAGCCAATTACACCTTTAAACTCAATTTGTTGAAATTGTATCTTTTGACAAATAATAAGTTTCAAGACATAGAGAGGAAGCTTTCTCAAAGAAGGTGACATGTGAGTTGGTCTTAAAATACCAGCAGGAGTTTGGCAGAGGAGGAAGAGATTCCAAACTTAGTGACAAGCATATATAAAGGTAGTGACAAAAGGCATGTAGATAATGTGTACGCCTATGACTTAAGTGCATGTGGGCACATGAGCCCTAGGACACATATCCAAAGACAAAATGTTCATAGTGGCCCAGCCAGTTTGAACAGAAAAAAAGCAACTAGAAGCTACAGTGGGAGGATGTCTTTTTAAATGAGGAACGATTACATTCTGGAATACTATACAGTAGTAAAAATGGATGAATTATAGCTACATAAAATACCATGGATAAATCTTAAGAATAGGGAAATTGATTAAGATGGCAGAATTTGTACAGTATGACTGCACTTCTAAAAAGTTCAAAAATGTGCAAAACTGAATGGATTTTGTTGTTATGGGTTTAATAAAAATGGTAAACAGCAAAAAGGCCAGTGTGGCTGGAGCAGAGAGAAAGGCAGTAAGAGTGGGAGGATATGGTATCAGAAACATGGTGAGGCAGGCACAATGGGGTTAGGGCCCACTGGCCATCATAGGCCTTGAGGTTTCCCCTGAGTGGAGTGGGGAGCCATTGCAGGCTTTTGAGCAAAGGAGTGACCTGATCCAACTAATGTTTTCAAAGTCTGTATGTATGTCTAAATTGTGTCCATCTATGAAACAAATATATTGCCTACATGATAAAACATATGTAACAAATTAGACATATCACACACTAATATACCAAGCCATAAGCCATTCTTAGGGTGAAGTTCTTTGTTAATGACAGTGGATATACATTCACATTTCATATAGCTTTACTGATAGTTTTGAAATGCAGAAGCTGGCCCTACCACTGCTGTTGTAGTCTCATCACATGGCTGACAAAGGGTTTGTCATGGGAGTAAGAAAATGCCAGTTTAGCTATTTCTCACCATCCACTTGGGCTTGCCTTACAGATACTGTGTTCAACTTGTGGTTTTGCTGTAGGGATATGTTTAAGCAGTTTGTTCTTTTGTGGGGGTTAGTTTAGGTGACATTTGGTAAGGTAATCTGCAGATATTCATCAGGACACCCATATAACAGCAATGCACATGACTGGAAGCAAAGCCACAGGCACCCTTCCTCTCCCCAACTCTCCACCCCTGTCTGCATCTCTGAGGATTCCATGGAATAGAAGGTGAAGTCCTTGGACTGGATGGTTCCTATGGTACCTACAGGCCTATGAACATCAGGTCTGGAGGAGAAAGGCATGTGCAGACAATGCCTTGGTCAGAGGGATAGGTACAAAATCCTCCAAAAGGGATGGTTTAGAGCTGCCATTCAGTACAGATGTCACTAGTCATATGTACTATTATTGAGCTCTGGATGTGGCTAGTGCAAATTGAGATGAGCTTTAAGTGTAAAATACACCTGCATTTCAAAGACCTTGTTAAAAAGAACAGCAAAATATCTCATTAATTTTTTAAAAAGTGCATTTTTAGAGTGCATGTGAAAATAATATTTTTATACTATTGGGTTAAGTTTAATAAATTATTAACATTAATTTTACCTGCTTTGTTTTTGCCCTTTTTTCCCTATTATTTGTTTAATGTGGCTACTAGACAGTTTTTTATTGCATACATGGTTCATGTTTGTGGCTCACATTATATTTCCATTGAATAGCACTGGTCTAGACAGAAAACCAGTTCCCTAAGTTATGGAAAAGTCCAAATTTATCAACATTATCAGCACCTTTTGTTCCAATTGGTCTTGCCCATCATGTTCCCAATAATGGCCCCATTAGGTAAAGAAGCCTGTGGTGAATGCCTTTATGGCACATTGTGAAGGTGGTGCCCTGTGATTCAGGAAGGCGATGACTAATGAACTAGGGCTCTGCCATGTACTTGCCAAGTGACCTCAGAAACATCACCGGCACATTGCTTTCCTTCCTTGTCTGTAAAAATGTGAAGGAAATTAATCATATAATATTCCATCTTTCTGGCTCTGGGTGCCTCCTTCCAGAAGTATTTGCACTTTTAAAACGGAGTCTCTAGAAGGCAATGCTCAACCCAAATTAAGAAATGCCAAATGGCAAAACTTCAGGCCCCAGTGGAGGAGGAGTTTTGGAGTAGAGAAGATCCTCCCGGGTCCCTGCAAATCACAGCTCAGATTCTATGTGAACCTGATAAACATATAGGAACTCACAGGACAGACTGACCCTGTGAGAAGTAGTAGGCTGGGATGGAGATTCCAGATGGGTCTTCATTTGTACCACCAAGCACATGCTGTCGATTTAAGCTGCATGGTCAGGCTATTATTTCATGAGCACATCCTCCTCTGGCAGACACACACACACTTCCATAAGTGCAAACATCCACATGCACACACAATGAGACAGCAGAAAGTGCTTAAAAAAGCAGCCTCCCAGTCCAAGAGGAAAGTATCCCTCACTTAGAGAGACAGAGGGCCAGGAAGAGGTCTCCAGGAGCCTCAGGAAGCAGGTGGCACGCTGCCAGGTCATGCATAGGAGCCTGATCCAAGGCCAGTGAGGCAGAGCAGCAGAAGCCGCAGGGCATCCAGAGACAAACAAATAATGAGCTGGCAGCTCCAAGAGAAGTGGCAAAGCTAACTGCATACCTGACAATGGTAAGCAGTTAGGCAAAATGGAGAGTTCCAGCAGGGAAAAACCTACAGTTATTACAGTGGGCCTGGCTCTGAAAAGTGAGGGGAAAGGGCACTTAAGAAAGGAGAGATTCTTCCCCAAAAATAGCAGCTGTGAGATGGAGAAGGGATGGGTGCCCACATTTGTGCATTCACTTCATTCGACGCCATGTGGACAAACAGATCATTTACAATGCTTTGAACACAGACAGATAAATTAAAATGAAGTTCCCCTTAAACCACCCTTATCAATCCAAGCTTTATCCAACTCCAAATTCTACCTCCTCCAGGAAGCCTTCCTTTCCCAGCAACTGCAGTCATAAATGGTCTTGCTATGAATTTCCAAAGCAATTTAAAGCAGATAGTCAGGGCCAGATCTAGGGGGAGAAATCAACTGAACACCTCACATACAAAAAATCAACTTAATTTAAAATTGTTTATTTTTTGTTCAGAAAGAAAACATTCACCTCTTTTTTAAATTAAAACAGTAAGCATCTAATTTTATGAAATTAGTACTAGATAGAATATATTAAAGGGTAGGAGAAAGACAAAAAGAAATGAGATGGGAGGAAAAGGAAGAGAGTAACAAAATAAGTGGAAAAGGGAGCAGTAGATGGAGGAGAGAGAAAGATAGACAGGAAGAGAGAAACAATTACATGAACGAAGAACTAAAGAAGAAAGAAAGGCTGGAAGGACTTGCTGTACACTCAGAATGTCACCTTTAAAAAGAATATGTATTCTGCTATGGACTTTTTCTAAAAATGTTCATTAGGTCAAATTGGTTACTCGAGTTGTTTAGGTCTTCCATAACCTTATTGATTTTACATCTAGTTGTATCAATCACTGAGAGAGGCATGCCGGAGTCTCCAACTATGATAGCATGTTTTCTGTTTCATCCTCCAGTTCTGTCAATTCTTCCTTTATTTATTTTCAAGTTTTATGGTAGGATGCGTATATGTTTAGAATTGTAATGTCTTTTGGTGAATTGACCCTTTTGCTCTTCTGTAGTATTCTTCTTTTCCCTTGTAACTTTCCATGTTATGAAATCTATCTTTTCTGACATTAATCTAACCACTTCAACTATGTTTTTAAATTATGGTAAACTACACATAACATAAAATTTACCACCTTAGTCACTTTTAAGTGTTCAGTGATGTTTAGTGGTGTTAAGTATATTCACATAGTTGGGCAACCAATCTCCAGAATGTTTTTATCTCGCAAAACTGAAACTCTGTACTCATTAAGCAACATTTCACCCATTTTCTTCTCCCCACAGCCCCTGTCAACAACCATCCTACTTTCTTCCTCTATAAATTTGACCATTCTAGATACTGTATACAAATGGAATTATACTGTATTTGTCTTTTTTGACTGGCTGATTTCAGTTAGCATAATTTCCTCAAGAGTCAACCATGTTGTAGCATGTGTCAGAATTCCCCTCCTTTTTAAGGCTGAATAATATTCCATTGTGTGGCTAGGCCATATTTCATGTATCTATCCAGCTGTCTATGCACATTTGGGTTGCTTGTACCTCTTGGCTGTTGTACATAACGCTGTGAACATGAGGGTACAAATATCTCTTGGGAACTGGTTTTCAATTCTTTTGGATCTATACCCAGAAGTCAAATTGCTGGATTGTATAATAATTCTATTTTAAATAGAACCACCAGACTTTTTCCATATTGGCCACACCACTTTATATCACTTCAGTTATCTCTTGATTACTGTTTGAATGGTACATATTCTCCATTATTTACTTTTAAACTAAACCTATTTGTATTTTTATATTTAAAGTCTGTCTCATAGACAACATAGAGGTGGGATGTTGTTTTGTTGTTATTTTCCACTCTGACACTCTCGGTGTGTTAAGACCATTTATATTTCATGCGATTTTATGTAATTTAACTGACATGATTGAATTTAGATCTATCGTTTCATTAGTTTTCCCTCTCTGTTTCTTGCTCCTGTTTCCCCTTTCCTGCCTTCTCTTGCATTATTTGAATATTTTTAGTATTATATTTTAATATACCTTTTAACTTTTTAGCTATCTCTCTTCATATTATTTTTAATGGTTTCTCTATAAAGTGTAATATACATGGACATTTTTTCACAGTCCATTTAGAATTAATAGTTTACCACCTCAGGCAAAATATAAAAGCTAGGAATGTCCATTTTAAAGTGGCATCCAAGTGTAAAGGCAAGGTAAAGTAGAGTGTGTACTGTTTGTTTAGTACTGAAGTGGTGAATATGAATGCATACATGTTTGAACATGCATATAGTATTTCTGGAAGCCCACGCAAGAAATCCTTAGTAGTGACTGGCTCTGGGGAGGTCAAGGGTTGGAGGGAGGACAGGGATGGGAGCAGAGTTGTTTCTCATGGTAAATCTCCTTGTATCTTCATTTTTTTTTTTACCAAGTTTACCTATTGCCTTCTCAGAAAATAATTTGCAGAAAGCTTTATCCATTTATTATTCAAATATATCCCTATAAATGTCAATAGTGACACAATTGTTGAAGATTTTACAAAAGCTCAAATTCTAAAAAATTTAGAAGTTCTGCTTTTAAAAGAATAATCTAAAGCAATTGAAATTATACTTCAGTGACCACAGCAATCTCTTTTAAAGAGTAAGATGAAGTTAAATTAAAGGTCCCAGAATCTCTTTATAGAGTCACTTCCAGCCTTTCTCATTTCAGTGGATGACACAACATCTAAGCTCCAGTTATTGGTCTTAGTGAATCAGGGCTACCCTATTCTTCTTGCCAGTGATTGAATTACAGCTAAGCATGGGGCCACTGAGACCTGAGAGAAGTTCCACTGGAGCCCTTATGAGAATTCTTGCCCTTAAGATAAAGATCCCATTAAAGACAGCCCTATTTCTGCCTTTGGACATCACTGTGTTAGAATGTGTGGCCTAAAACTGCTGTAAAGAGGTGGAGGCAGAATCCTACCACCTACTCTCTCTTTGTTATGTGACTAATATCTTCCCTCTCTGTTTGATGTTTAAGAGTTTTTTTATTACTTGCAACTGATAGCTTTCTAACCAATATACCATCACTTTTTTTCATGTATTCATTATTCACATCCACATAAGCACTTCTACATGTGAGAGCTGAGATAGTCACCAGGAATACAGTATCGATAAATGCATGAGCCCTCGCTGCCTTCAAGGAGCCTATAGTCATGCATTCCTGCATCTGTCATGTCCCCTGCTTGCACTTGTCTCTCCTGATCATTTCTGACCCTTTGTGGCTCACCTCTATAATATACACACCTAATTGTTTACCTTCTCTGTGAACTGCCATGACTGACAACCCTTCCTCAATGCCATACACACCCTATGCTTTTGTTATAGCACTTTTCAGACTGCCTTGCAATCGCCTCTTCATTAGCCTGTGAGCTCCTATTGTGAACCCCCGAGGCAGCCACAGGGCCTGGATATTAATAATGCTTAGTCAGGCATCTGCTAACTAGCCACCCTAAGGACTGGGGGCACTGTGAAGGCAAGTTCAAATGTTGGGAAGAAGTCACCAGCTATTGCTTAGAAACCAGAGCAGGGGATGCAGGCAGGTCCTGAACTACAAGCCAAAAGATGAGAGAACACAGAGAGGAAGGAGGGCCATATTGGCAAAGGACAAAAACCCCTGTCCCTCTTGGCCCTTCCTCCAAGCCCCAAACTCCTTGACTTCTCCTCCCAGAGGTCACTGCACAACCAGGAATCCACCCAAAAGAAATATGAAGCTTTCATCTGTTTAGCTGTTTGGCTGGATGGGCCCTTGTTTTTATACTCACGGGTCTAGTTAGGTAACACTCTTCCCTTTCACCAAAGTTCTGCAGCCCTCCACCCCCACCCTCCTTGATCTTCAGACATGGCTCATTGTGTTTCTGGCCCTGCCTGCCTCCTTTCTAACCCATCCTTCTTAGTCAGTTCATCAGAAAGTGGTTTCCTGATTGATTCTTCTCAATGGGTTTTCTCAAAAGCCCTTTTAAATTAAATTATATTATTTGTTCCAAGGTAACTAAAGCCAACATAAGCCAGCCCAAGTTCCAGTGCAGCTCAAACAGGTGACTTCTCATATGATGCAAAGGTTCTTAATTACAGACCACAGAATTCACTCTAGTGGATTTAAACACAAGGGTCTTTATTAAGAGGTAAAAACAGTGAAGAAGGCTGAAGAAACAAATCTAGACGAATAGTTCTCAACCCTTGCTTTACATTAGAATTGCCAAGAGAGCTTACAAAAATAAAATGCTCATGTCTTTGTTCAAGCCAATTAAATCAGAATTTGTAGTATTTTTTTTAAAGGTCCAAGTAATTCTAGTGTATAACCAAGATTCAGAGCTATTACTCCAGGCCAATGGGTCGCAACCTTGGCTACATACTGGAATCACCTGGGAAGTTTTAAAAATGCTGATGCCCAGGCACCACCCTTAGAGATTATGACTTAATCTGGGGTGTGGCCTTGGCACCTGCAGTGGTCAAAGCTTCCCAGGTGATTCTAATTAGAGCCTTGGCAGAGCTCCAGTATAGTCTAGGCCAGTACTTCTCAACCTTGACTGGGTGTGTGAATCACCTGGGGGTGTAGCTGATTCTTTAGGAGTGGGCTGGTGCCTGGGATTCTACTCCTGATCTGTGGACAACAGTTTGAGATGCTAGGCATTAAACTGAACTTCCAGGATTGGCTCCCAAAATTACAGCACAGAATCGGGCCGCCTAAGGAGCTGCGGCCTCCCCTGCAACCAGGAAGCTGCGGTATCTGACATCTGCCACCAACAGCTGTTAGCAACAGAGCTAGCACTCCTGCAGTGACACCCACTGGCCAAGTAAATGTCCACACACTCCACCTCTCTGCTCAGTGACTTAGATCCAAATCCAAATCTTACCTGACTACAGCTGCTTGGTGGATCCTAAGGCCACACCCTGAATCTACCTGCAAAAGATGCCTGGGAAACATATTTGCCAGCTCTTCAGTCTCAGCACGCTAGAGAGGGATTGAAACAAGTGTTGAATAAACCAATTAGCAGTTATGAGAACAGTGCCAGGAAAGTCACACTGCCTACCTTACTGAAGCCTGAAAGTCTACCATTTGAAAATAATTTCTTAAAATTAAGCACTGTTGGCCGGGTATGGTGGCTCCCGCCAGTAATCCCAGAACTTTGGGAGGCCGAGGCTGGTGGATCACGAGGTCAAGAGATCAAGACCATCCTGGCCAACACGGTGAAACCCTGTCTCTACTAAAAATACAAAAAATTAGCCAGGCGTGGTGGTGAGCACCTGTAGTCCCACCTACTCAGGAGGCCGAGGCAGGAGAATCACTTGAACCCGGGAGGCAGAGGTTGCAGTAAGCCGAGATCACACCACTGCACTCCAGCCTGAGTGACAAAGCAAGACTCCAAATCAAAAAAAAAAAAAAAAAATAAGCACTGTTGATAAATGCACAAGGTTATCCATGCCAGCAAAGAATTACCAAAGAATTAGAAACAGCCTTAGAAGACTGGCTAATCATGAAGCACCCTTATAGTGGAATAAAACTATGCAGCTAATGAAACAAAAAAATAAAAATAAAAATAAGGCAACTCTCAATGGGCTGATATTGAAGGATCTACAAGGCATATTAAAAAGTAAAATGTAAAAAAGCAAGATGCTATAATTTGTGCAAAAGGGATATAAGAAATACATGTACCTTTATGTTAGTAGGGACCCTCCGGAAGGATGCATACAAAATAGGATTCAGATACTGATTTCAGAGAGGGGAACTGGGTGGTTAGAGGATGGAGATGGACCATAGGCTTGGCACAATACATCTGTCCTACCTTTTGGATTTTGCACCTATTATATAAATAAATACAATCTGCTTTATAAATGAATTAAAATCTGCTCTATGAAAACGCCCTGCAAATTGTGACAGATGCATGCATGAATTTATTCAACACAGATGTACCTAACCCTCTCCCCATTCTGAGCCCTGTCTCAGTTCTGTGGAAGGGCCATGGCATGGTCCCCAAGACTGTAAGACCCCATGCCACAATGTGGTGAGTGCAACCGCAGAGGTGGACACACAGAGCCCCAGAGCACAGAGGAGAGGGTGATTGGTTTAGTCTAAGGGGCCCCGAGAATGTGGTCTATAGAAGGCATTGTTTGAAGGGAGACTTAAGGAAGATGTAAAATTGTGCTTGGTGAAGAAGAACATTCCAGACAGAGAGAACAGCTTGTGTGGTCTGGGGCTTGAGAGAAGGCACAGTATGCTCTGAGCAGTATGAGATAATAAGATGGCCAGAGCAGAGGTCATGGTGTCGGGGGTATACACCCACATGCATCTCCCTGAGCTCCCCACAACTCCCTGTTTGCGTGAGGATATACAGAGCAAATCATCACTGGATGGACTTTGAGGTTGGGAAGCTTTGATCTGAGATTCCCAGCTGTAGAGTGGTTCTCTTCTCCTGACCGAGTCCATCTGAAAAATGCCAAACAACAGGAACTACTAGACTCAGAGGTAGACCCAGCTGCACTTGATTATTGGTTTGCTTAGAAACACCTTGAACTAGGCTGGGTGCGGTGGTTCACGCCTGTAATCCCTGCACTTTGGGAAGCCAAGGTGGGCAGATCATGAGGTCAGGAGTTTGAGACCAGCCTGGCCAATATAGTGAAACCCCGTCTCTACTAAAAATACAAAAATTAGCCAGGTGTGGTGGCACGTGCCTGTAGTCCCAGCTGCTCAGGAGGCTAAGGCAGGAGAATCGCTTGAACCTGGGAGGTAGAGGTTCTGGTGAGCCAAGATTGTGCCACTGCACTCCAGCCTGGGCAACAGAGTGAGACTCCGTCTCAAAAAAAGTAAATTAATTAAAAAAAGAAACACCTTGAACTGAGGCAAAGAAGAAGCTAGACAACCTGTGCTCTTAAAACACTATTGTGAAATTTTAGGACCTTTATCTGAAGAAACTGCTTCATGCTTTGAAGGAGTGATGGGTCCTCCCACCACTGCCCACCGCCCACTCCCAGGTACTGCTGGGTTGAACAAAGGCAGAATGCTGAAGCCCACAGAGATGTCTCTGTCTGCATTCTCTCTCACCTTCCTCTTCTTAGGACCCCCCCTCTGCTGTGGGAGTTTAGATAGAGATACAAGCATTGAGAACACTGCAGCAGGCCAGAAAAGGGCAAAGGCATATTGGACAGGATCATGAAAGACATCATAGAGAGAGCCATTTAGGCTGCACCTGATGGGCAAGAAGGACTCAGGTGGGGAATAGGAGGAGGAGGTCAGGGACAGGGAGAGATGACACCACAAGAGCATGAGAAAGGGAGATGGGAAACACAGAGGCAAGAGAGACAATTTCCAGAGATGGTACATTCACCTCCCAGGCTGCTATAGCAACATACCACACTGGGTGGCTTAGAACAACAGAAACTAATTCTCTCATAGTTCTGGAGGCACAAAGTCTAAAATCAAGGTGCCATCAGGGCCATGCTCTCTCTGAAGACCCTAAGGAAAGATCCTTTCTTGCTTCTTTCTAGATCCTGGTATTCCTGAGCTTATAGAGACATCACTGCAAACTCTACCTGTGTCATCACATGGAAATCTCCTTGTGTGTCAAAATGTCCCTCTTCTTATAAGGATGCCAGTTATTAGATATAGGGCCCACCCTAATGCAGTATGACCTCATCTTCACATGATTACATTGGCAAAGACTATTTCCAAATAAGGTCATACATACAGGTACCAGGGATTTGGGACTTCAACATATCTTTTGAGAGACACAATTCAATACACAACAGATATTAAATAAGTTTCCTCTTCTGAGGAAACTGTGGAAGTTTAGTTAAGAATTCTAAGGATGTCTCCAAGCTCAGAGATAGAAAGTAACAGATCTGCAGGGCTCTCCATAGTCACTGCAGGGGACTTATGACAAGTGCCAGCCCTGCTCAGTTTAGACTTGGATCACAAGCAATGGAAAACGAGTGAATTTCATCAAAGGGTAGATCCTGTCCCTTTGGGGAGTCCTTCAGACTATTCTCAGGATGCTTCCAGCTCCAAAATTCCCCATCTGTACTGCAAGTCAGCCTGACTTTCCCAGGTCATCCACTTTGTGTATCTTCTCCCTCCTGCTCCCTCAGCCACCATCATCACCAGTCCTGTGTGCCATAAACTCAGGCTGAATTTCCTGGCTAATAAACTAGTCATTGCCAACAGCACAAATAGTTTCATGTGCCAACTGGCCATTTGCTTCTTAATAAATGGGAGCTTCTTGAGACAAAATTCTTTAATATGGAGGACAGATTTAGCCCAGTGGGGCTTTATCATGTTCCTTAACCCACTAAGCATCTAGGAGAAGTGGGACCTGACCCTTAGAGTAATCCAGTGCTTTGGGGATTGGCTCCCCAACTCAGGGTTAACTGTGTGACCTAAACAGACCTTCAGGGTGACATGGTGGAGAAAAGGGTATAACCTATTTATGAAAAAGAAAAAATGCAGTAACCCAGGAATCGTCAGGCCTGAGCTTTAGTCCCAACTCTGCTCTCAGTTGCTGTATGATCTGCAGTGAGCTCTCATGTCTGCAAAACTCATTCTAGTAATTATCCGTGTGACCAGCAGCAGGTCCCTTCTCCCTGGGCCTTAGCTCTTCTTCCTCTCAGTGGGGGAATGAACAGAGGTCTCCTCTGGTTATGACATTTATTAGTGGTTTTTACAAGATGGTTTGACTCAAATCATATTTTAAAAATTCTTGTCTGTGCTTGAACACTTCAAATGTTTTATTACTAGATCTACAGTACATAACAAAGTAATTGTGTAATTAAGAGATAATGTCAATGCTGTAGAACAATGTTGACAAGATAATAGCCTTCTGAAACCACATAAATGCCAAAGCAAGTGTACAGACTGATAGGTGGAAAAACAGAAAAACAAGTGGCAAATGGCCCACAAGCTCTTTGCAGTCCATGTTGGTTTATTTGCCTCTTTTCCCAGCTTCTGTCATGACATTCAAGTTCTGGTCTCCATCATGCCCCAGTTCCCAGGCATGTGGGTCAAGACTGAGAACGGCAGGTTTCATCTACGGTAGCTGGTCCCCATCGTCCCTTTACTTGCAGACTCACAGAAAATGAGTCCCATCGGCCCCCACGTCTGGAGGGGCTAGAGGTCATGTAGTTCAGACTCTCCTAGTGCCTGCCATTGCCAGATAAAGAAGATGAGACCAGAGTCAAGAAGGATTTGCTCTGGGGAACTTCTGAGCTGATTTATGGAAAAGAGCTGGAGCCCTGGATTCCTTCCCAATTTGCCACTTCTCCTTACTCTAGCCAGAATGCCTTACTTAGATGCATTTTCTCAGTGGAGAGAAGGGAGCTGCAGGAGGTGGAGAAGGGATGGTTCACATGACCTTGAGGCCCAGAGGCATTTCCCTGCAAGCAGAAGGAGGGGATCAGGCATTGTCCTAACCAGGCAGCCTAGAAAGAGGAAAGTCATGGAGTGATACAACTATGAAGGTCATGAGTGGGGAGGAGGGCTTGTTAGCTACATGTTACAGTATTTGGTTTTTTGTTTTGTTTTGTTTTGTTTTGTTTTTTTGAGACGGAGTCTCACTTTGTTGCCAGGCTGGAGTGTAGTGGCCCAATCTCAGCTCACTACAACCTCCACCTCCCTGGTTCAAGAGATTCTCCTGCCTCAGCCCCCTAAGTAGCTGGGACTATGGGCATGTGCCACCATGCCCAACCAATTTTTGTATTTTTAGTAGAGACAGGGTTTTACCATGTTGGCCAGGATGGTCTTGATCTCTTGACCTCATGATCCACCCGCCTTGTCCTCCCAAAATGCTGGGATTACAGGCATGAGCCACCCCACCAGGCCTAGATGTTACAGTATTAAGAAGGGCTGTGCACCCTTGAATTTGAGGAAAGGTAAGAATGGAGCAAAGAGGGACCGTGCTCCTGGTTCATGGGCATGGAAAGAGGCTAGATCACCCTCTTTTGGAAAAAGAGACCTTATGTGCTGCAAAGAGTACTGGGTTTGGAGCCAGAAGAACTGAGTAGAAGCTAGTAATTTGTTCAGTGACTTTGAATGAATAACGGACTTCCCCTTTCTGGGCTATAGCTTCCTTAGCTCTGAAATGAGGGCAATGAACCCAATCAATAGTGCCCACATACCCTGAACTGAGGCTAATTTCCATTTCCAACTGCTCCCTGGGTGGTTAGCATGATTAGGGGGCTAGCTACTCCTTGAAGCTTCTCCCAACGCTAGCATCCACAGATTCTAGGAAAAAATCAATTGATTCACAATGGTTTTGATAAATTCCTGGATACCAGAGCTATAACAGGGTCCTAAGTATAGTTGTGGGGTTAAGTTGCACCAGACCTATGAGAATAATGTCAGGTGGACATGCAATCCCTTGATCTCCCTGTTGGACACAGAAGCCAGGATAAATGGCCCACAGGTCCAAAGAGGTTTCAGCCCTGTCCTCCCACTCCTCCATGCCTTTGAGCATGCTATTCCCTCCTCCCCACCTTGGCCCCCAACCCAACCCTCCTCTCCTCCCCTTCCTATTCAACTTGGGATACCAACTGGGGAATCTCTGCTGACTGCTCTGAGCTGATTAATTACTTTCTTTGTCACACTGAATTATTTATATTGAGACCTGCCAGGATTGTTTGTTTTCAGATTTGTCTTGCAGATTAGACTTCTTGAGGGCAGAAACTGTCTTTTTGTCTCTCTAAATTGGGTGATGATCATAGTGTCTGCACAGAGTAGGAGCCCAATAAACTGCTATTAAATGACAGATACAGAAGGGGGCAGGGAAGTGCTGGGTAGAGAACGGCAGGTCCCTGGCGAGGGCTCCACCCCTGGTCCTGTGCCCATGGACCTAGGTGAGGACAGACACTCCTACCTTGGCGCCCAAATGTTGCATTTTCCAAGACCACCCTGGCCCGCCACGCCCCCATCCTGTGCCTATAAAAACCACGAGACCCTAGTGAGCACACACACAAGTGGCTAGACTTCGAGAGGAACACCTCGGCAGAAGAAGACACAAGTGTCTGGACATCGAGAGGATGTCAAGGGGAGCACATCGGTGGAAGAGCACATGACAGACGCCGGCACACCAGCAGGCCACTGACCGGCAGAAGGACGCAGAGTTTGGCCAGGGCGATCGGAGAAGAGTCCGGCCAGCCAGTGGACGACTCCAGAGGAAAACCATCTCCTTTCCGGCTCCCCCATCTGCTGAGAGCTACTTCCACTTAGTAAAACCTTGTGCTCCTTCTCCAAGCCCACGTGAGATCTGATTCTTCCAGTACACCAAGGCAAGAACCCTGGGATACAGAAATTCCTCTGTCCTTGTGATAAGGCAGGGGTCTAATTGAGCTGACTACCACAAGCTGCCTACGGATGGCTAAACTAAAAGAGTACCCTGTAACACATGCCCACTGGGGCTTCAGCTGTAAACATTCACCCCTAGACACTGCCATGGGGTCAGAGCCCCACAGCCTGCCTGTCTGTATGCTCTCCTCCCATTTCAACAAGGAGGAGAGAAAAAAAGTAGAATGGAAAGAAGGGAGAGGGCAGGCGATGGAAGGGAATGAAAGGAAGGAAGAAAAACGGTGGTTCCAAACTCCTTTCCCCCTGTGAGGTCAGTAGAGAAACTTCAACCCTCTTCTGTACCTGCATGCTTTAGTTTGCATCCAGCACTCAGCCTCGTGCTGCCCAAGGCCCTTCAGGTCTCTCTTCTCCTGGGTGTGTGGGAGCCCACGTCCCTGCTCCTGTGTCAGCTTCTATCCTTCAGGCGTGAGGGAAGGAAAACATGAAGCCCCCACCTAAGTCTCTGTCCCTAATTCACACTCCTGCCTCCCTCCCAGCACAGAAGCCAAAAGAAATATTAGATTCAAGCACCTTTATTCTGAGAGTGCATCCCCCTTCTTAAAACCATCAGTAACTAGGGGGGTTGGAGGATAATTATCTGCTCTACTTGAAAAACGAAATCTTCCTTCATTCCCTACCAGTTATTAACATGAAATGTAAATACAGCAGCAAATGACCCATTACCCATGGCCTGGGAAGTTCTTTTAAGCACAGTGTCTGCTTTTGCAGGCCATATAATAGAGTTCTTCAGTTTTTGATTTATAAAATCATGATTTCAATGATACCAACCATTATTTACTTGTTTATTATAAAAACAATAGAACAACAATAAAAGAAGTTAAAGGACGCCATTCTTTCCCTCATAGGGAAAGAATGTTTGCTCATAGGCATGTGGTGTTGGCTAGTGGCAATTATTGTGTAATCCAATTTTTTAATCCCATTTTTTTCACCTCATATTAATCCATAAGCATTTTCCATGTTCCTACACAATCTTCATAATTATCACTTTAATGGCTGTTTAATATCCCATCAGGTTGATGTGCCGTAATTTACTTAACCATAACCCTCTTTAGAACATAACCTTTTAAAATATTAAACAGAAAGCTCATCAAGGTTTTAAAATAGATGGGGAAGGCGGTTTCTTGGCAACGCACGTGGCATTTCTCAGGTGCGTATGCGCAGGTTGGAGCTGGAGCCTGGGTCTGAGCGGGCAATGGAAACCTGGCAGGGAAAGGGGAGAGGGGTGTTCTGCTCCCAGACTGCATCTTCCCCTGGGCTGCCAGTGCATGCCTTAGCAGCAGTCACTCACCTGCTTGGAAGCTAATAATATTACTAGTAATAACAATGGCTAATATTGACTGGGCTCTGCACTAAAAACTTTATAAAATGCATCTCATTTAATCCTCACAATCAGCCAATAAAGTGATACTATTATTTTCTTCTCCATTTTACAGCCAAACAAACAGACCCAGAGATTACACAGTGGGCAAGTGGTAGTCCTGCCCCCAGGGAGTCTGGCTTCAGAGTCCCTGCAAGTCTGAGCTCCTCTTTCAGTTCCGCAGCTTCTGTGCACTCAATGATTCCCATCCCGCAAGGCCCTCTGCACAGCTTGGCCAGGCTTGTCCTTACCAGGTTGTATCTGGAGCTTTTTGGGGCTTCATAACTCTCAGCCATGGCCTGGACATGGGTACACAAGGCTTTCTGGACCCACCATTTGTGAGTGACTTGCAGATAACGAGCAAGGGACATACACTGATGACAAGAATGGACTTGGGCAGAAACAACCAACCTGGATATGCATTCTGGGCTCTGGTATTTACTAGCAATGAGGCCTTAGGCCACTTACATCTCTTGAAGCCCCAGTTGCCTAGTCTGTAAAATGAAGATAATAGCATCTACCTCTCAAGGTTGTTGTAAAGATTCAAGGTGACATGTGTGACACACATGTAGTACTCAATAATGGGTACTGTTTCTATTATCTCAGCAGATAGATGAGGAACCAGTTTTAATAAGATAAATTCCTTAGGGTCAGAAGCAAACTCTCCACTTCTACCCAGTATGAGACAGAGAAGAAAAATGTGAACATCAAAGGAAAACGTAAGGGTTTTATTTTCCATCAGCTTCAAAGGTATGGCTAGTAGGGTGATAATAACGATAAAACAACAGTAGTAATACTGACATTTATCGAACATTTACTCATGTCAGGCACTATACTGCCCACTCCACATGTGTTAACTCATTTCCTCTTCAAGCATCACACAGTTGAGGAAACCGAGGCACAGCAATGGTTTTGTGGCTGCCTGTGGTATGTCCACAGTCTTTGCTGCATGGAAAATGACAGTGCATCTAGCATGAGGAGCAAGAAGCCCACTGTTCTGTGCTGAGCAGAGCCCCTTGGAGGACCCTTTTCTGTTCTCAGAGCCCTGCAGAGGGAGGAAGGGGGAGCTTCTGACCAGGACAGGGTGTTCTTGAAAAGAACCACCACAGTGAGTTCCTCCTTGAAAGGACTCCAAAATGTCCAGTAAAGACTCTGAATGTTCCAGGATGGTCCCATTAGGGAAGAGAGGATGTGGGGAGGGCTAGCTGCCCTCCTCAAACACTGGGGCTCCATTTTTGCTACTGGTGCCATCCCTGAGTCTTATTACTCTCTAAAAACCCCACACCTTGCCCAGCATATAACACATATTTGCTACAAGTTTGTTGAGTGAATGAATGTGAAGGACAAGAGTCTGTGAGGTCTCAAGGGGTAGTGTTATAGAATGTGGGGAAGCTACAGGGAGAGAAATCAACTCAGCACAAGGAGGATATGTCTATCCAAGTGTGCAAAGATGGCACGGGTGACATCAGCTGATAGGCAGTGAATCTACTGTTGCTGGATTTACTTCAGGAGAGATTGGAGCAATCACCAACCCAGGAGGCCAGCCATTAGAACACTGAACCACATGACCTTCAGGGTTCCCCGCAGCTCTGGAGTCCTGAGACCTAGATCTCCATTAGTCTCCTCTGAAAACTCTCTCTTTCATTTTCCATTCCTGAGATGGAAAGGAATTAAGAAGCTGATAAACTACTTTTTTGGAGAATATAGTGATAGAAAATTAGCTCTGTGTGTTGAACTGTGAATGCTTAAAGACTGATAATGCCTATACTTAATCCAGGGTGATACATCTTTAATGTCGGCATCATCCCCAGAATGCATTTTATGTTGGGGTGGAGATATCTTGGAGCCACAAACTGCCTTGGACATCTTGCTAAGACCTGAGGCCTTCTGCGCAGTAAATGAGTTACCTGTGGATGTCAGATCAGAGTTTGGTTTAGGAAGACACCTCTAGGGCTTGGATTCCTGTTTGTGAGCTGTTCTCACATCCCCAAAAGGGATGACTGGCAGCAAAGCAGGAGGCCATCTGTATTTGTTTTCTATGCTGCATACCAAATGACCACAAACTTAGTAACTTAAAACAACACCCATTTATTACTTCATGGTTTCTGTAGCTCAGAAGTCCAGGAGGACTTAGCTGGGTTCTCTGCTTAGGATCTCACAAGGCAGAAATCGAGGTGTTGGCTGACCTGGAATCTTCCCTGCAGGCTCTGGGGAAGAATCCACCTCCAAGATCATACAAGCTGTTGGCAGAATTCAGTTCCTTGCAGTTGTAGGATTGAGATACCCATTTTTTATGCCACCTGCCAGGCAGGTGTTGCTTCAGTATCTGAGGGCCCCTCCTCGTCCTTTCCATGTGGCCCCCTCATCTCCAAAGCCAGTGGTGGCACCTCAAATCTTTCTTGGGCTTCACAGCTTCCTAAAGCCCCTTCTGTGACCAGCTGGAGAAAACACTGATTTAGAAGGGCTCATGGAATTGGGTTAGAACCACCCAGGTGATCTCACATTCTGAAAATCAACCAATTGGTAACCTACATTACACCTGCAAACTCCTATTTGCCATGTCATGTAATATAGTCACAGGACTAATGTCAGGGGCAGCTATGATGGGAACAGCATGGAATTCTGCTTACCACACCATCTGAGTAGATGGAGAGTGGTGTGCAGGCAGAGGTACCGGGGAAGGAGAGAGACAGAATGACATTGGGGCTGGTGCTCAGATGTGGAGACATAGGAACCATTGAGCATTCGTGCTTTCTGAGGAAGAATCCACAGACCTAGAGAACCTGTGGCAAGGCCTTTTTTCCTCTGCCAGTGTCTCCCACAAAGCCCCAAAACTGGATTCACAGGTGCCCCTCAAAACATACATGCCAGATCTGGGTCCACCCTATTTCCCAGATCAACCTGGCCAGGCTGAAATGTCAGCAGCAGCCTCAGCCGACACTGCCAACCACCCTCAGAATCTGTGAGGTGGGGAAGGCTGGGGAGCCTGAGACTACCATGTCACTGTGTCACACTGCGGCAACTGCATTCCCCAGTATCACCAGACACCAAGCTTCCAGCTGAGGGCTCCTTCCAGCATCCGCCCCGCCTCCTGTAGGCCAGGTCTCCCTGGGAACCACAGCTGCTGAGCTGAGTCCCTGCCACCCTCCCCTAGAGGCAGGGCCTCCTTGCTTTGTCTCCACACTTGTTGGGGTCCTGGCCACACAAGCCCTAGAAGCATTTTGGTCCCTATTTTTTGGTGAGCCTCTATTGAGAGAGCATGCCACAGCATTCAGTCAGACCCTGGTTCAGAGGTGGAAAATTACACAGCTTAGAAGTAGCAGGATTCTAATACCTGTCCTTGGATATGCTCTTGGGCTGGCTCAGAACCTGGGATGGGAGGGTAGCAACACAGCCATGACCTGGGACTCAGGAAACTGAAGTTCCTGGGCAAGGTGAGAAACACCCTACATTACCTCATGTGCCATCTTTTTAATGTTGGAGAGGAGAACATCCTTCTCTTTGCCTAATTAGGTTCAATTTATAGCAAAGATATGCAAGGAAAATAGCCTTTTCTAACTGAGTTCATGGCAGCTACAACCTCTGGGAGGAAGTGGTTCCAGCAGCTGTTGATGGGCTCACTGCCGTTCACAGCTGCTTAAGCAGCAGGTTGGGAAAAGAGGGTTCTCTAGCTCAGTCTCTCTGGGTTCATCGCAAAACATCTCCTGAATGCTCCAGGAATCAGGCTGGAATTTATCATACATTTGGGGAAAATAAGTCAACCCAGTGAAAAGATTTGCTGCAACCTCTGAGAGTTATAATAGCACAAGAAATGGCCTTTCAGATACAATGGCATAAAACCTGAAGTTTTATAGAAAAAAAAACTTAGGTAGTAGGCATGTTTACTCAGGCCATGCCTGCAAGCTGGAAGGTTTGGTTGCCTTCAGCATGGAGCTTCTCTTTGTGGACTTTATCGCAATTTTAATTGCTGCTTGTGTGGCTGTCTACTTCATGCCTCCTCTTCCTCCCAGGGACTGCAGGCTCCATGAGGGAAGAGATGCTTCTGCCTTTTCACCACCAATCCCCACCAGAAAGCTAGTCCCTGACACAGGAGGCATTTATTAACTATCTGTGGAATAAATAAATGAGAGGTTATGTTCTCTTTAAAGCAGAATAGAAAACCAGAATAAAATTGAACAGCAATTGATCATATTTGGAATGGTGCCAAGCTATCAGTTGCACTTAGAATTTGTATTTCTCTAATTCTTGCTCACAGCTCTAGCATGAATGTTAGTGAATAGGTGGTATTTTTAATTCAAGTGTTGATTTCTATAGAAAAGATGTAATTGCTTGTAATCATGTGCTATTAGATCTGAGATACTGCTAACCCTTCTGAGAATCCTAATCATTTGGGCCAGGTGAATACCGTCCGGCCTCACAGGCATGGTGCCCAAGGAAAGTGACAGCAAATGTCAAAACAGCATTCTATCGCACCCCAGGGATGGGAAGAAGATAGAACCTGGTTTTTGGTAGCAGTTCCAACCTCAGGAGGAGCCAGCGTTTGCTGAAATAGGAACTCACATCCATCAGAGGGAGCGGACAGTGAGGCTTTTAATTGCTGACTCTTTTGAACACTGACTCACAACCTCTCTTTGACTGGGGAAATGTCGAAGAATTGCAGCATCAGGAGGGAAGTCCTTCCCATTTGATTCAAAAGACATCAAGGATATTTTTCCCTTTACCTTTTCTATCTTCTCTTTAGGGGACTTTACGGAAACCAGAATCTCTAATAGAAGTGGGTGACAGTAGATTCCTAGCCACTTTAAAGTCCGTAATGAGACACATTCATCTCCCTTCCTGACCCTCTTGAAGGAGTCAACTAAGTTACTTAATATTCTAATGTCCTTGAGTCCCTTGCTTAGAGAATCTCATTTGTTTGTATAAAGAGAAAATTAAAGCCCTACAGTAGGCCTTATGAAAAATTGCTAGAGCTCTTGAGTTAGATTTGGAAGCAGGACACCCACAAACAATAAATACTCCATCCTCCAACAAACTAGAAACTAACACAGCCCCATGAACATGAACTTCCCCAATTCTCCTCAAACAGCACAGAGCGTCAACAGATGGCCCTTTACCCTTTCCTCCCTTACTTCCTTACCCTGTATTCATAAGTTAAGCCCTTCTCAATCCAGTTAGAATCTTTCTCCAGTATCCTGTGTCACCCACCCCAGGTGTGGTGATGTAAAGATTAAGAGTGTGCCCTCTGGAGTCACTCTACCAGGACAAACTTCCCAGTCCCACCTCTTCCCAGCTGATCGACCTGCAGCCAATTATTTAAACTCTCTAAGCTTCAGGCTCTCATCTGTAAGTTGGGAGCAAAATAGTTGCAACCTCACAAGGTTGCTGTGGCAATCAGAAGACACAATCCCTAGTAAGTAAGCCCTTGAGAACAGTTACCTATTATTAATTCTAAAATGCTCTGGCCAAAACCCAATCCTTTCCATTTCCAAACATGCCTATGTTTTTCCTGCTTCTATGCCTTTGATCCCACCTTTTTTTCCCCACCAGAATGCTCTTCTCCTTCTATCTCCTTCACAGAGCAAGCTAAATGCCTCCATTGCCAAGAAGACCCCACTGTTTCCTGCAGCTGGAGGTTTGCCTTCTTCTTTGGCACACTTTTGGCACTGCATCTCTTCTCTTGGTATCAAAGAGCCTGGCTTGGGAGCAGGCAACCTGCTCTGGAGTTCTGGCTCCACCTCTGCCCAGCCATGGGGGCTGAACAAGTGTTTGCATCTGTGTAATAGGATTATTTTTTATATTATACTAGTTACATAAATAATTTTATCAGTTATTTTATTAACAGTAACTACAGAAAGGATTAAATGAGTCACAAAAAAGCACTTAGTACAGTGCCTGGTGCATTAAAAAGTGCTAAGTATTAGCTTTGATTGTTCTGCCTCTCATTTGCAGGTGTCTGGCATAGAGCAGATTTTGCACAAAGCCTTGCAGATGTTACTAAG
Source organism: Homo sapiens (assembly GCF_000001405.40). Lineage (NCBI taxonomy): Eukaryota > Metazoa > Chordata > Mammalia > Primates > Hominidae > Homo > Homo sapiens. The sequence continues at coordinate 40,926,448 of NC_000006.12, forward strand.
GTGACTGTACATCCAAGTTTGCCTGTTGTCCCAGCGTAGAAATTAATAACACCCTCTTTCATCCTAAAAAGTGCCACAGTTTAGCCAATAAATGATCCACCCAAAATATTACCCACTTGGTAAATTGTGTTGAGCTAGTGAAGAAAAGCATGCGTGAGGCTTGTTGACCTAGGACCCATGGCTCAGTTACTCCCCTCACTCCAAATGCAGGACTGACACTGAGAATGCCCCTTCACATGCTCCCTGGCCACACCTCCCCCTACCCCATGACCTCTAGGCACCCTCTGCCTCTAGCCTGACCCTGGCTCTTTGGAATGCTCCACTCCATCAGTGTATCCCAATTACTGCTGCTTCTTCTGCGTCCCTCCTCCCTCTCATCATCTGTACACCTGAAAGCCCATACAAATGTATTTGCATAAAGATGATCATACGTGATCATAGTTTAATGTGATGGGTGAAAAGAGTCTTCAGTCTAACATGAAACAGTGCTTTAACCCCAAAAGAGAAAATTCGGGCATCAGAGATAGGCTGCGGCAGGGGCAGACATTTGCCAGAGGGAGTCACCATAAAACACCCTTTTAATGGATTTGCAGTTATTTTCCAAGGATCTGAATATCTGGACCCATTATCTCTGTGCCCCTGCCTACCCTCAGCTGATGGGGATGGCATCTTTTAGTCTAATGACATATGGCACATGAGCAAGAGTGCCTTTCAGGAACTCCACTCTGAAGACTATGACGATGACCCAGGGAAAAAGGACTAGCTAGTGCACATTCAAGGAGCAGCCATGAATGAAATATGAGCCTGGGGAAAGTGACTGAAGAGGGAGATTCCAAGGGAGCGGGGGCTTCTAGGTGCCCACCTGGAGCTGAAAATGGGACATGGGGGAAGGGTAAAGCTCTGTTTCACTATGATCCAGACTCCAAGAGTAATTCTCATCAGCCAGGAATAAGATGAATTTCCAAGCTCTAATAGCAGAATTAAATTGACATAGCCATATATTTAGCAAACTTCGTATTGAGTGCCTACTCTGTACAAAGCACTGGGTGACTAGAAAAGGGTTCCAGACAATAGTTTCATAGGAAAAGCAGTATGACCCTTTCTCCAAGGATCTTTTGAAGTCATTGTCTAGGTAAAGCAGAAACAAGTAAAGCAAGGGTCTGCAAGTGTTCCATTCAGAATGAGAACCAAACCAGTTGGCACCAAGATTGCAAGTCACTGGGCAAAGGGCTGGAAAAGACCAGTTTTAGGTACCACCCAAGGGTTCTTCGCCCTAGGAAGTGGAGGTTCCCAGGTTATGGAGGCAGGAGAGCAGGCCTAATGGATGGGATCCTTGCAAACCTCATTCGAAAAACAGAATTGAGCACAGAGCATGGTTCAGGGTTAACTCTACCCCAGTTTTCCCAGGAAAGCAAGAGAAAAGCTATGAAGATCAATCAGTGTTGGAAGAGTTAAGCCCCATTCAGGAATTAACAGAGGAATTAACCTGAAGAATCACAGAAACTCATATGACCTGACAACTTTCCAAGCATGTAATTTATCCAATTAAACATTTTATGCCACTGTAACCATACAGGGTTTGTGTTTTCATAACCCCAAAGGTCTTTACTTCTTAGACACTTAGGTTTTCTTCATCTTTCTGCCCAGACACATCTGTCTGTATAATTATATCATCTAAAGCATAATATGTGGTATAATTACATGAAATTTTATTTAATTCTTCATTTTCACTCTATGGTGTACATACTGCTCACAGTTTATATAAGGTGCTTGGAGATGGGGTTCCAGCTTTTGATAAAGCTGCTTTCCTGTCTTTTAGTCACCTCTTTAGGGCCCTGCTCAAGTCCTCTTGTCCACGAAGCTTTCCTTGACCACCCCAGGCCACAATGACCGTTCCAAGTTTCTACAACCCTCATCACTCACTTGACACTTGCCCCATATTATCTTGTCTTCCTAATTTGGTCTTGCATCTGGTAGAGTATGAACTCCTCAAAGGGAAGGACCAAGATCTCCTATTTCTGTTGATCACTTGTAGCATCTGCCCAAATGCTTTGGCACCTGCTGGATCCTCAACCCATGACAAATAGATGCTGATTCACTAGGGCTGGGATAGAAGCCATGCTCCTTTGCAGAGGCACATGTTTTACAAGTTATGCACAATTCTTCTACCAGCCCAACCCAACCAAATCTATAGACAAAGAATGATGTTTAGTTCTGTATCAGTTAGGAGCTTTCAGGTGACAGAAAACCCAATTCAAATTGGCTTAAGCAAAAGACCAAATTAATTAGTTCAGATAACCACAAATCCCAGGAATAGTCTGGCTTCAGGTATTTTTGGATTCAGAGCTCAAGTTATATTATTAGAATGAGGTTTTCCTAACCTCTCAGCTCCTTCTTCCTACATGTTGATCTTCCTCACTTTGCTTCTAGTCTCCTTCTGACAACAGCTTCAGCCCTTACGGTATCTTGATCAATAGAAAAGAACACTGCTATTTGCCCTAAAGTGTCTCATGACATCTCATCAGCTCTGATTTACTCACATGCCAATCCCTGGACTAGTTACTTGGGCCCCAGTGAGGCAGTATGCTGCTGCATGACATAAACCTAGAGGATATGTTCCACCCCTAGAGCCCAGGAATCTGTTTTTAACAAGCCCACCAGATTTTTCTAGTGCACATTAAAGTTTGAGGACCATTGATCACGCGTCTGGCCACATGAGTAGGCGAGAAAAGAACCAAGAGAATGGGGGATGAGATCACTGGAGGCAGGAAGCACAGCATATTTGCTGGAACATCTATATAAATATGGAATTGCTTAAAATGGCATCAGGGCCTGGGGAAAGCAGTGAAAGACCATCAGCTAGGGGTACCACCCATCAAAGAGTAAATTTCACTTATAAGACTCAAAGATACATTTAGACTTTGGTCCCCAGTTAGATCCATCTGACTCGAAGTCATAAACTTGTGAAATCTCAACTTTGGAAAAGACCTTAAAGGTCATCTATTCCAAACTCCATCTCTTTTTTTTTTTTTTTTTTTTGAGACAGAGTCTCGTTCTGTCACCCAGGCTGGAGTGCAGTGGTGCTATCTCAGCTCACTGCAACCTCTGCTTCCCAGGATCAAGCGATTCTCCTACCTCAGCCTCCAGCACGTGCCACCACGCCAGCTAATTTGTTGCAATTTTTTAGTAGAGATGGGGTTTCATCATGTTAGCCAGGATGGTCTTGATCTCCTGACCTCGTGATCCGCCCGCCTTGGCCTCCCAAAGTGCTGGGATTACAGGCGTGAGCCACCGCGCCCATCTCCGTTTGATCCCAGAACCCCTTGGACATCATCCCTTGCCCACTGTTCATCTAGCCACTACACAAGTACTTCCCCTAATAGAGACATCCTTACTGCTCAAAGCAGCCGAATCATCTTCTAATGCTCTAGATGTTTAAAATGTCTTACTCTGTTAGGCAGAAATCTCTCTCTTTATAAATTCCTTCCATCAGTCCTGATTGTACTAGGAATGATACAAGACAATTCTATTCCTTGTTCCAAAAGACACCCCTTGCATATTTGAAGACCGTATTATCCCCCCTGTATTTCTTCTAGCCTCCAGGATACACAGCCCTAGAGATGTCTGTCAGTCATCCTTTGGGTGTTGTGGAATCTAATCCCCTACCTCTCCTGGTTGCCCTCTCTCCTGAAGGTGTTCTAGTTGGTCTGTGTTCCTCCCTCTTGGAGTATGATGCTCAGAACACAACACTCCAATAGTGATCTAATGAGAGAAGAATAGAACCATTGTCTCATTCTAGACACTACTTTTCTATTATTACATCCCAGCATATGTTAGCATTTATAGCAACCACTTCTCAGTGCTTACTTATCATGGCTTTCTCCTAATCTCCTCCCTCTTTGCCCTTGTGCAGCTGCTAGTTTACATCTCTCTCATTATAGACCCTGCGAAGTTTGTTTGTGAGCCCAGGTTTATGACCTTAGAAATAATAAGTGAATTTCAGACAAGAAGAATAAGCTACACAATTCTATTACCACTGCTTACTCATTAACTATTGTAATCTTTTAAATAACATGCCAGGATTTAAAAAATAAAATTTCGCAAACATGGAAGACTTACCATGTACAAATAGTGAAAACATGAGATGAATAAGTGAGGAGGGGAAGGGCTTGCTTTTGGTGGGACTCATGTTTTGGCCAAGGAAATAGAGTGAAACAACCAACCCCAGGAGTGGGTGGCAGTCGCCATGGTTATGGTGTAATGGTAACTCTCATGTCTGCCCCAGGACTGAGGGGCCTTACTCAAGAGCTGACAAAGTAACTGCAGTTGGAAGGGCGTGTCTTATTTCTGCAGTCAACAAGGGAGGAGCCAGGCCTTCCAGGAAGCAGGAGCCGCATGCCAAGACCCAGAAGCATAAGCACCATGTACATTCTGGGAAATGGGGCTGGTCCCAGCTGGTTGGGACCTGTGGGGTCCCCTGTGGGGAGAGTGGTGAGGGAAAAGTGAGGTTCTAGCCAGACTGTCAGGGCCTGGAAGACCATATTGAGTCTGAATTTTATAATGTGGTCTCTGAGAAGAGAATGAAGATCCTTAAAGGAGGAAAACCGGCAAGTGGAATCGACACTGGAAAGCAAGGAGACCAGAGAAGAGGTTGCTACACTCAACTGAGGAGTGATATCTAGAACATACAAGTGTTTCATGCAGATCAATTTAAAAAAAAGAGAAAGAAAGAAAGCAGAATAGAAAAGCAGACTAAAGATATGAACAGACAATTGGTAGAATGGAAAACACAAATAGCCACTAAATATATATAAAGGTGAAGACCTTGTTGGCAATCAGGGAAATTAAAATGAACACTACAACATATTGTCATTTCACAGCCATCTGATGGGCAAAATTTAAAGTATAATAATACTGAGCATTCCTGAACTACTCACACACTGATAATAAGAGTACAAATTATAGGCTTCTTTTGGAAAGCAACTTGTCAACATCTAATGAAGTCGCAGTGTGCACATCATTGCATCCAGGATTCCAAGTCACCATATCAGTCCCATGTGCTCACAGGAGTATATACGAGGATGTTCATTACAGCCTTGCCTGTTACAGCAAAAGAGAATGAGAAAGAGACAGAGCACACCTAACTGGCTGTTATGGGCTGAATGGTGTCCCCCCAAAATTCATATGTTAAAATCCTAACCCCTAGAACCTCAGAGTGTGACTATATTTGGAGATAGAGTCTTTAAAGAGGTGGTTAAGTTGACATGAATTCATTGGGATGAGCCCTAATCCAATATGCCTGGTGCCCCTATAAGAAGAAAAGATTAGGACACAGGTAGGCACAGGGAGAAGATAGCCATCCATGAGCCACAGAGAAAGGCCTCAGAAGAAACCAACCCTGGCAACACCTTGATCTTGGACTTCTAGACTCTGGCATCAAGAGGAAATAAATTTCTGTTGTTTAAGCCACCCAGTCTGTGGCACTTTGTTATAGAAGCCCTAGCAAACTAATACAATGGCCTTCAATGGGGGCATAAAGTTAAAAATAATTAAATTAAAAGAATAAACCAGATCTATGTGTATCAACATGGCTGCAGCTTGACAACATAATGTCACATGAAAAATCAAGTTGCAGAAAGTACAGTCAGTATGATGGGAATTCTGTAACGTGGCTGGGAATTATACAAACTAATTTCAGGATATTAGTCATGGTGGGGAGGGACAGGAATGGGGTGGCAGGGAGGTGGAAAGAGGCTTCAACTGTATCTATAAGGCTTCATATACATAAATAGATATAGAGGTATAAATGACAGAAAGTAAATATTTGCTAATTGTGGTGGTAGGCACATGTTATGTTTTTCTCTGTATTTTATTGTATTTTATTTTTATATATGTTTTTAAATTGTTTTAAGAGGAGATTGGGAAAGGAGTGCTGAGGACCTGAACCAAGGCAGCAGCTCAGAGGGAGGAACTCACCAGCATCTCATTTTCAGAAACTATCTTTTCTCTTCACGTGTTATCTATTCCTTTTCTTCCAGGAGATAGTGTAGTGCTCTGTTCCAGAATGAAGATACTAGCTGCTTTCTTCCCTGGATGAGTCCTGGAAGCTGCAGGACTGGAAGTCATGAGACTTGACTCATGTTTTCCTTTTAAGTTCTTCCAGCTCAGAAAAATGGAAACCTCTTTTAGGTGTTCTCGCTAAAGCCTTTGCCCAAGGGTCCCACCTTTCATAATGACACAGCATGTCCAGACCATGCCCTTGGTGTTGAGCTTTCAGGACTCAAGTCACACACATGTTCATTTTGCCCACAAAAGGCAGTGACGCCAGGCCCAGCAATGTTCCTGAAAAGGGCACAGATGGGTTTCTGGTTCCACCCCTGCCTCTAATCAGACCCATTTCCCTGGGCAAGTCTCTCACCCCTGAGGCTCGGTTTCCCTTCCGTGATACCAGGGGTTTGGACTAGATTTCACCCATCCCCTATGCATCTCACCCTGTTTGTGTGGCGGAAGCATGGCTCTTACAGGACAGGACCCATTCAGGCTTGGCAGCCACCAAGTCAGGCCTCCCCCTGCTGAGCTGCCTGCAAAGTTGTTCATTTATCTTGTCCGGAAGAGGCAGCTCACTTGTGAATCTTGGCATATCAATCAACACATCCAGCAGAGGCATTGAGAGATTCAGAGCCCGCAAAGCATATCTAAGCTTGTTTATGGCTATCCTAAGGGCTGTGCTAGTTGCTTGCAAACAAAATGCTCCAACTCATTGTGGATCTATATTTGGTTCCAGCATGAACATTGTAATCGCTAAAATTCAAAACCAGGCAGACAGTCGGCGCCTTGGGACTTGTTTCTGAGGCTGAACTGGGATATGCCGGGGGTAATCAACCAACTGATCCTTCAATATTTGTTGGCTCCTTGGCCTGTACCTGTTGGCCCCATTGTGACTTGGGCAGAATTTGTCTTTAGTGCTTCTGCTCACCCATCCCCAAAGCCTTTGCACCTCCGGGCCCCTGCCTTGTTTGAGTACCTAGTACTCTCTTCTCCCTCCTCTACTCCAATCACACCTCTCTCTCAGGGAAGAATGTATCCCACTTCTTGATCTCTTGAGCTTGCTTTGTTCAAAGAACATCCTTGTTCCTTTATAAGGACTTCCAGGCAACAGGGAATAAGCAGGTGGCAAACGTATGCTCTTTGATCTGACATCCTTCCTCCACTCCCCACCCATGATTCCCTCTCCACAATGTGGTGGGAATAAATCCCTGCCTTGGCCCTTACTGTCCTGTGGTCAACCTTAAAGCAGGTTGCTCAACTCTCCAAGCCTCAATTTCTCATCCATAAAATAGGGAACACGGTGCCTACTTTCCAGGGCACCTTTCAGGTGCTACTTTCCAGGGCACTTTCCAGGTGCCTACTTTTCAGGAGTGATGCATTAAGGTACATTAAGCCCCTGGCCCTTAGAAGATGCTCAGTAAACAACAGCTATTATAACTGTCATGGGTTTAGAGGAGGGCAGGGGTTCCTTCCAGGGTTTCCAGCTCACATGATGTTAAGCACTGTGTTATGCACTAGGCATTTCAGAGGAAGAAGCTCGAGTTCATGATGTTGAGGACTTCAGTTCTAACGAGAGAGCTAATGCCACATTACAGAAAATAAACAGTGACTAACACATAGCCGCACAGAGAGTAGCAAACCCCCCAAGCATGGCAGAACTAGAGATTTAGGACTCCAGGCCTGTAATGATGAGCCGTGGAATTAACCCCACACTGGGCATCTGAGACTGAGGGGTTCCAGTCCCAGCGCTTCACCCAGCTGCCAGAGAGCCTCTGCTTCTCCATTTTCTCATGTATAAATGAGAGAGTTGGATTTGGTTAATCTCTATGGTCCATTTCTGATCGTACATTCTAAATTTTTTTTAATTCTCTCACTTTAAACAGCTGCCAGCCTGCCTGCCTTTCTTCTTCTCATGAGCTTTGTTTTTAATGCGATAAATAAAACAAAGACTTTTGCCCACATGGAGTTTACATTTTAGGGGAGACAGATAATAAAGATAATAAGCCCAATGTATAAGATGTCAGGTGGTTAGGAGTGCTACGGAGAAAAATTAGGCAGGGGATAGGGGATGATCAGGAGGAGGGTGTGCAACTTAACTGAGGAAGGCCTCCCTAGCAAGTAACAAATAAGCAAACCCCTGGAGGAGGAGAGGGAATGGGGAACAGCAGGGCCAGGGATCCCAAGGATGGTGAGTGGCCTTCACGGTGTGTGCAGGGGGCCTTGCAGACAGTGCTGCAGCACAGACACAGGTGGGCGGGTGCGTGAGCTGGGAGCATGTGGAAGCTCTCTCCCCTCAATGGTGTCTGTCACGGTGAAATAGGAGGTGAGGTCATGAACTGAAAGGACAGGGATGGAGGTGTCAGAGGTTGGAGGAGAGGAGAGAAGCCATGAAATGGCTACCTGGGAGAGTGGGAGCAAGAAGGACAAGGGAAATGCTTAATTCCTTTCTGTGCCTTAAGAAACTGGTTCTCATGACCTAGCTGGGGCACAATAGAGCATTTTTATCCATTCACACATTCATTTGGCTAAATGTGGGTGAGTGCCATTGGCTGGCACCCTCTGAGGCAATGTCAGACCAAGAGACCTTTATATAGGGTCACCAGACCTCCCTATTAGCCCAGGACTTTCCCTGAGACAAAGATTTGAATGTAAGTTATTTATTGGGGAAGTAAAGGTTGGCGGTTAAGGAAAGGAGGAGCAAATCCCAGTGGCCACCGTGGGCAGCTGGGGCTCAGCCCTATGGGGGCCTCCAGGAGACTGTAGAGCACTGCATCACCATCCCCATGGAGGAGGAGAGTGTGCGTCCACCAACTCCTGTCCCTCACTGGCTATGCGCTGCTCCCCACGGTGTTAACTCTGGCTTTTCTAGCCTGCTCCAGTGAACAAAGAAAGCCCCCAGGCTGGCAGTGAGCACCTCAGAGGGTATAAGAGCAGTGAGGGTAAGAAAATATGAGCAGGCATCAGCAGCCTCAGTACCACGCTTGGAAGTGTCTTGGCTTAGATAAAAGGTTATATGTCATCCTAAGTATAAGACACAGTCCTTCCCTTCAAAGGATGAATTTAGAAGGGAGGCTAAGAAAAGTCTTAAACATAAAAAAAAGTAAAAAGAAACCATAAGAGAAGAAACAGGATGGCATAGGCTAAATGCCAAGTGAGTCTAGTCATCAAGGAGTTAGGGGAGGAGGTGACTTCTGGGACCTGGGATGGAGGAGAAGGTGCCTGAACTGGGTGGAACTGGGTGAGCAGGCAAGTAGCAGAGGGCATGAGCAGGGACCTGCTTCACCGAGATGGCTGTGTTTTGCCTTTGTATCCAAAGCTGACACAATGACAGGTGGCTGCTGCTAACTTGGAGACCCCAAGGTGTGGTAGAGAAAGACTGATGCTCATCCAGAGATGCCTCTGGCCACCTGCGCCCTGCAGGTGCAAGGCAGTCTTGATTTGCAGCTGAGGCTGCTGTTTGGGAAGCTGTCATGGTTCAGAGGCTTTTCTTCAGGGAAGCATAAAACAAAGAAGGAGCTTCTCGCAGGTTGTTATAAAGCAGTCTCAAAAATATACCTCTGATTTCCAGCCTTCCTGCACAGGGCAGCTGCTGAAGACACAGCCATGATTCACTCCAACAAATGATCTCAGCATCTTTCTTCCTGCAACACTGTAGAAGTTTCGGAAATTTGGCCTGTGGTTCACTCCTGTTCTCCAAACTCTGAAGCGTGGGGGTAGCTGAGCACTTGGATTCCGTATTTTGATGAGGATGAATTAATTCGTGCACAAACACACAATCACAGACCTACCACTTGGGTTGGGTGTTCTAATGAGGGAGGTGATTGCATGATGCTGAGTCAGGACAGGGTGGCCCTAGCCTAATTGCCTTCCATTCTAGGCCTGGAGACCAGTGTCTGCTGTGCTCCTGAGGTGAACCCTCTCCTTTCTCCAGCCACCTCCTCCTGTCCCTTTACCGAGATGCAGACTCTCCCAGGTTCCACCTTTCAGTCCTGTTCCCAAACTGCAATAGCTCTCCCCAGAATTACCACAAAAGCCAAAAATCTACTCATCTGCTTCCACACACTTCTTCCCACCCTGTGTTTGGGGAATAAATTGTTCTCAAACACCTCTTTGTTCTTTTTGCCCCATATGGTTCAGGAACATTCAATGGCTCCCTACGACCCACAGAATAAAATCCACATTCAAACAGAAGGCCCTCCACCAACCAACTTCTGCTCCCTGCTTCCCACCGTCTTAGCTCCTTACATCCCAAGACAGCCTATCTGCATTAGCCAAGTCCCTCAACTTGCTCTCCCTGCAAGACTTGCTAGTTCTGACTTCCCAGATTTCTACTTTCACATTCTCCCTGCCTTCAAGAGGTCCCTCCCCTTAGCAAATCCATTTCCATTGCTTGAAGCCAGAAGAGGTGACAACAGTGAACTTTCCCAAAGACTAAACACTCACTGCACACTGATCACCATGACTAATCAGTGTGCCCTTCAAGTCAGGACCCACATACTTGATGATTGAATGAACAAATAAAGAAGCCTTCCTGGCTAGGCCTCCCTGTTCAGATAATCCCCCTTGATACGGCGAGTCTCAGCATGAGTGGGTAGAATAGTTACAGCTTGAGTCGTTTCCCCTTACCCCACAGCCCCCTATATGTAGCAATTTGCAATTTTGCTGAGGCAGATTTTAGTGTCTTGCTGTGAGGCTGATGCTTAAAGTGACTTAGCTAGAGAGAGAACCCTACAGAGCATTCAGCCTCCAAATTTAAACTCGGTTCTGTTTTACTCTGCTCATCTGTCACATATGCAGTGGTTGTCAGGAAGTAATTTCAGAAAATGTTTTTCCTCCTGAAAATGACCAATTTTTTTCCCAAGGGAAATAGAAGACTTTGGTAATGGTGTAAAGGCAGTCCCCTTGTGGTACTGGCAATGCTGGCCTCCTTTTTGATTTGACTGTAGGCTCCCCCTCTGTTTGGTTCATATTGGCTCCTCAGTGCCTGGCACATGGAAAGTGTTCAATGTTCATTTACTCTATGTGTAAATACATGAGTGGGGACTGTACTGTGCAACTGTGCTTCAGAAATGTAGTTCTAGACAGGAATGCATTTCAGGGAAAAGCCAGGAAGCTGCACAAACATTTTAGCATTCAAAAACATGAGGATTTACAATGTTTCCCAGATAAATCACTCATGCAAGCCCACAGCTTCTCCTGCACATGGCCATCTGCCCCATTGGAATTTCCTGCTGTTCTTTCAGGTGCACGTGGTTGTGTCCTCAACTTAAACAGATTCTTGAGGGCAGGCACTTGGTGTCGTGTCTTCATGTCCCTCACAGAGCTTGAACAGTGCTGGCAAGATCACAGAAGGTGGAGAGTAAATGTTTGCTGACTAACCAATGGGAAGGTTCCCTTGGGAAAGGATGGATTTGCAACTCTGCCCATGGGCCCTAGAGCCACCCATGTGGTGCCCCTTTCTCAGGGAGCAGGTGCCTACCCCTCCCCTCCTGGAGTAGCCACATCAGGGCAGCTCTAAGGCCAAGACTACCTTCAGCAGTACAAGAATCACAGACTGTTAAAAATGTCAGAGCTTACAGGCCACCTCATTCAACCTCCTTGTTTTTCAAGCGAGGGAACTCTGAATCCAGGGAAAGGAGCTAATTCTGTCTCAAGCTCTCAATGCCCAGTGCCCGCTTATCCTTCCCACACAGGATGCTCCTTCCTGTTGGCCTTCTCAAGCCTCCTTGCCCCTCTAAGACTGCTGAGGCCCCCATTGTCCAGGAGGGCCCAGGTTCACATTAACCTTGCACACAGGAAATAGTTAGTGAATATAGCTGTGGAATAAATGAATGACCTCTACAATTAGAGTATCATATCCTGGTATTTTTGAGATGAGAAACCACTCTGCCTCTCACCTGCAGCCCTAAGCTTCCCTGAGGCTTCTGGGAGTTCTGGTTGGACTGATGAGCTGGAGGTGAATGCTAAGGGGGACCTTATCTGCAACCTACACGCAATCACTCACCCCTCTTCCCATATCCTGAATTGCCTACAGACCCACAGACAGGCACCAGGGCTCCATGATTCAATGGTTTTAACTCGAACAGCATTTGTTATTGTTTTTCATTTTTAATTTTTGTGGTATATAATAGGTATATATATTTATGGTATACATGAGATGTTTTCATACAGGCATGCAATGTGAAATAAGCACATCATGGAGAATGGATTATCCATCCCCTCAAGTATTTCTCCATTGAGTTGCAAACGATCCATTTACACAAGTTATTTTAAAATGTACAATTAAGTTATTGTTGACTACAGTCACCTTGTTGTGCTATCAAGTAGGAGGTCTTGTTCATTCTAACTACATTTTTTGTACCCATTAACCATCCGCACCTCCCCCACAGCTCACCACTACCCATCCCAGCCTCTGGTAACCAGCTTTCTACTCACTATGTCCATGAGTTGAACAGTATTTATATTGTGTTTCTTCTATGTTCCAGGCACAGAGCCACAGGCTTGGGTCCCTTTACATGAAATTTATAGTCCCTCACTGAACGTCCCTGTTTTGGACAGAAGAACCATCTCTGATTTATCACTCTGTCTTGTGAAATACAAAGAAATAAGGTCTTCAAGTTACCATGTCCATTTACCCACCCCAGACATCCTCTCAACCAAATCACTGTGAACTTATCATGGAGTTCCAGTGCCCCACCACAAAGAAGAGAAGGAAGAGTAGAAAGGGTTTGGCTAGAGTTTCCTGGCCTGGCTTTTCTATTCTACTGGGTAGACCCTCATGGGGCCCAGAGGCTCAGTGACATCTGCCCTCCTCTGGCAGTCATGTAGGATGGAGACACTCCAGGTACCAGAAGGGTCCCAGCTAAAGGAAAGTCCAGTTGTACAGCCCTTAGAGAGAATCTCCTAGGCCTCACTGGAGAAAGATGGCATCACCCCAGGGCTCCTGCCTGAGGACCAACTTATTCCAAGGCCTTTACTTAGTAGAAGAACATATAACACCATTATGTAACTTTGAAAAGTAAAATCCATGTTGATTAATAAAAGTGACTTTTCCAAAGCTGTACTAACGTGTGCTCAATTTCAAATCCATTTCCCTTGCTTAATAGACTGAAAAGGTTTGAGGGATGACTTTCAATCAGGGTGCTTTGTCATGGTCCCCAGAGAAACTCTTCTCTTCAGGGGCCAGCATGGAGGAGGAGAGGCAGGGATTGTCTGCTTTCTCGGCATAATCTAGATTCTACAGACCCTGGACACTCTGATATCAGTCCTATGGTGAAGCAGGAGAAAAATTGAGACCCTCTGGCAACATGTCTTATCTGGGGATGATAGCTCTCCTCCAACCTCATCCTAGGGGTTCTTCAAGAGGACTTCCTTGAGAGCAAGATGTTGAAACTATAGTAAAACAAAACAAACCCAAACACACCATGAGCTGAAGCTTTGGAATCCTAAACTCTGGCTCAGGTCTCCCATTAACTTGCCATGTCTCCTTGGGCAAATAGTTTCACGTTTCTGCACCTTAATTCCCCCATCTATGTAATGAGAAAATCTAACAAGATGAGTGGTTCTCAGTTGGGAGCTGATCCCCACCTAAGTGGTCGGGGGAGGTCACTACAACTTGTGGGGCTACTGGTATTTAGTGGGTAAGGTCATGGATCCTAAATGACTTACAATGCATAAAACAGTACCCTATGATAAACAAATTATCCCACCCAAAATGCCAGAAGCAAACTCACTGAGAAATATTGAATTACATGATGTTCTGAGGTCTTCCCAACTTTGACAAGTCTGTGATTCTAAGTTTTAACTATCCCTGTTCCACCTCTCTTTCCTTGCTTTCTCCATGTAGTAAATATCTACCAAGTATCTTTCATGTGCCAGGCACTATTCTATGTGCTAGAGTGGTCGGTGGGAGCAAAACAAAGTTCTGGCTGCCATGGAGCTTATATTTTAGTGAGGAAGACAGATGAGAACCCCAGATACAATAGACACATGATCTATTATCATGTCATGAGAAGTGCCATGGAAAAGGCAAGCAGGGTGGGGGAGGATAAAGATGGGGCATGCAGGTGCTATCCTCTGTCAGATGGTCAGAGAAAGCCGTCTCCAACAAGTGACTTTTAAGCAGAACTGAAAGACGTGAGGAACAAGCCATATGGACATCTGGGAGTGAATGTTCCAGGGAGAGGACATGTGAAGACCACAACAAGTGAGTGAGCCTAGAGTATTTAAGCTTCAGCAAGGGGGCCAGTGTGGCTGGAACAGAGAGGATGAGGGGGAAAGTAAGGAGAAGATGAGATCGAAGACGGTATGAAGGTCAGATCATAGAGCACCTCTGCTAAAAGTCAGCATCGGCATAACCTGGGAGCTGGTTAGAAAGAGTCTCAGGCCTCACCCCAGACCTACTAAGTTAGTATCTACATTGATCAAGGTCCCCAGATTCTCAATTAAGGTTGAGAAGTGTGGTTGTAAGCAGCGGGTCTCAACCCTGGCTGCTCACCCGGGAAGTTTTTTAAAATGCTGGTGCTGGGATGGTTTAACATATGCAAGTCAATAAATGTGATACATCACATAAACAGAATTAAAAACAAAAATCATATTATCATCCCAATAGACATAAAAAAGCATTTGGCAAAATCCAGCATCCCTTTATGATTAAGACCCTTAGCAAAATTGACATAGAAGGGATGTGCCTTAAGGTAATAAAAGTCATCTATGACAAACCCACAGCCAACATTATACTGAACAGGAAAAGTTGAAAGCATTCCCCCGAGAACTGGGACAAGACAAGAATGCCCACTTTTACCACTTCTGTTCAACATAGTACTGGAACTCCTCGCCAGAGCAATCAGACAAGAGAAAGAAATAAAGGGCATCCAAATTGGTAGAGAGGAAGTCAAACTGTCACTGTTTGCTGATGATATGGTTGTATACCTAGAAAACCCTAAAGACTCATCCAAAAAGCTCCTAGATCTGATAAATGAATCTAGTAAATTTTCAGGATACAAAATCAGTGTACACAAATCAGTAGTACTGCTATACGCCAACAGTGACCAACCTGAGAATCAAATCAAGAATTCAACCACTTTTACAATAGCTGCAAAAAAAATTAAACATTTAGGAATATACCTAACCAAGGAGGTAAAAGACCTCTACAAGGAAACTACAAAACACTGTTGAAAGATATCATAGACGACACAAACAAATGGAAACACATCTCATGCTCATGGATGGGGAGAATCAACATTGTGAAAATAACCATACTGCCAAAAACCATCTACATACAAATTCAATGCAATTCCCATCAAAGTACCATCATCATTCTTCACAGAACTAGAGAAAACAATGCTAAAATTCATATGGAATCAAAAAAAGAATCCACATAGCCAAAGCAAGACTAAGCAAGAATAACAAATCTGGAGGCATCACATTACCCAACTGCGAACTGTACTACAAGGCTATAGTCATCAAAACAGCATGGTACTGGTATAAAAATAGTCACATAGACCAGTGGAACAGAATAGAGAATCCAGAAATAAAGCCAAATACTTACAGCCAACTGACCTTCAACAAAACAAACAAAAGCATAAAGTAAGTAAAGGACACCCTATCCAACAAATGGTGCTGGGATAATTGGCAAGCCACATGTCAAAAAATAAAACTGGATCCTCATCTCTCACCTTATACAAAAATCAACTCAAGATGGATCCAAGACTTAAATCTGGCCAGGCACGGTGGCTCACAACTGTAATCCCAGCACTTTGGAGGCCGAGGCAGGAGGATAATTTGAGGTCAGGAGTTCGAGACCAGTCTGGCCAACATGGGGAAGCCCTGTCTCTACTAAAACTACAAAAATTAGCTGGGCATGGTGACGGGCACCTGTAATCCCAGTTACTCAGAAGGCTGAGGCAGGAGAATTGCTTGAACCTTGGAAGCTGAGGCTACAGTGAGCTGAGATCATGCCACTGCACTCTAGCCTGGGCAACAGAGCAAGACTCCATCTCAAAAAAAAAAAAAAGACTGAAATCTAAGACCCGAAACCATAAAAATTCTGGAAGATAACATTGGAAAAACACTTCTAGACATTGGCTTAAGCAAAGACTTCATGACCAAGAACCCAAAAGCAAATGCAACAAAAGCAAAGATAAATAGATAGGACTTAACTGAACTAAAAAGCTTCTGCACACCAAAAGAAATAATCAGCAGAGTAAACAGACAACCCAGAATGGGAGAAAATTTTCACAAATTATGCACCCAACAAAGGACTAATATCCAGCATCTACAAGGAACTCAAACAAATCAGCAAGGAAAAAAAAAATCCCATCAAAAATGGGCTAAAGACATGAATAGACAATTCTCAAAAGAAGATATACAAATGGCCAAGAAACATATGAAAAAATGGTCAACATTACTAATTACCAGGGAAATGTAAATCAAAACCACAATGTGATACCACCTTACTCCTGCAAAAATGGCCATAATTAAAAAATAAAAAAATAATAGATGTTGGTGTGGATGTGGTGAAAAGGGAACATGTTAAACTGCTGGTGGGAATGTAAATTAGTACAACCACTATGGAAAACAGCATGGAGATTCCTTAAAGAACTAAAAGTAGATCTACCATTTGATTCAGCAATCCCACTACTGGGCATCTATGCAGAGGAAAATAAGTCATTACACAAAAAAAATAAAATAAAATAAAATAATTTAAAAAAAAAACACTTGCACATACATGTTTATAGCAGCACAATTCACAATTGTGAAAATATGAAACCAGTCCAAATGCCCATCAATCAACGAGTGGATAAAGAAAACTGGTACACACACACACACATATACACACCATGGAACACTACTCAGACATAAAAAGGAATGAAATAATGGCATTTGCAGCAAACCAGATGGAGTTGGAGACCATTACTTGAAGTGAAGTAACTCAGGAATGAAGTGAAGTAACATTGTATGTTCTCACTTATATAAGTGGGAGCTAAACTATGAGGATGCAAAGGCATAAGAATATGATCCAATGGACTTTGGGGACTCAGGGGGAAGTGTGGAAGGTGGGTGGGGGATAAAAGACCACACACTGGGTACAGTGTACACTGCTCAGTTGATGGGTGCACCAAAATCTCAGAAATCACCACCAAAGAACTTTTTCATGTAACCAAACACCACTTGTTCTCCAAAAACTATTGAAATTAAATGAATAAATAATGCTGATACCCAGGTCCCATCCCAGACCAATTAAGATTTCCTGGTGGTAGGTCTAAGTAAATATATTTATTATAAAATCTTCCCAGGTAATTCAAAACGTGCAGCCACGATCAGACCACTGGATCACACATGTCCACACCTTTCAGCCTCACTAAGCAAACTCGGTGAAACGGATGAGCCTCTGCAAGGGCGTGGATGCCTCTGCACTGGAGCTGCTTGCTGCATTCTCTGTCCCCCCTGCTGACTGTCAGGTCCTCAAAGATAGGGTTGTGCAGCCTTCACTGCTGTGTCCCCAGTGCCTAGCCTGTAGGATCTGCCCCGTGCATAGCTGTTTAAGAAATAGATGAACATTTGAATGACCAGAGAGAACTTGCCTGCCACACCCAACCTTACCTGTCACATAGGATTCCCAGCTGGGAGCTTTGGTGACTCCAGCCCCATCTGGGAGGGATGCTTCTCATGGTACCTCTCCTCCTCCTTCAGACAATGGCTCCCTCAACCACTAACAATTCTGACTCCATCTTCTCCCCTTGGTGATTCAGGTAAATGGAACCTTAGACCACTGGAGTCTAAGGTACCTTTAGAGGTCGTCCCTGCCC
This sequence comes from Homo sapiens, assembly GCF_000001405.40. Lineage (NCBI taxonomy): Eukaryota > Metazoa > Chordata > Mammalia > Primates > Hominidae > Homo > Homo sapiens. The sequence continues at coordinate 40,944,306 of NC_000006.12, forward strand.
CCACCCCCCGACATACACACACACCTCTCACACAGAAGAAGAGATTACAGAAGAAGAGATTCCAGAAAGGGAAACTGACTTGCACAGAGGCATAGAGCAAAATGAGCAGCAGGGCTGGGCCTTGATTGCCATCCTCCAGCTCCCAGTCCAAAGCCCTGCCCACTGCCCCCCACTTGCTTCTTGGCCTTTGCATCCCTCTTCCATGTCCCCTCTTCACTTCTTCTTAATTCCCTGCCTGCTGGCTCCAGTCTCTCTTCCTCCCTTATTTCTCACACCAGAGCCAGATCTAGATTGGCCAGGAGCAGTGGCTCACACCTGTAATCCCAGCACTTTGTGAGGCCGAGGCGGACAGATCACCTGAGATCAGGAGTTCGAGACCAGCCTGGTCAATATGGTGAAACCCTGTGTCTACTAAAAGTACAAAAATTAGCTGGGCATGGTGGCATGTGCCTGTAATCCCAGCTACTAGGGAGGGTGAGGCAGGAGAATCGCTTGAACCTGAGGTGGAGGTTGCAGTGAGCCAAGATCATGCCACTGCACTCCAGCCTGGGTGACATAGCAAGACTCTGTCTCAAAAAAAAAAGAAAAAGAAAATCGAATGGAGCCTGAAGCTTGTACAATTTTAGGATCCCTTGTAAGGAAAACAGTACAATATTATGAACACGAAATAGGGTACAAAAGTAAATATCTTAAGAAACACATTAAAAATTAGAAACTCCAAAAGCTGACAAATACCACAAATGTATCTACAATGCAGAAAAGTAATATCCTATCATTAACTGCTTGTCACAGCCCTCTAATACTAAACTTATAATTTTATACATTTGATGACTGGGAGAATTTCCATCACCAGCTAGCTTCTGGCTCTATACTCAAACCTTGCTATTCCTCCACTACCCACATTCTTCTGGTGCTGGGTGCCATGGGTTCCATTTGCATGGTGAGGCAACTTGGCCTACATCACTACATAGGGTGTAGGAGCGCCCCTGGAAGCCATTCCTACGTGGGGATGGTGTATTAGTCCGTTTTCACACTGCTATAAAGAACTTCCCTGAGACTGGGTAATTTATAAAGGAAAGCTGTTTAATTGACTCACAGTTCCGTATGGCTGCGGAGGCCTCAGGAAACTTACAATCATTATGGAAGGCAAAGGGGAAGCAAGCACCTTCTTCAAAAGGGAGCAGGAAAGAGAGGGTAAAGGCACAGAAAAAGCTACCATTTATAAAACCATCAGATCTGGTGAGAATTCACTCACCATCACAATAGCAGCATGGGGGAAAATGCCCCCCATAATCCAATCACTTCCCTCCCTCAACACGTAGGGATTATAATTCTTGATGAGATTTGGGTGGGGACACTGAGCCAAACCAGATGGGTAGCAAGATGTGTGGAAATGACTGTGAGCCATACCTATAACCCCCTGAACCCCAATTACATGCATTTCCAACTCAACACTGCATGGCAACTTGAAGGCCACCACGCAATAGAAAAGGCTGGAGGGAAAACTGCCATGAAGAGAATCAACAGTCATAACTGACTGTGGTTTTACCACCATTTGCACATTTTACAGAAACATAGGCCCCCGCGTAAACGTCCCCAGGGCTTTGGAAGGGCCAGTGCAGCTGAGGGCCCCAAAGCCTAAATCTCACCCGCTTCAAGGTAAATCTGCCTCAGCCTTTACCCAATTTGCCCTCCTCCCCCTCAGGAAGGAGAATTTCCCACAGAGAGGACACAGAAGCACAGATTTTTTTTTTTTAGACGGAGTCTTGCTCTGTCGCCAGGCTGGAGTGCAGTGGCACAATCTCGGCTCACTGCAACCTCCGCCTCCCAGGTTCAAGTGATTCTCCTGCCTCAGCCTCCCAAGTAGCTGGGACTACAGGCGCCCGCCACCACACCCGGCTAATTTTTTGTATTTTTAGTAGAGATGGGGTTTCACTATGTTGGCCAGGATGGTCTCCATCTCTTGACCTCATGATCCACCCACCTCGGCCTCCCAAAGTGCTGGGATTATAGGCTTGAGCCACCGTGCCCGGCCAGCACAGATTTTTAAATGTGTATGTATCCAGTTGCCAGGGCAGCTGGAACAAAGTACCACAGACTGAGTGGCTTAAGCAAAGGAAGTATATAGTCTCACCACCTGGAGGCCAGAAGCCTGAGATCAAGGTATGGGCAGGGTTGGTTCCTCCTTAGGGCTGGGAGGGAGAATCCATTCCAGGCCTCGCCCAGCCTTATACATAACCATCTTTTCCCTGTGTCTCTTCACATCGTCTTCCTTCTATGGGTGTTTGTGTCCAAAACGTCCCCTTTTCAAAAGGACACCAGTCATACTGGATTAGGGCCTATTCTAATGACTTCATTTTAACTTGTTACCTCTGTAAGGATCCTATCTCCAAATAATGTTACATTCTGAGGTAATGGGGGTTAGGACTCTAATGTGTCATATGGTAGGAGGAGGACATGAGTCTACACATAACAGTGAAGAAATGCAAACTGGTATGTGACTCTCTGCAGAAAACTGAGGGAGATGGAGAGAAACCCAGAGAGACTCACAGGGAGGGAGAGAGCTGTTACCTTGTTTACATTTTGCATTTAGAAAAATTACCTCATTAGCTGTCTGTCTGCATCCATGCCCAGCTGCAAACACTAAATCAATCATTTGGGGATCAGGTTGCCTTTCTTGGACACCATAAATGGCACATTTTTGAATCTGTTTTGATTTCAGTGGCTGTCTCAAATGTCAAAATGATGGAGAGGACAGAGAGACTGAAATCTGAGGACAGATAGAGAAGAGGAGACTTCTTCAGGCTGGAAGAATCAAGACTGCAGAGTATGTGAAGGCCCAGAGAGGATGAAACAGAAAACAAGGACCGGGCCCTAACCCTGGATCAGCCCATGAAGGTTGTCCACTTTGCCTCTGAGAGAGGCAGGTTAGGGACAAGTAAGTACTATTTACCCAGGAGGCAGTGAATCTAGGGAACTCCCAAGAAGTGACATAAGGGCTGGGCGCGGTGGCTTACACCTGTAATCCTAGTACTTTGGGAGGCCAAGGCGGACGGATTGCCTGAGCTCAGGAGTTCAAGACCAGCCTGGGCAACACAGTGAAATCCCGTCTCTACTAAAATACAAAAGAAATTAGCTGGGCGTGGTGGTGTGTGCTTGTAGTCCCAGCTACTCAGGAAGCTGAGGCAGGAGAATTGCTTGAACCCAGGAGGCAGAGGTTACTGTGAGCCAAGATCGCACCACTGCACTCCAGCCTGGGTGACAGAGCAAGACTCCGTCTCTTAAAAAAAAAAAAAAAAGGAGTTACATAAGGGAAAAATATCAATTCAAGAGGAGGTTCCATACATTATTGGATAATAAAGATGCAGGCACTCCATATTCTGCCTGAGTGGTCTCCTCTAATTTGTTTCTGGAAGTCCCCAGAGGTAACTTGCAGGTGCTCAGGAGCAGGTAGATCCTGAAGCAGCCTGGCCCTTGGAGGGAGGTTCACAGGGTCCTTCGTGGACCCTACTCTAGATGTTGAAGTCCAGCTCCCGCTCCCTCAGGACTCAGGAACAAACTCCGTGGGGAGAAAGCGGAGATTAGCCATCATAGCCCTGCACTGTCCTGCCCCATTTTAGTTCCTTCCTCCTGTAGCCAGAAGCTCCTAGGCCTACTGGTTCCTGCAAACTGAGCCCTGGAGGAAGCCCCAGGCCTCAAAATCTGCAACCAGCTGCACTCTGAGACTAGACTGGGCTCTTGTGGAGACCCAGCCACAGGAAAAACCATGCTTACTTCCCAGGGTTCTCTTGAGGATCACTGCACTGAGAAAGTTATCAGTGTGGCAGGAATGAAAGCCCCATTAGCATTAGAATCAAAGGGCACCTGAAAAAAGACAAACTGAGCTTGCAACTCCAAACAATCATCATTACAGCAAAGCACTCAGAATCCACCCTATCTACCATACAAGTATCTAGGCTGTGTTTTCTTAGGTCAGTTTTGTTTTTAACTGTGTAGTGAGACCCATTGCTGAGTCATAAAATCAGTTTAATGAGTCACAACCAGCATTTGAAAAAAATAAAACAGACTAAAAATCAGAATGCAGCACACAGATAGAGCTTGATGAAACTTGTGTTTCTTTTACATATATGTGCATATGCACGGAGACAAAATGTAAATGTTTTTCATACTGTGACTTGAGGTTAAAAAAAGAAAAAAAGGTTGAAATGCACTGATCTAGAGTATAAGCCCCTAGAATAGTTGAACCTGAATGCCAATGTGCAGCAGAACTAGCTGGGGAGTTTGTTAAAATGCAGATTCCCAGGCCCCACTCTCCAGAGAGTGTTGAGGCTGTATCTTACAGTGGGGCCTGGGACTCAATGTTTAACAAGCTCCCCAGGCGCATGCAATACATCTGGCCTGTGGAACACAATTCAGGAATCACAGTATGAGAGGAAGAAGCCATGTATTTGGTAGGACTGTAATGTAGAAAGCCTGAGTGACTCAGAAAGATGCTTGTTCCATCTTAACCCAGAGACTGGAGAAATAGGCAGAGGAGCAGGTATCTGGGCAGGGAGTCGGGGTGACATCAGTATCTGGAAGGATTCGTCACCTATAGACCATGCTTGTTGTAAATTGTGCTTATAGGATTCATAGCCAAGCACAGGGAAGGGATAAATACCTTCCCATCAGATGGGTTTTACTTAACCCTATGTATTGTGACTTACTTTCCAGTCTGACTCTGGCATAACATTATGTGACAAAGAAGAAAATCAAAATATTTTACCCCAAAACATGTTTCTTCACCGTATTTTGAAATGGCCCTGCAAAGCCGTCCTTGGTGGGGGAAAATCTGCATCTGTAAAGAATCTGTATTAACACAGTTAGATCTTTTTCTTCTAGCCATTCACAATCCTCCTAAGAGATTAACTAAGAGTCTAGCATCTTTTAACAGTCTGAATAGGAAACATTTGTCATCTATGTCTCTAAGGGCGGCCACTATAAGACTTCAAAAGAACCTTGGTCTCCACAGTCCTTTATCTTAACCTGAACATTTCCATTCTATTAATCCTAGGTCTTTAGACAAACTCAACCAATTGTAAACCAGAAAATGTTTAAATTTACTTATAGCCTGGAACCTCCCCCCATCCTTCGAATTGTCCTGCCTTTCTGGACCAAACCAATGTATTTCTCAAATGTATTTGATTGATGTCTCATGCCTCCCTCAAATGTATAAAACCAAGCTGCACCTCAACCACCTTGGGCACATGTTCTCAGGGTCTCCTAAGGGCTGTGTCACGGGCCATGGTCACTCATATTTGGCTCAGAATAAATCTCTTCAAATATTTTACAGAGTTTGATTCTTTTCGTTGACACTTTCATTTCTTATATGTCGTGATTCTAAGAGCATCAGGATAGAGGGAGAGGTTGGAAGACAGATGATCTCAATCACGTCTGCATCAATTAGAGTAGTACTTTTCAAAGTGCGGATCACGGCTTATTAGTGGGTCATGAAATCAACTAAGCACTTTGAAAAATAGAATAGAATGCAACATAATAGATAACATCATGGTGTGTCGCTTATAATAAAGATGTTTGATTGTCTACTGCCATAAAACAAAACAATCCAAAACTTAGCGGGCTTAAAACAACATTCATTTGTTCATGATTCTGCAGTTTGGCAGGGCTCAGTGGGGACAGTTCATCTCCGCTTCATGGGCAGCAGGTGGGGTGGCTTAAATGGGGCTGGAAGATTGATTTCCAAGATGCCTCATTCACAGGGCTGGCAAGTTGTTGCTGGCTATCAGCTGGGAACTCAGCTGGGACCTTGGTGCTTCTCCAAGTGGCCTCTCCGTATGGCTAGTTTGGGCTTCCCACCATATGACAGCTTGGTTCCCAGGGGAAGCATCACAAGAGTAAACCTTCCAAGAGGACACACTTTCCAATAGGCTAGAGCTTACCAAGCCTTCATTTGGAGGCTTGGACCCTTGCTAATGTCTCACTGGCTGAAGCAGTCCAGATTCAATGTGAGAGGGGACCACAAAATAGCACAAATACTGGGAGATGGGGCTCATTGCTGGCCACAAGGGTAAGCATATTTTCTTTTAAAGGGCCAGGTACAGTGGCTGGTGGCTGTAATCTCAGATACTTGGGAGGCTGAGGCAGGAGAATTGCTTCAGCCCAGGAGTTTGAATTCAAGACCTCAGTGAGCTATGATCGTGCCACTGCATTCCAGCCTGGGTGACAGAGCAAGACCTTATCTCGAAAAAAAAAAAAAAGAAAGAAAGAAAAGAGGGGTGTGTGTGTGTGTTTTGCAGTTGTATATCTGTATAAGTAATGGGTAGCAATGGAAAACATATTCCTAATAGTTAATCACAGTTCAGAAAGTTTGGGAAACCCAGTAGCAGAGAGCCTTGGGACACAGGTAGAAGAAAAACTTACTTTCCTTGGTTTCTGTTTCCCTGAGACTTCTCTGTATGTCTATCCCTACCTGTCCATTTTCCTAATAACTTCCCCTTTTTCTTCTTTCTCTTTTATTCCTTTCTCCCCTTTTCTCTTCTTTCTCAGCCCTAGTGTCTCTGTCACTGAACCCTTTTTTTTACATATCACCTTTCACATTCAAATATCTCCTGCAAACATATGCACACACAACCTTAATATAAGCTGGGGTCCCATGCGACCCATTCTCTGCACAGCATCACATATAAATGAGCACAGTCCAGTTGCCAAAAGTAATTTTGCATTTATTTCAATTTTCCTGCAGCTCCTAAAGAATATTAACAGAGATCCTATATAAATTCCACAGACAAACTGTGAAATTCCTTTCTCTTTTCTCACAATCCCCACCTGGCAACCGCTCTGGGGCCCTTCACTTGTCAAACCCACAAAACTCTCAACACTCACTCAGCCCAGCAGGCATTCCCCAACCACCTCCCTCCACTCACTCCCTCTTTCTTACCATAACTCACCTTAGCCTCTCTGGTTCTAACTCTCCCCCCTGTGTCTTGATTCTGTGTCACAAAATATCTGAGAACGCGATTGAAAAACATTGAACTCAAAGAGGGAAGGAAAGACAGAATCTGAAGGAACAACAAGATTCTCTTTCGTTACAACGACTTGATGAGTTATAAATTTCAAAAAATGTGGTGTCTTAGAAAAAGCCCTGAATGTTGAGTCAGGAGAAATTTATTTTAGTTCTGGCTCTGCCGCTAATTAAATGCATAACCTTTGACAAATCATTCAGCTTCTCAGCCTCCAGCTTCCTGATCTCCGTGATAAGTAATGATCCCCATTTCTGACAGTGGTTGTGAGGACTGAACAAGCTGCTGTGTGTGATGTGCCTGGCACACAGCAAACAAGTAAAAAGTGAATTCCCCTTGTGATTCCTCACCTGTAGAAGAGGGCAATGATGTATGCCTTGCTCACCTCATAGGGTCTCTCTAAGGATCAAATTAGAAAATGCATGCAGACACTCTTTATAAACCACAAAGCCCAGTAATGATAATGTATGATATTTTTTGCACTTTATTGAATGCAAAAATCTCATCCTAGTCATATGTGTGCACAATGCCTTTTTCATTACAGGGCTCATAAATAGCTAACATTTCTGTGTGCCAATTATAATTATAAAAATGTAGGGAAACTACCCTTCTTCACTTCCCACCAGCACCAACAACAACATACACCTTGAAGTCAAGGGAATTCTCCCTTCAAGTTAATGAAAAAAGACTTTGTTATTTAACCCAAGTCTGAGGGAAGGGAGCAAAGGTTTCTTAAGCTCAGTAGTTCTCAAAGTGTGGTCCCTGGACTAGCAGCATCAGCATCCCCTGGAAAGTGTAAGATGCAAATTATCGTGACCCATCACAGAGTTACCTACTCAGAAATTCAGAAGGGTGGAGCTCAGCTATCTATGTTTCTGATGCACCCTCAATTTGAAGTGTAATAAGGTCAGAGGAATGGCAGCAGAGTGGATGTGACTCTCCTATGCAGATCTGATAAGGTTTTTGGCAGGGAAACCAGCCCTTGTGGTGTACGATGGTGTACCTGTTTTTAGACACTTAGGGACAAGAAAATGAAAAATTCCAACTGGAGCACAGTATAAAGGAGCACCAGAAGGGGTTCCTTCCCCTCTGTGATAGACTGAATGTTTGTGTCCCCCTAGAATGCATATGTTAACATTCTCACCCCAAGGAAATGGTATTAGGAAGTGGGGCCATTGGGAGGTAATTAGGTCCTGAGGGTGGAGCCCTCATGAATAGCATTAGTGCCCTTATAGGAAGAGACAGAGACAGCTTGCTGCCTCTGTCTCTTCTCTCCACCATATGAGGATACAACAAGAAGACATCTGTCTGCAAACAAGGAAGAGGACCATCACCAGATACCAGATCTGTCACTCCTTGATCTTGAACTTCCCAGGCCTCAGAACTGTAAAAAATATATGTCTGTTGCTGGGCACAGTGGCTCACACCTATAATCCCGGCACTTTGGGAGGCTGAGGCAGGCAGATCACAAGGTCAAGAGATCGAGAACATCTGGCCAACATGGTGAAACCCCGTCTCTACTAAACATACAAAAATTAGCTGGGCATGGTGGCGGGCACCTGTAATCCCAGCTACTTGGGAGGCTGATGCAGGAGACTCACTTGAACCCGGGAGAAGGAGGTTGCAGTGAGCCGAGATTGCACCCCTGCACTCCAGCCTGGAGACAAAGCGAGACTCCATCTCAAAAATAAAATAAAATAAAATAAAATATATATATGTCTGTTGCTTAAGCCACTCAGTGTATGATATGTTTGTTATAGTGGCTGGAGCTAAGACACCCTCTTTCCTTGGGCTCAATGCTCTCCCCCAATTCTTTGGGAGAAAAACAGCTGTTGCCTAAGAAATGTCAAGTGAGAGAATGGCTTTGATTCACAGACCATGCCAGGGTGATGAAAACTTATAAGACAGAAGCATGATCATGATGAGGATGAGGCAAGTGAGGCATCCAGGGTGCAAAATTTAAAGGGCACTTACTTCAAGTTTGTACAAGTGCAAAGTCAGGAGAAGAGAAACCTTCTGCTTGGAGGGGTAGAGAGTCCTGAAACCTGCGAGGTCAAGACTGGGGCAGGGGGGTTACATGAGGAAAGAAGGGGGCATATTTATGGGACACTCTGGAAACATAAGGAATATTCATCATGGGCCATCTCAAAAGAATAGGCACCAAGGTTTTCTCTTGCGTGGTCCAAGGGGACAAGTCTACTGGATTAGAGGGCACAGAACCCATTGTCCAGCCCCTCTGCCAATCCTGTATGCTACAATTGTCACTGAAGAGCTTGATTAAAGACAGATGGTTCTTCTCTGAGTGTGCATTTATGTGCATGTGTTTCATTTCAACCAAGGCAGTAACAGGAAATGAAGTACAGCCATGGTTGCCCCATCGGTGGCAGGCAATAGTGATATCTTCCATGTGACAAAGCAATCCACGCTGATATGACCACCCAGCTGGAGAAATGGCATGCAAGACTAACATCCTCGACTTCCCACCACCCCAGAGGGAAGCTACAATTATACTGTGTGGGTCAGAAGAAAGGGAGGCAAGCATTCATTAGGTAACAATAATGATGGTAATAATAATGATAACAAAACCACTTTAAAGACTACCACTTAACCAAGCACTTATCATGTGCTCAGTTGCTAGGCACTGTGTTATCACCAAATCTGTCATCCCACACAGTAGCATGTCCACTTTGATCAGAAGTACATGAGCTGGGTCACTACACTGCTTGACCCAGGAGCGTTATTCAATAGACTACATAGTCTGTAGCACTGTGCAATGCCCAATCTGAGGGCCTTGGATGGCCTCCCTGAGGCTGCGACTCAAAGATGTTAAGTGACTTGCCCAGGCCACATAGTCAGTTGGTGACAAAGCACCACCTGTGTCTGCTACAGACCTATGTAGAAAAGAGGCCATTTTGTCCCATGGATGGGCATGGGAGGGGAAGGGAGACACCAGCTACGTAAAGATGGGAGAGTAAGGAGGAAAAGACAAGCCAGTGAAATCGTAGCAGCCAGGTATCAGAGGTAAGTAGCAGGCAGCCAGTGGCCCTCAGAGTGAAAGTGGAAGAGGGGATCAAAGGGTCCTCCCTGGCCACTTCCACCTACAGGAGGTCAAAAATGGAGAGAGGGAAAACAGGTTGATATCCTGAACCTTATGGGGCTGGGCTTCATCCATTCCTTTCATGAATATGCACAGACACATGTGCAAACACACACATACACTGAGCTGTACCATGAGCAAGGCACTGTGCCGAGTGTCAACAATTTTAAAAGATTTCACCCAGCTCCTGCCTTTGAGGAGTGCATGGTCCAGAGGAGGAAGCACGTGATAGCAGTGTAGTGTGAATGGTGCTGGAATAGGCTGATGGAACCTCATGAATGCACGGAGAACAGAGGCCTGGTGCCACCCAGTGTGGACGAGAGGATGGCATAGCAGGACTAAGAGGTAGCCAGGAGCCAGCTCATGAAAGGCCTTATATGCTGAGCCAATGCTATTGAGATTGGACTTTGTCTTAAGAGCAATGGGGAGCAACTGAGCAGTTTTGAGCAGGACAGTGGAATTATAGAATTTATTCTTTGAAAATATTCCTCTGGCTTCCGTGTGGAGGAAGGATTAGAGGTGGGTGGCCAGTGAGGGCTTTGCAGTTATCCAGCTTAGCAGGATGGAGCACTGCCAACCCAACCAGAGCAAATGGGGAGGCCACCAGCCTCACCCTGACCCTGGACATGCCCACCATGATGGGAAGACACAGACTGTTCCACAACAACCCCTTGGACCCCAGCCCAGCCCTGGAAGAACCATGTACCTTGACTGGCAGGGAAGCCTCCACTCCGGGCCTGGGCACACATGGGAGGGTAGGGCCCCATGCTTGGTATGGGCTCAGGCTAGCGCTGCTGCCCTGGAGTCAGAGCTGTGTAGAGAGGGGCAAGCCCCACTCCCAGAGAGAAGGAGCCACATGCCGTGATGGCAGGTGGTCGGTGCAGACCCTCAGCTGTTGGGGGAGTGGTCGGGATGCCTGAAATGTCTGGGACCGAGGTTCTGGGTGCAGCCTGGAGAGTTGGGGCTGTGCGTTCTTGTTGCCATTGTTACATTGGCTCATATTGCTGAGTCCTTATTCATTAGGCTGTTGGGTACTTTTAGACACACACACACACCAGTCTGGAGCACAGAGAAAACTGTCATAGGCACTCAAAATTAGAGCAAGTTAGATAAAGGGGCCAGTAAGTACAGACCTCACATGCCCCCAGTGGTGGATTCAGGGGTCACTGATTCTATCCATTCCTACAGATGAACAGGATAAATATACCTCCGACCCCGTCCAGTTTTTCTATCCCATTTAATCACTCCTCAGCTGAGAAAGCCAGAAACTCATTCCTGACGTGGCTGACAAATGCTGGGGAAATCTTTGGTTTTCTTAGAGTGAGCCTCTCTTTGTAACCAGAGAGCAAGAGAAGGAACAGGGCCTTAAAATCACTTCAAGTGGCCTGTGCCTGATCCTGAGGTCCAGAGAAGGAGAATGACTTATTCAAGATCACAGTTTAATCATACATGCCTTTATCCATTCACTCAGCAAACACAGTTCAAACACCTACCACTTGCCAAACCTTCTAGATAGTTATTACCAACATAACCAAGCAAAGTATATGGAATGCCAGATGGCAATGGGTACAGGAGAGAAAAATAAATTGGACAAGGGGATAGACAGTGCTTTGGAGGTAGAGGCAGCTTTAAGTAGGGTCACACTAGAGTGAAGATCGCAAGGAGGTGAAGCTTATTCTGGGGGAAGAATATTCTAGGAAAAGGGGACAGTGAGTGCAGAGTCCCTAAGACAAGGCATGCTGGGGCGCCGGAAGAAAAGCAGAGGATGGTGTAGCTGGAGAGGAGGTAGCCAGGAGGTGAGTTGTAGGAGATTAAGTCAGAGATGTGCGAGGTATGAGGGAGAAGTTCTTTTGTAGAGACTTCACCTTGACTCTAGTCGGATGGGAGCCCATGTGGGCTCTGAGCAGAAAAGGAACAGCTCTGACTTAGGATTTAGTTGGCTGCTGTGCTGTGGATAGACAGACAGTTGGCAAGCCTGAAGTCAAAGAGTCCATGTAGGAGATCCAGGCAAGAAATAATGGTTGCTTGAACCAAGGAGGCAGTAGTGGAGGTGGGAAGAGGAAATCACACAGAGTCTGGCCAGATTATGGAGGTAAAGGCAACAGTATTGACTAAAGGACCAAATGCAAGATGTGAGAAGAACAGAGTCAGAATGACCCCAAGGTTTTTGTCCCATGCTGCTAGAAGGAAGACGTTTCCCATTAGCCATGTTGGAGGATACCACAGGAGAATGGGTCTCTGTTTGAGCATCTTATTCAAGATGCCATTCAACATCTAGTGAAGGTGGACAGGAGACAGTGGACACAAGTCAGGACCTCAGGGACCAGGTCACAGGCAGAGCTAGACCTTGAACTTCAAGATTCACAGATCACACTGCTTCTGACTGAGGAGTGACAGAAGTGCCAGAGCAATCTCACCAGCTCTGGAATGTTCATCACTTGACGGCTGGGCTGGCAATGAAGAAGCTCCATGCAGTCTTTGGGACAACACTGCACCAAGAGACCACAGCAACAGGGGAGCTCGCAGAGTAGAACACTGGCATTCAACCCAAAGCCTCACTGTTTCCAGATACAAGTGAAGGTAAATTCCCTGCCCCTCCCCCTGCCCCACCACATTCATCCATCCTTGAAGAACTCCTGGGAGCTCACTGGGAAACTCACTGAGCAGTGAGTAATATGGTTTTGCTTAAGCCTTGCTCAAGTAGCAGAATAAGCAAGTTTGACTAAAATTCTCTAGATTCACAAATCCCAAAGCCCTAAACTACAGAAAACAGACTAGTCAAGAGAGAGGAAGCTGTCTGCTGGCTATTTGTGGAGCATCACCCAATCAATGAACAAGTATGCATAGACTGCTGGGTGCAGAGGGAGGGGTGTTTAAGGGATGTCTTAATCGGGTTTTCCAGAAGCAGATCCTGAGACAAGGATTTGGTTGCAAGTAGTTATTTAGAAAGTGAACCCAGGAAGCACCAGTAGGAGAATGAGGAAGCAAGACAGGTAATGAATGTATTAGTGAACTGATCACCACTGTGAGCAATTAGGCTCAATTCTACTCTAGGAGGCTGTACAGAATGTATCTCAGGGTTGTCCCACCAAGGGGCAAGGAAACTGAGGTACTTATCCACTAACTCTCTTTTGTTGTTGAGTGTTCTTCCCACAAACCTTAACTTCCAGGCACTTCCAGTTTGTCCCTTTATTAAGCTGACCAATCTCCTGAGGCCAGAGAAAGCCTTCCAGCAGAGACCAGCAGGTGTTTCCAGTAGGACACTGTCTGTGTGTACTGAAACCAGAGTGTCATAGGGAATTAGAAGGACGCAGCACCAACCATAATGGGTTTCACAGGAACTGCCTGGTCTCCACAAATAGGGACTCTAATTTTGGTCTGGATTCTAAGAACCACCTTCACCCCAGTAAATAGGACTGAGATGACTTTTATCATTCCTGTAAGCAGAGATAGAAATGCCAGAGCAAAGTCTCATTGGTCCACACAGAAAGAAGGAAGCCTCGGTGCTCTTTAATTGGAGACCAGAGCTGTGGCAATTCCCAACCAGTGTCAGAATTTTGCAATGTGTTGGAGACAGGCAGCCCTCCCTAGGAATCTACTGAGAGACCCAGATCTTTGGGCCCTTAGTGAGTGTTTGAGTAAATAGGTAAGCAGTGGCTGCGGCTCAGGCAGGAGGGTCCTGGAAGTTAATGTCCCAGCACAGAGCTTCAGCCCAGACCACAGTGCCAACATCCTAGCCCTTCTGGTTAATAATTATCCCTAATTCCTTAGCGTGGGAGGCCTGGAGATGAAAATCACAACTCTCCATGTCCTCATCAGTCTGTTGTATGTGCATGTGTACCAGATACCTACATGCAACCTCATGAAATTCCAGACATTCTCATCAACAAATCCCTTTGTCATCTTCATAAAATCCAAAGTTAAAGGGCCCACCCTAAGAATTGTGACTCATAGATTCCTGGATGGATCAACTCTATGTGACTATTAGAGCTAGTTTTCTCATGCCCATATTGGGCAAAACCTGGTAAACAGCACCCCTGTCTCTCCCTCCCCAAAATTCTGTCTGGATGAGCAGTCCCTTATGTAACAAGCTAAAACCTTTACAACTGACCATATGTCAGGAAACAGTAAGGTGTTTACAAGATACATGAGAGGGGAGTCCCTGTCTTTCAAGAGCTCCTGAGTCCTGCCAATGAACACCTTAAGTACCTGCCCTTTAGGGGATACTTGCTGAAATCATTCCTTGAATAGAATGTTAGAATGGCAGAATGACAGTGGCTGCCACCGATAGGTCAGAGCATTAAGGACTGGGTCTTTTGACCGACCCTAGGATCTCTCTTCAGTGGAACTCTGCCCCCACCAACCCTATTCAGCCTCCTCCTCTATGCTCAGGCAGCTACTGCTTCTCAGCCATCAGTACAGGCTACCTCATTCAAGTTGAATTTGCAATGGCTGTTGTGGTTTTTTGTTTTTCTGACCATGTGGGGAACTCTCATATAGGCTTTGGAATTATATAGTCCTGGTTTGTCCAAAGCACTCTCCACAAACAGGCTGTGTGACCTTCAAATAGCTGCTTAACCCCTCTAAGCCTGTCATCTGAAAGTAGAAATGATAATGATAACATTAGAGTAAACCACATGAAAGTGTCTTTGTAGGTTAAAAATTGTTGAATATTGGCAGTCTCATAGGTTCCACCTAAAACCTTTGTGGGGTTCTGGGGAAGATTCGGTAAGAGAATATATGTATTACTGCTAGGGCCTCAGATCTAACTAGTTTAGGACCACAGAAGAAGGTCACGTTCCCCTTAGTGTCTGAACCACATCTCCTGTCAAATATCTACAGGATAGGAGTTCGAAGTCTATTCTTACAGGATTCCCAGTGATTTCAGGAATCCTTGTGGCCTCTTATTCCCTCCCTTGTGTTCCCCTCATAAAGATGTTGATGTTTATTGTGCGTTTACTCTCTGCCAAGTATTGTGCCAGGCTCTTTGTACATAAACATCGATGTACCTCTCTACCCATGTGAGGTGGGTGCTTCTACTATCATCCCCCTTTCACAGATAATGAAACTTTAGATATGAGCTAAGAGGAATGAAAAAATTAAAAATAAAAAAAAAGCAGATAAGGAAACTAAAGTGCAAAGAAGCAAAATGTTTTGCCAAGGTCACAAGGACCTCAGGGTCCGTATGGTTGTAAGAAGCAGACTAGGCCCTAAGGTTTCTTCCATGTCTGGCATCCTAGGGGGTTAGGACTGCCACTGAGATGCTGAACAAATGATAAGGCAGGCACTTCCCCGACAAAGAATTTGTGTTGGTGGCAGGAGGAGAGAAGAAAGCTGCGACCAGGAGAGCTGAGCCAGGAGCTTTTGCCCACCTCATCATCTAAATGAGCATCAGACTCTCAGGTGTTGCAGATAAAATCCCCTGGCATGTGATCATAGGTGACATCTACCCAGCGCTCATGATGGTAATGCCAGGCACTACTCCAAGCTCCTTACATGATCAATCATTTAACCCTCACAACCTTGGGGTCTAAACAGTACTGTTAGTCCCATTTTACAGATGGGTAAATTGAGGTATGGAGCTGTTAAGTCACTGGCCCAGGATCACACAACCAATAAGTGACCCAGCTGGAGATGGAACACAAGCAGGCTGGCTCCCAAGTCCATGACGTGAACCATACCAGATACTGCCTGTCAGAAGTGTAAACAGCCCTGTCTCATAATCACCTCCTTTGATTTGGAAGCCTAGACCAGGGGTCAGCAAACTATGGCCTGAGAGATTCAGAGCTAAATCTAGCTGACCAACTGTTTTTATAAATAACATTGCATTGAAATACACCCACATTCATTTATTTATTGACTGATTTGCAAAAAACAAGGGCAGCAGTGAGTAGATGCAAGAGATCATAGGCCTGCAAAGCATAAAACATCAACTTTCTGACCCTTTATAGATAAAACTTGTTGACCCCTGACCTACAGTATGCACCTAAGGTGTGTCCTATGTGTCCTAAGATGGCTCCGACACTTGCTATGTGACCCCAGACAAGTTGCTTTCCTGAATCTCCATTTCCTCATCTGTAAAATGTGCTTGTGGGAATTTGGTGAGGAAGTGTGTGTATGTGTAAGTGCCTGACCCAAGGCAGGTGTTTGATAAGGGTTTGCAGCTATCATTGCCAATAGTATGATGAAAATTATGACTGATTCCTATGATATCACTGAAGACAGGGCAGAGACCTTTATGGCCACTTTATGGGCAATGAAACCCTGGTGCAGAGAGAGGATATGGTGAGAGGCAGAGCCCAGGTCTTCCCAGTCCAAGTCCTGCACTCTGCTGCCTCCTTTCCCCCGCCTTCCAATCCATAGCTGCCCTAGTCCTCATTTATGTTTGCCAGCGTGCGGAGCAGCCCTTCTGTGTTTGTGAGTTTTCGGCATCTGTAAGTACCCACAGCCGCACAGAGCTCGCCAGCACAGACATTTGTCAAAGATGACATGCCAGTCATCCATGCCACCGGAGACAGTGACAGATGCGCTCTCCAGCCCCACCATCCAGGCAGTGGAGGATAGATGGGGCCTTGGCACCGGCGCCCGCTCTTGGCCTGGCATGTGCAGGGAGCTGCAGACCAGGCAAGAGACAAATTGCAGCCTGGTCAGTGGGCAGGAGGCTCAGTGTGCATGCAGGCAGATGTGGCTGCAGCCTGCCCCTGAACCAGACACCTGCCTGCCCTCCCCAGTGTCCTAGACCTGCCCAAATCTGGTGTTTGCTTAAGATTTGTATGTGGTCACTGATGAGGAGGTGAGTGCTCACGGGCTTTGGGTTGTTTCCAATAATAATAGTGACAATGGCTGATGCTAACATATGCTGCTCTGCTGTTCTAAGTCCTTAGCATACATCGAGCTCTTTAATCCTTAGCCATCCGGTGGTGGAGGTACAGGAAACTGAGCCTAGAGAGGTTGGAGGCCTCTTCCAAGTTCACACATTAAGTGGCAGAGGCAGGAATCAAATCCAGACACTCTGGCTCCAGAGTTCAATGCCCCTCAGGACTACTGTCTAATATTTGAGAGCCTGGAGTGGAGGAAAAATCGTGACTAGGCAAAGGATTCAGGTAGGCAGGGCTCACCACTAACCTGAGTGGACAGGAACAGGTTGCCCTGCCTCAATTTTTCCACCAGAAAAAATGAGCAGTGGCTGCTATTGCAAGGCCCTGCAAGGTCCCAGACCAGCTCCAGGGCAGGCCTCTCTGTTCTTCTGGGACCCTTGGGCACTAGGTCCTCTGCCGACACACATTCACTCCCTCCGCCTAATAATCCCAACCCAGATCCCCTGGAGTATCATCTCGTAGTTCATTAAACCATCACCTCTGTGTCCCTGAGGCAAGCTTGCAGTCTGTTGAGATTTTGTAGGGATGTTTATGGCTAGTGGCAGCAAAGGGAACAGACCACATAAAACAAAAAGAGACAGTATGAGCTCTTAAAAAGTTTCCAAAGTCTGGCATAAAAGCTCCCACAGGTGTTTCATTCATACAAATGACCAGCTTCCCTCCGCTCTGGATGAAGGGTTTGGAAAGACCAAAGTCTGGTTCAGTCCAGCCAGTCTCCTATTGTGGGACCTTCCTTGCGAAAGTACCCTTCTTTCTCTGAGCCTTGGTTTCCTTGTCTGTAAAATGGGTATAATGATAGTACCTATCTCATAAAATTATTGTGAGGATTAAAACACAAAAAACACTTAGAACAGGGCCCGACACAAAGCGAATGCTCAACAAATGCCAACTGTTCTCATTCTCTGGTTTTTAGTTTCCTCAGTGGGAAAATGAGGAGGTGAGTTTTGTGCCAGGTATGGGCTTCTGGCTCGAACATTCTGTGACTTCATGATGTTCCTAGGGTGCTTCCTTGTCTCCTCCC
This sequence comes from Homo sapiens, assembly GCF_000001405.40. Taxonomy (NCBI): domain Eukaryota; kingdom Metazoa; phylum Chordata; class Mammalia; order Primates; family Hominidae; genus Homo; species Homo sapiens. The sequence continues at coordinate 40,962,321 of NC_000006.12, forward strand.
ACTTGCCTGAGTCTTTCTTCTTTGTTTCTGTGAGCCCCAGCCAATTAGTTTACTCACAAGTGTAGGGTAGAGAGAACTACACAAACAGGAAGTGTTACCACTCATACTCACAGTGGTGAATCATTCCAACCTTCCATCAAGTGGATCCACCTCCATTGGTCGACACAGCTGGGGAATCTGAGCTACTGTGGCCAGAACTCTGTTGACCACATCCTGCAATGACAGACCTCAGAATCCTTCCTGAACCTTCCATGGGAAGGAGTCTGTGACAGCCCACCTGTGTAGACTGGGCCTCATCAGCCTGAATTTGCTGAAATAAGTAATTCCAGTTTCCCTGAATTCATGCAGAGGGCACCCACGCTGGGAAGGAGTTTCTCTGGCTTTTCAAGCTCCATAAACACTTGAAAAGTCATTTTATTTTTCAATCTGTGGGCAGGATGCCACCAAACGAGGAAGCCTCATTAAACAGACCTTGAAGGCTATTTCTTTGTTGTTTTTTTTGTGGGAGTGGGATGAGGTTTGGTGTTGGCTTTTTTTTCCCCCACTGATGCTTTTTGGATAAACACATAAATCAGCATCATCTATATTCATTAGATATCGTGCCTTGTTCAGTACAAAATTACCCCTGTTTTGCATGACTTTCCCCCCTTGTGATTAATATAAATGACTTAAGTTAATTATGTTTCTCTTCATGGAAAAATGTATTTGTCAAAGTGCTGAAACATCAATAAAAAATAAACACTGTCATTTGAAGAAGGGCTCATTTGCAAATGAGTAGCTGGGGTGTGGGGAAAGGAATGGACTCACCCGTCTGGAGGTGTCATTCTGATTGAGTAGGCACACTTCATATTTACTAACAATGACAAAAGCATTTTTCTTAGTTAAGCACTCACAGGTCCTGATGAGGTAGACTGATGTCATCATTATTAACAATAATGACACCTCAGGCGTAGAGAAAACAATTTTCCTTACTAGAGAAAACTAACGCTGGGTATTTTACCATCCAGACCTCCAAAACTAGGCCCAGCATGGGGACTTTGCAGGAATAGACCAAGAGGCAAATACAGATGATTGGAGTGGGAGGGAAGAGAAGTGAAGAAAAGCAAACCATGGAGCTGGTGTGGCATCTCAGAGCAACATGGAAGCTTAGGGATGAGACAGCACAAACACCTCCCTGGGCCAATGACAAGACTAAGAACCAGAGAGGGGACTTGCCCCTTGGGTAAACAGCATATTAGTGGCAGAGCCCAGAGAGAACCCAGGACTCTTGACTCCTAGACCCCCACCCTTTCCCTGCACTCTGCTGCCTCCCTTGCCACCAGGGATCAAAGGCTCCCCCTCACTTGAGTAAGTGGTCAATGGCACCAGCAAGGTGCAGGGGCTCAGACTGCTGGACAGTCAGGGCCCCAGGGAAATCTACAGGTTACTGACTTTTTTCATGGTATCTGGAATAGCCTTTCCCCACACTGACTGTCTTAGTTTGGGTTTCCTGAAGGCAGACCCTGAGACAAGATCGTAGGTGCTGGTGGTTTATGTAAGAGGTGAGCCTAAGACACCAAGTGAGGTGGAGAAGTGAGACAGGGAAGGGAGAAAAGCCAATACAGGGCACATGTATGAGGGGGTTACTGCTTTGGACACTTGGACTCACTCCCCCCAGGAGTGACTGCAGAGAATATGCCTCTGAGTTGTCCCGGTGCTGGACAGGGAAGCAGAAATATTTATTTACTGACCTCTGGGGACTTTAATTTCCAACCCCTCTGGGTCACCCTGTACCTAAGCTGAGCAAACTCCCATAGTACCAGAAAAACCCAGAGATCCAAAACCCTGAGCAGGTGAGTGGGAAGCGCTAGTGGGCACAGTCACTGTCTATGGCAGATGCACGTGAACCTGGAGGTGGTATGGGGGGATGTGGGTGGGGCAGGCATGTTATCTACTACATCACCCTTATCTAAGTGCTCCCAGCCTTCCAAGAAATCCCCCCTCCAAGTAAACATGATCATCTTGTCTTCTGATGGTCAGAAACCATTCATCTGGCCACCTTATTTTACTTATCTTCTTAAATATTATTTCTGTCACCCTAAATATACTGTAAAGCATTCAAGGGCAAAATTAAGGCCATTATCATTCTGTCATTCAACAAATACTTACTGAGCACTTACTCTGTGCTGGACTATCTTTAAGGTGCTAGGAATATAGCATCAAAGATAAAGAAAATCCTTGTCTTCAAGGAACTTGCATCTTAAAAGTAGAGCTAGACAATAAACACATAAATAAATGCTATAATTTCAAGTGGTGATAAGTGGCTCAAAGAAAAAGAAAGCAGGGTAAAGGGGATAGCATAATGGAAGTGCAGTACTCCTGGGGACATTTGAGCAAAAGCCTGAATGAAATACCGGAGTAAGCCATGTAAGAATCTGGTGGAATGGAATTCAATCAAAGAGAATGTCAATGCAAAGACCCTAGGGAATAACAGGAAGGCTGGTGTGACACTCAGCGGAGTGAAAAAGAAGGTGGTAGGAACTGAAGAAGGGGACAACCAGATCGTCTAGGACCTTACCTTTAAACAGTGCCTGGCACAAAAGAAAGGTACTCCAAGCTGACTGGATGGATAGATGGGTGGATATAACAGATGGAAGGATGGAAATAATGACAGACTAGTGGATGAAGAAAGAAGAAAACAAAGCAGGTTCTATAGGTAGAGTGTGGTGCCAATGGTGCATTCAAAGCCAGACTTTGCAGAAATAGCAAATATTGAACCCAAAGTACCCAATGAGTAGTTATTAGACCAAGGAAGCAGTTGAAGGAGAAATGTTCCTCTCTGGGCTTCAGCCAATGAGAATCCTAGAAACCTGAGTGTCCTTATCTTTCTTTACATTCCCTGCAGAGGCCCAGCTTCTCCCCTGTGGTGAGTATCCAATAACATTAAATGGTATTACAGTGGATTAATTAAACTTTGGTGGCTGGAAGCTAGTGAATCATTCCCTCCACCACATATTACCATGTTTACTCATCAGGGCTCCATTTTTAATAGCGGTCTTTTAATTAAAGCATGTCACCACGGTCCATTAGGGAAGAATTTGGAGGATGAGATGTGCATGTGGGTGCAAGCATCATTTAATTCAGCAGTTCTTTACTGAGTGCCTACTATGTGCCTGGCAAGTCTTGAGGTACTATGAGAAAATAAGGTGCAAGTGAAGGGCTTCAAGGAACTTACGCGATCAAACAAAGTGAATTCACACTCACGATCAACTGAGGAACATTGGCATATTAATCATTGCTTGCCAACTAACCAGAATTCTTTATTAGTAACTTCTCCCACCTAGTTTAATTTGGAAGAACCAGGCCAATCATAAGAAAAATTCTGGGGCTTTTCGTTTTCAGCAAAATATCCAGGGTATACTGTGGCCTAGACCCTGATGCAGTCATATATCTTTGGGAAAGCCTCCTAAAACTTCTGAGCCTCAATCAGTCTCTTCAAGAATAAAAGCAGAGGTTGTTCTTATCCAGAAATTCTCTAGATTCCAGCTGTAACATTTTCTCATCTGCGACCCTCCAAATCTCCAGGCCCAGACCATGAGGATGGGTTTTCCAGAATGGTGGAAATTTCATCTAAAGTCACTCTAAGATTTTTACCCACCAGAGAAAGATCCTTTTCATTACATTCATGACATTTTGTTTTCTGAATTTTCAAAGAGGACCAAGAAGACCTGTTTGGAAGTAGGAGTAGTTACAATGCATGCACTATGTGTGCACTTAGATGAGGAGGAACAAACCACATACTGCCAGAAAAGCAGGCTCTATTCATGGGGTGACTGGGTAAAAGGCATTGGAACTGGACCCTAAAGACTAGGTAATAGTTTGAGAGTAGGAGAAATGGGGGGAAAGAGCCAATTTTCAGCCTGATTCTAGCCATGTTCCAAGTATGGGTCCCCACTTTGCAACTGCATGACAAGCTCCCCCAGGAGGAGGGACCAGGTCTCTTTTTCTTTTGTCTGAGATTCTTCCTTCCAGCTCTTCACTCCTTAGGCGAGCTCAGCCAGTCTCATAGGTTAGGGCCCACCTGTGTGATGATGACTCCCACATTTCCATCTCCAGCTCAGCACCTCTCTGCGGAGCTCTCTATTCAGTCAGCTACCTGCTTGGCACAGCACTTAGAGGCTTCAAGACATCACAAACAACGTGGACAAAATGAGGCTCCTATTTCTGTGTCCAGTCTGTTGATCCTCATTCTTCAGGTCTCAATGTAGGAGTCACTTCCCCAGAATGTAAATATATATCTTACCCCAGAATGTGTGTGTGTGTGTGTGTGTGTGTGTGTGTGTATATATATATATATATACACACACATATATGAATATATTTGTTTATATATATTTATATATACATATATATGAATATTTATTTATTTATATATGAATATTTATTTATTTATTTATTTATGAATATATATTTATTTATTTATATATATATTATATATATGAAGGAGGGGTCAGGACCTCTCCGATCCCTCTTCTATAAACACCCTAGGTTTTCCTTCACAAATGTTGTCACATTGTCAGGAAATCTTTGTGTTGTGATATCTTTTCTGTGAGGTATTTGATGAATGGTTGCCTGTCTTACTGGATTTTTAAGTCCCATTGGGCATAGATCAGCCCCCATTTACTCACCACTGTCTCCTGAGTACCTGGGACTGTGCCTAGAACATAATAGGCCCCCAGTAAATATTTGTTAAGGGAAGGCATGGGTTCCCCAACCCCAGCCAGTGTGCAAGATCCATTTCCGCATACCACTGGCACACAACATTCAGGCACTGGGAGCCGCACAGTGACGGAAGCTTGAACATTTTCTTCGTGTCAAGTTCTCAGTAAAGCTATTTTCTCACATTGTCTCATGTAATTCTTAAACCACCCTGGAAGGAATAGGTTTTATTGCTGTTTCCATTATATAGGTGGGGAAACATGGCTCAGAGGAAAGTGGCATGTCCAAGATCACACATCCTGCAGGGGACAGACAGACCAAACCCATGTTTTCACCAGCCTCTCATCTCACAAACAACACTAGGTTTGTTAATACCTGGGAACTCTGTGTAAGCGAGGTCCCTGGCTTGGTGTCAGAAGACCTGGGTTTGAGTCTTGACAATGTCCTTTGTAAGTAGCTTAAGGTAGCTCCTCAGTTCCCTGTGAGACACTGCACACAACATCCTTTAAACTGCCTTAAGAAAAACAGCCCTACAAATGAAGACTCCATTGCCACTCCCTTTGAAGCAGCTGCTCTCAGAGTCCTCTGCACTGCCTCATCTGAATTGAACTATCTCCCCACCTTCTCGCAGAATCAAAAACTAGAGGCTGCAGGCTGAAGAGGGCACCATTATTTTGTTTAACTCACAGAGTATTTAAAACTTTTTTTTAAGTTGTTGGGTAAATTCTAACAGGTTTTCTTCAGGGTCCAGATTTTTACCTTCTCTTGAAAAATTAGAAGCTCCTGCAACATCAGTCCCACAGCTCTGCACATCATTGACTGGCATCAATTGGTTGAGCCAAGAGGTAGCCATGCTCTCTCCCCAGTGTGCCACTATCCCTACCTGAGGCTGGGAATCAGGTGTCACTTACCTTGACATCTGTTCCCTTATTTTTCCAACAATGGGAATACATTTTTCTGCATTCATGTCGCTAACAGAACTAGGAAAAGCAAGCCTGGACCACAAGGATAGTGCAGTGAGAGATAATGTGAGTATAATTCTTGATGCAAGTGAAGAATAATCATGAGTTCAATATGGTTAAGTGCATGTGTTTCAAAACAACACAACCCAAACAAGATTCAGCAAAAATACTATCCCCCAGCTCTATTTTGTTATGTTGCCTCTATGACCCCTGTAAGATTTTGAATTTCAGATGCTTGCTTCAGTTAAATAAAGAGTTTTCTAGATGAAGGCATGCAGTAGGTCTCTAACACTGAGCCACTGCCTTGTCCCTCTCAATTAACCTTTGTCTTTAAGTCCCTGTCTAATGCCTACTAGTAGCTAGGTCCCTGAGATTGTAAAGACCCCAAGGCCCCAGGACCCTGAAGAGCCCAGGAAGTATCAGACCAATGAACCAGACCTGAGGTCTCCTGTACTCTTCAGCTTCTGAACTATAGGAGAATCCCAAGGAAAACAGGGCAACAACAACTTATAATAAATAGTAATACTGCCAGAATCCTATTTGTATTTACCAGTTTGCAAAGCACTCTCATTCATTCAACAGTCATATGGCAAATATAAGTTGAGGCTCTATTACAGATCTAGGCCCTGTGGGCGTGATGTTATACTTGGTAGTCAAGATCCCTGACCTTAGGAAGCTTCCAGTCTGGCCAGGAAACATCAGAGAACTAACATTTCTATAGCACTTTACCATGAACCAGTCACTCTTCTAGGTGCTTTACACTGAGTAACTCATTTACCCTTCATAGCAATTCTAGGAGATAAGTACTGCTGTTTTCCCCATTTCACAGATGAAGAAACTGAGGCTACAGAAGTTAAGTAACTTCCTCAAGCTCAGTGGTGGAGCCAGCCATCTGACCCACAGAAGCAAGTTGCTGGAGGCAGGCTTTTGGGACCACAGACTGGGAAGATGATATCTTCACCAGTGAAGATTTCCAAGGCCAACATCACATGGCCAAATTGCATCACCCCATGGCCCTGGGCTCTTCTCCCTGTTCACACTAAAACTCAGAAACATTTATTCATGGGGGGAGTAGTCAGCACACTGGTTGCTCAGGTCTGAGAATGCCAG